>NC_000003.12:62737272-63040303 GCF_000001405.40 Homo sapiens
ATCCACTGTCTACAAAAATTAAAAACAAAAACAAAAACAAAAACATAGTAGCCAGGTGTGGTGGCACATGCCTGTAGTCCCAGCTACTCAGGAGGCTGAGGCAGGAGGATTGCTGAGCCCAGGAGGTAGAGGCTGCAGTGAGCTGAGATTGCACCACTGTAATCTAGCCTGGGCAACAGAGTGAGACCCTGTCTCTTACAGCAAAAAAAAAAAGCAAAAAAAAGAAAACGTAAACAGAAGAGTCATATCAAGATTCTATAGATTCTCATCTTTCCTTCCACTGGGCAAATCAGATCTGTCAGTCTCTCACTCGTAAACACCTAAGAGCTTCTTATAATCCTTGGAGTAAATCCAAGCTCTGAGGTATGGCCTAAGATAGCCCAGCCTTCTGAATGTACTTCCTTTCCGTTTCTGTTTGGTCTCTGTGCTCCATCCACACTGATCTTATGTCTTGGTATCCTTTGAACCAAGCTTATTGCTTTGTTTCATCAAAAGCACTTCCTTTTCCAGGTATGATCTTCCCCAGGCTGTTCCTTCATTTCCATCAGGCCTCTGCTGAAGGGTCACAAACCCTACAGAGACTTCTCTGTCTACATAATCTCAAATACCACCATTATCCTCTGTCTCCTCATTCTGATTTGTTTTTCTTTATAGCCCATATCTCTGTTTATATGACATAATATACTTTTTTTTTCTTGTTTTGCCCATTAAACATCAGTTTTTTGAGAGCAGAAATCTCATCTGTTACATTTGCTGCTATATCCTCAGTTCCTGGAACAGTGTCTGGTGTATGATAGACACTCAATTCACATTGAATAAGTGCACAATTGAATGTTGTTTTATCATTAATGGTGCATCCAGTCTTACACACCTATTTTCACTCTCAACTCACGTTTCTATGAGGTTTTGCTGATTTTATGGTAATCAAAACAACATTTTAAGATGGAAAAGCAGTGCCTGCCCATTTCAGAGTGACATAATGAAGTAGCTAGTACTTCTTGATGACAAAAGGATCAGAGAGAAAATATGTTCTTTCCTCTGAAAGATATGTGAAATAACAAACTAGTGACTCTCAAAACTGCCAATTAAAAGCATGATTGGACTTATGTTTCTACTTTTGCTAACAATCTCTGAACAACAAAAATACTTACACATTAAAAAAAAATTGATGCATTGTGTGGTGTCTCATGCCTGTAATCCCAGCACTTTGGGAGGCCGAGGCAGGTGGATCATCTGAGGTCAGGAGATCAAGATCAGCCTGGCCAACATGGTGAAACCCCGTCTCTACTAAA
Organism: Homo sapiens; assembly: GCF_000001405.40. Taxonomy (NCBI): domain Eukaryota; kingdom Metazoa; phylum Chordata; class Mammalia; order Primates; family Hominidae; genus Homo; species Homo sapiens. The sequence goes on from NC_000003.12 coordinate 62,738,565, forward strand.
AGTACAAAAAAATTAACTGAGCGTGGTGGCAGGGACCTGTAATCCTAGCTACTTGGGAGCCTGAGGCAGGAGAATTGCTTGAAACTGGGAGGCGGAGGTTGCAGTGAGCCAAGATTGTAGCATTGCACTCTAGCCTGGGCAACAAGAGTGAAACTCCGTCTCAAAAAATAAAATAAAATAAAATTTTAAAAAATGATTGCTTTTTCATTAGGAGAGGTCAATTACCTTCAGGTCTTAATTCCATGTTATATGTAGTGGTTTTATTTACTGTAGCAATAGAAAACATTATTTTATAATAAAACATTGACTGTTTACTAAAATAAATTGGTAAAATAAGTTGGGCATATATTGGCTTTAAACAATTTTATGCCAGGGCATGTCAGCAATAATCATAGTTTGAGAAATTATGGTAGATTCAAAAGTGGCCATAACCTTCCACTCTGATTATAACGACACCTTTTGCAATATGAATTTATAGCTCCTCCCATCAAGAGATGGAGTCTGTTTCTCCTCGCTTGAATTTTAGCTGGCCTTGTGACTTCCTTTGCCAATAGAATACAGTGGAAGCAACAGTATGACAGTTCTGAACTAAGACTTCCAGAGTCCTTGTACTTTCACACTTTTACTTAAAACCCTGTCCAATGGCCATGTGAAAAAGTCCAGGGTGTGGAATCATTCCAACTGAAGTTATCCTAGATCAATCCATAGTCATCTGGCCTTCTAATAGAACAAAGCTTCCTACCAAACCCACAGCTGACAACAAACACAACAAACTCAATAAGTGAGCCCAGCCAAGACCATAAGAACTACCCAGCTCATGTATAGGCTTGTTAGCAATAACACATGTTTCTTGTTTTAAGCAATTGAGTTTAAGGATTGTTTGTTATGCAGCAACAGCTAACCCATACAGGTATTCTCACAATAGTAAAATAAACACATCCCTTATAAAGGTAAGGGCTTTGCCGCTTTCTAATGATCCTTGTTAAATCTTTTTGGCCTCCCTATACATAAGGATTTCACACTTCTTATCTCTTGTCCAGCTCCAAAATCTACTCAGATTCCACCCTTACTCTTGAATAATGAGGAACTCTACTTAGCTTGAGTTCCTTTACCTCAGCCAACTTATCATCTCCTCACTTCCAATTTCAAAGAAGCAGTCTTTTAAAGCTAGCATATCAGCATTGATGCCAGAAAGCAAACACACCAGTATAGTTTAGAAAAGTGGACAATTTAGGTTGAAAACAGTGAATGAAAGAGACAAAGGAAGAGATTTCCGATTAGGACAGTTGCCACAGTAAAGAGAGGTTGGTAGTTAATACTAGAACCCCACTGTAGTTATGCCTGTATCTTACTAGTCATCTACTACTCATAATGCTTACTTATTTTAAATGCTGTTTGTGTTCATAAGCTATTTTACACAATAATGCTGGATAGCCAACAACCCTTGAAATCAGTGACTTACACTAATATATGTTGATTGCCATGTTCATGGGTCTGTGAACTGATTGGGGTTCTGTTGACCTAGACTGAGCATGGCTGTAGGTTTTAGACTATGGGTTGCTTCGGAGTTGGCTTAGCTGGGCTTGGCTCCAGGTTGTGAGTTCAGTTAGATTTGTTTCATTTGTATCACGCAGAGGCCCAGGCTACAGGAGTAACAACTGCATAGGGCATGGTCTTCTCTTGGAAGATCCCCAAAGTGCAATGGCAGCAAAACCATGTGCACAAGCACATCTCAAGACCTCTGCTCATTTAGTCTGCTGACGGCCCACTCACAAAGCAAGCATGATGGCTGGTACCAAAGTTAAGGGGTTGAGAAGCTCACTTAATGCCCCATGAGCCATGGTAGGGTGTTTAATTTTAATACACAGTAGCAAAGAATTGAGGCAATTATTTCATTCAACCACATTACACTTATGATACAAATTTGTCTCTACTTTGGTCTATAATTGGGTAAAAGAAGATACCAGACATCTCAGATCATCTCTCTTTACTCAGCCTAAACAATTTCTTCATCATTCAAACCCAGCTCACCTAATACCTTCTCTGTGAAGCAGCAGCTGACCAATCAAACCCCATTGTTATCTGATAGCTCTAAAGTGCTCCAGCTGTTGAAACTTATACCACTCTGCCATGCCCCCTACTACCCCTATCACCATGCCACTAACTACCATCACCAACCCAGGCTATCATTTACTGAGTTCCTATCATGTGATGGGCTCCTTACATACCTTATTTCTATCTGATAGTTATTAATATCTGTTTTATAGAAAAGTTAATTAACTTGCTAAAGGTTACATCGATAATAAATAGCTAAGCCTGGATTCACACTGCCACTATATATTACAATTGTCTACTATTTTACATATTGACTTTTTAACAGTTAGAATTTATTGTGGATGGATTTTATTCCTTCAAATTGCATTGTATACTTATTGAAGGCACTTCTTCAGATTGTTCCCTGGCACAATTTGATGAATTGTTGCAATAACTGATTCCAGAGAACCAGCCCACCCTATACTTCATTATTCATTAGAAAGGAACTTTCTTAAGATGTGAGAATTTGATTAATTAATGGTAGCTAATAATAACTAGCACCAACCACCTTATTAAATGGGTACTATCCCAGCTGTACAAGGAAGAGCTGGTACCATTTCTACTGAAACTATTCCAAAAAATTGAGGAGGAGGGACTCCTGCCTAACTGATTTTATAAGGCCAGCATCATCTTGACACCAAAACCTAGCAGAGATGTAGCAAAAAAAGAAAACTTCAGGCCAATTTTCTTGATGAACGTTGATGTAAAATCCTCAGCAAAATACTGGCAAACTGAGTCCAGCAGCACATCAAAAAGCTAATCCATTATGATCAAGTAGGACTTCAACCTGGGATGCAAGTTTGGTTCAACATATACAAATCGATAAATGTGATTCATCACATAAGCAGAATTAAAGGCAAAAACCACATGACTATCTCAATAGATGCAGAAAAGGCTTTTAATAAAATCCAACATCCATTCATGTTAAAAACTCTCAATAAACTAGGTATTGAAGGAACATACCTCAAAATAATAAGAGCTGTCTATGACAAACCCACAGCCAACATCATACTGAACAGGCAAAAGCTGGAGGCATTCCCCTTGAAAACCAGTACAAGACAAGGATGCCCTCTCTCGCCACTTCTATCCAACACTGTATCGGAAGTCTTGGCCAGGGCAATGAAGCAAGAGAAAGAAAAAAAGAGCATCCAAATAGGAAGAGAGGAAGTCAAACTATCCCTGTTTGCAGATGACATGATCCTATATCTATAAATCCCACACAGTCTCAGCCCAGAAGTTTCTTAAGCTGGTAAACAACTTCAGCAAAGTCTCAGGATACAAAAATCAATGTGCAAAAATCACTAGCATTTCTTACAACAACAACAGTGAAGGTGACAGCCAAATCAGGAAAGAATTCCCATTCACAATTGCCACAAAAAAGAATAAAATACCCAGGAATATAGCTAACTAGGGGGTGAAAGATCTCTACAAGGAGAACCACAAATCACTGCTCAAAGAAATCAGAGATGACACAAACAAATGGAAAAACATCCAATGCTCATGGATAGAAAGAATCAATATTGTTAAAATGGTCATACTGCCCAAAGCAATTTATAGATTCAATGCTATTCCTATTAAACTATCATTGAGATTTTTCACAGAACTAGAAAAAAATATTAAAAAATTCATACGGAATCAAAAAAGAGCCTGGATAGCCAAGGAAATCCTACCAAAAAAAGAACAAAGCTGAAGGCATCATTCTACCTGACTTCAAACTATACTACAGGGCTACAGTAACCAAAACAGCATTGTACTTGTAGAAAAACAGACACAAAGATGAATGGAACAGAATAGAGAACCCAAAAATAAGACTTTACACCTACAAATATCTGATCTTCCACAAACCCGACAAAAAGAAGCAATGGCAAAGGATTCCCTATTCAACAAATGGTGCTGGGATAACTGGCTAGCCATATGCAGAAGATTGAAACTGGACACCTTCCTTACACCATACACAAAAATTAACTCAAGATAGATTAAAGACTTAAATATAAAACTCAAAACTATAAAAACCCTGGAAGACAACCTAGGCAATACCATTCAGGACATAGGCACGGCAAAGATTTCATGATGAAGACACCAAAAGCAATTGCAACAAAAGCAAAAATTGACAAATGGGATCTAATTAAACTAAAAAGCTTCTGCATAGCAAAACAAACTATCAACAGAGAAAAGAGAAAACAGAAAACCGACAGAATGGGGAGAATTTTTGCAAACTATGCATCTGACAAGGTCTAATATCATGCATCTATAAGGAACTTAAACAAATTTATAAGAAACAAACAACCCAATTAAAAAGTAGGCAAAGGACATGAACACTTCTCAAAAGAAGACATACATGCAGCCAACAATCATATGAAGAAAAGCTCAACATCACCGATCATTACAGAAATGGAAATCAAAACCACAATGAGATACCATCTCACACGAGTCATAACGGCTATTATTAAAAAGTCAAAAAATAACAGATGTTGGAAAGGCTGTTAAGAAAAAGGAATGCTTTTGGGTGGAAAAGGTAACATCTTACATCCATGGAATAATTTTTTGAAAGTAAATAATTATTGCTGTTATGATGTGATAATTATTTAATTTAGGGGTTAACAAACTGCAGCCCTTGAGTCAAATACGCCAGCTGCCTGCTTTTGTAAATAAAGTTTAACAAGAACACAGCCATGCCCATATACCTTATGTATTATATGTGGCTGCTTTCGCTACAATGACAGAATTAAGCAGTTGTTACAAAGACCACAGGGTTCACAAAGCCTAAAATATTTACCAACTCCTAGTTTATTTATTAACTGAAAAGCTTTGCAATTTGGAATTTTATGTATGATGTTGTATGTTCTTCCTCCAAAGAACAACTTTTTAAAAATTTTGCCCAGCTAGGAAACAACATGAAATAGCTACACTTTTCAGGTCATCCAATTGGCCAGATCACACAAAAGCATGACAAGATAAGAAAAACAAGCATTCCCTATCCTTCAACCATCCTCTGAAGACTGCAGGGCTTTGTTAACTATGTTTTTAAAAATTAAATCAGGAAACACTTGGATTGCTACAATAGAACGTAAATGAGCGAAGCAAACAAACCTAAGTAGTCTCCATTGAATAGATGCGTCCATTAAAATAATTCTTAGCCAATATACAGAATTGAGTCTTCAACTAAGCTTTCTTTTCCTCCAACAAATTTTAGGGGAAAAAAGAGCAGACCAAATAAAAGAGATTCATAAAAGACTTAGCAAAATACATACATATCTACCACCTTCCTAGAGTCTAGACAGGATCAATAAACTTTCTACTTAATCTCCAAAATCTTCTCTATGGAAAAGATGACTACTTAGGAGCTTGCTTTGAAGTCTTGAAATGTTGAGTTCAAATCCAAGCTTTGTTGCTGACTGGCTGTATGACCTTGGAAAAAAATTGTACAACCCCCCTTTTAGCTTCTTTACTAAAATGTAGGTACAAATGTCTGCTTTAAAGGCTTGTTATGAGGATTAAATTTGATGATGCATATAAAGTATTAGGCTTACTGTCTGGCACATAGTAAGTATTTAATACTTGGTAGGTATAATTGATGTCCAAACTGGAGGTCAGGACGTAAATTATGAAGCCTCCACTAACAGTTCACTCTAAAAGAATGATGTAGAATCATTCACTAGCCATCAAGGAAAGGGAATTAATGTATTTTATTCATATTTTCAAAAAAAAAAAGGATTGAAACACAAAGGGCTAACAACAAAATTTAATCAATACACTATACTCCACTACCCAAGCTTCTGCTAATTTTAGGTCTGAATCACTGAGGAAACAAAAAGGCTGCATGTTGGAAGAAGAAAAATTCAAATTATTAGCATGGGGAATCTGGACTGGTGAAACGTGTTCAAAGGTTAGTAAAATATCTCTATTTGCAAGGCTGTGCTAGATGGCTTATCATAGATTTTGTTGTTTGGCAAAAGGTAGAAAAAAGCAGAAAATATTATTTTTGTATGTATCTTTCTGAAAGTATACCTCTTTAACATCTCTGATTACAATTTTGTGGCTCAATGCATATGAAAAGACTTTGAATAAATGAGCATACTTATGAATCCATTTTGGCAACAAAGGAAAGAGATTGCTGAAATGTCTATAGCAGTTTTGAAGGCTGCATAGAAAATGCCCAATTCCCTGCTCCTTAGATGCAGGATACCCACTGTCTCTCAATTTCTACTTTCCATTGCTGTTAGCATCTTGGTAACAGCAGGTGCAGTCAGATAGAAATATCTGGCCATGTGTTCTAGAAACAAGTGATAGAGAAGTAAGAAAAACCACGATGGGGTCTTCAGAAAATTATGGCTCTGGGAAATTAAATATTGCCCTCTGGCCCTGTACCAACCACATCTTTAATGCCTCTAAATTTGTCCCTAGTAACTGAGTATATGCATCTTTTTGCTTTCTTTTTTTTTGAGACAGGGTCTTGCTCTGTCACCCAGGCTGGAGTGCAGTGGCACAATTACAGCTCACTGCAGCCTTGGCTTCCCAGGCTCAAGTAATCCTCCCATCCCAGCCTCCCAAGTGTGAGCTACCACGCCCAGCTAAATTATTTTGTATTATTTTTTGTAGAGACGGCATTTCACCATGTTGCCCAGCCTGGTCTTGAACTCCTCGTCTCAAGTGATCCACACTCCTCAGGCTCCCAAAGTGCTGGCATTACAGACGTGAGCCACTACATCTGGCCAGTATATATGTATTGATGTATTTTCACATTGGAAGATTGCTGAAATTAAGGTACATCTGGCAAGCAAAGTCACTTAAAACTGGCAGTCCCTTGAATATCTAATGACTTCTAGGGGCAGTGTATGACTTTGAAAAGACATGGTTAATTTCTGTCCCTCTTTGATCAACCTTGTCTTGGAACAGACAGATTGAGTGTGGTCAGAAGGAAAGTTTATGCCTGGAAGATTACTGTGACCCTCAGGTAACATCCACATTATAAAACAGGAGTACCAGCAGATGAATTCAGGCTGAATACTGAAGACCTGTGACACTGCTGCACTTTGTTGAACCAGAAAAAAATGACCAAACATGCACCTTGTGTAATGTGGGCATTTAAGCTCCTTGAGGCCATAACTGCCTTGGACTCTGCATTTACTGATTTAGTCAATATTTAATTGTGCATCTATTTTGTGCTGAGCATTGTGCTAAGTGTTGGCTGTATAGTGGTGAACGCAATAGACATCACTCTTTGCTCAATGAAATCTAGAAGAAGAGATAGACAATAATAGAAAATAAGTGTGCAAAGCAATTTCAGACTGCATTAAGTGCTGTATAAACAGGGTATTGTTTCAGGAAGGAAAACAGCAAACACTGAGGAGCCCATTTTAGGCAGAATGGTAAGGGAGAACTTCTCTACAAAGGTTACATTTAAAATGATACCTGAAGGAGCCAGCCTTATGAAAGCCTGTGGGCAAACAATGTTTGGATGCCTCCCACAGTGAGTTATGCCCTACTTTGGTCCCACCCTTGAGTGTGGGAGGAACCTAATCAATAGTGTATAACTTCTATCAAGAGTATACACTTCTAATCAATAGTATATGACAAGAATGAGGAGATTTTACAGATGTAAAATTCTTAATCAGTTGACTCTAAATTAATCTAAAGGGAGACTAACTTCATGGGCCAGACTTAATCAGGCAATCCATTGATTGATTGATTGAGACAGAGTCTCGCTCTCTCAGCCAGGCTGGAGTGCAGTGGTGGGTGTTTTCATGGCTCACTTCAGCCTTCACCTCCTGGTCTCAAGCGATTCTCCCACCTTGGCCCCTCAAGTAAGCTGGGACCACAGGTACATGCCACCATGCCTGGCTAATTTTTTAAATGTTTTGTAGAGATAGAGTCTCCCTATGTTTCTCAGGCTGTTCTCGAACTTCTGGCCTCAAGCAATCCTCCCTCCACAGTTTCCCAAAGTGTTGGGATTTCAGATGTGAGCCACTGTGCCCAACCAGGTGATCCTTTTAACAGTGCATCTATAAATAAAAAATTTGATGCACCAGAGACTCTCTCTCTCCCTGTTGCTGGATCTGGAGATTCTACAGCTGCAAGGAAAGGAGTTTTGCCAACAACATGAAGGAGCTTAGAAGTGGATCCTTCCCTGTTGAGCCTCCAGATGTGAGCACAGCCTCGCCAGCACCTTAATTCCAGCTTTGTGAGACCCTTAACAGACGACCTGGCTAAGTCATGCCTGGACTTCTGACCTAGAAAAATTGAGATAATAAGTGGGCATTCTTTTAAGCTGCTAAATTTGTGGCAATCTGTTACACGGCCAAGACAACAAAAACAATAATCTAAGCAGGACAACTATAAAGTCATTGAGAGGTGTGTAGTGAACAAAGAGGACAATTAGTCAGGAGCCACATCATGGGCCATTGTATGACAAAGTAAGAAAGTTTAGGCTGTATCCTCAGCATACAACACATGATGCCTAGTGCAAAGTAGATGCTAAAATCTGTTGAATGAATGATGAAAGTATGCTTCTAAATAAAAGGGTTTAATATTAGCCTTCCGTCACTACTTCCCATCTCCAGATTTTAAAACATTTCTTCTGTAGATATTCAGTGAAAGATCACTCATGCGAAGAACTATATTGTTGTTACAGGATCAAGAAAAGAGATGAAGAAATAGAGTCTGGCCCCCAAAGCAAATGTTCAGTCAACAGACCTACCGGAAACTTCTGGACAAGGAAAAAGCTATGTAGTTATATGGAGATTAAGGGCTCTGTAATGAGGTATGGATACAACCCAGCAATCTGGGTCACAGCTGAAGGCCTGATAATTTGAGGTTTCTCTTCAGAGTCTAATAAACTATCTGAAAAGCTGCCATGTGTTCATCAAGTTCAAGGAAGATAGTGCTGTAATAAGATAACCACATCATCAAAGGCCATGCTGATGATGGTTTGGAGGAAAGGAAATTGAATGTTAAGAAAATTAGCAGTTCAATAATGATAGAGAATCCAATATTGAAAATGCAAAGGTGTTTATAAATTGAGAAATCAAGTTTCCTGATTTCTTTCTTCTTCCTTCCAGACTTATCTGAAAAACCTCTAGAAATTCAGAGAGAATAAATGAACAGATTATCGTCTTATCCTATTAGTTGGAGTGTGGATGTTATCCCTGCTGCCAGTTGGGCACATGTAATGGCCAAGGAGAAGTTTAGAGTCATGCTGCACTTAGTTTAGAAGGGAAGAGTGTGATCAGTAAGAGAAAAACCAGAAATGGCATTTTCAAAGAGCAGAATGGAAACATCGAGATACAACTGACATCCTTAGCTCATATTCACCACATCTTCAAAATTAGCTGGATTGCTTCACTAAGAAGAGTCTATTTGCCTTTAAAAATACATGAAGATGGCCGGGCGTGGCGGCTTACACCTGTAATCCCAGTACTTTGGGAGGCTGAGGCGGGCGGATCACAAGGTCAGGAGATTGAGACCATCCATCCTGGCTAACTCGGTGAAACCCCGTCTCTACTAAAATTACAAAAAAAAAAAAAAAAAAAAAAAAAAAATTAGCCGGGCATGGTGGCAGGCACCTGTAGTCCCAGCTACTCAGGAGGCTGAGGCAGGAGAATGGCGTGAACCCGGGAGGCGGAGCTTGCAGTGAGCCGAGATTGCGCCACTGCACTCCAGCCTGGGCGAGAAGCGAGACTCCGTCTCAAAAAAAAAAAAAAAAAAAAAAAAAAAAATTAAGATGTAGACCTTACTCCTTCTAAAATGCACATTTGAGGTATTTTTCAAGGGAAAATATCCGCACAGTTTTGAATGAGATAGTTAAGGATAACTTATAAAGTTAAGCAGAGGAGTAGAAAGTAGCAGACAGCTGGTACAACTGAGAATCAAATTTACGCCAAATTTGAAGGTTACTAAAGGGAAAGGGGAGAGATGGTGCATCTTGAAAATGTTTTTAAATATCATATCGTCATCATCATCATCGCTGTCAGCTTTGCATTTCATGAAGATGGAAAGCAGGTCTGTCTTAGCCTCATTTCTCAGATAATAAAACCTATTCTCAAATTATCTCACTTAAAAATTTTTTTTGAGACAGAGTCTCACTCTGTCACCCAGGCTAGGGTGCAGTGGTGAGATCATGGCTCACTGTAGCCCTGACTTCCCAGGCTCAAGTGATCCTCCCACCTCAGCCTCCTGAGTAGCTGGGACTATGGGTGCATGCCACCACACCCAGCTAGTTTTTAAATTTCTTGTAGAGATGGAGCCTAGGCTGGTCTAAAACCCTTGGACTCACATGACCTTCCCATCTTGGTGTCCCAAAGTGCTGGAATGGAGCTGTGTGCTCAGCCTACCTTACTTTTTTTGAGTTACCTTTAGAATTCAACTCAAATAGCTACATAATTGACTGCATCTTCCCAAGGGTCTATGAAAAATAAAACCAACACTGATTCATAATAAAATTTGCCATTTTACTTTGGATATTATGTTGAGTATGAATTTCTTCTATGAGATTTATCCACTAATTCTCAAACAAACAGAATAGATGTTAAGAAACTCCGTGGGCAAATTCAGAGACATTTGTTAAACTCTCTTGCTTTTCTCTTATCTTTTGATAGACATGGTTCATGTTACAACAGATAACTGATATGTAACTGACATAATCGCTCTTTGATAAATGTCATTTCTCATTTGAGATAAAAATGGCAGTTACTGGCAGAACCTCATAAAGAGAGAGCATGGGAACTTTCACAAAGCAGCAGCAGAAATCAGATTACAGCTTCCCCTAGGATACGATATGCGTAAGAGGAAAACATTAAGCACATTTTGGGTTTGGGAAGCACCTAGAAATTGCTTTGTTTGGTAAGGAGAAGAAGGTCCAGAAAATACAAAATTAAACAGGAAACAATTTCAGCAGAGTGAGGATGAAAGTGATACAATATCATTTCTGTATTCTTGCTACTGTGAGTTGATAAGAGTTGTGCAGAGCTGAGTGTAGTCTGCCAGAAAGTGAGTAAATGTATAATTTCAGACACCTGATGGTAAGGCATGACAGGTATACTATCTTTGCTGCCTGTCTACATACAGCCTGCCAGCAAGGAAAGAGGAGGGAGGTAAATTAAATCTCTGCTTTGCTACCTGCCTATGCAGACTTCATATGAAAGCTGCTGTGGTCAGTCTGAGGCTATTTTCAGGGATGGAGTCAGAGAGCTCTGTCCCACCAGCCTCAGTGCGTCAGGGCACTGTCTACTGCCACCGTGTCTTCTGCATCACTGTGGTGTGAGATGATCTAAGAGGGCCAGCCAATGAAGAGTTTCTATTTTAATAGTTGGGTTTCACTTTAATGCATATTATTTTTTTGTAAAAAGAATATATCAAAGCTGTGATTTTATGTACATTACCTAAGATAAAGACAGGTTTAAAAAGTGAACTTGGGGCCAGGCACGGTGGCTCATGCCTATAATCCCAGCACTTTGGGAGGCCGAGGTGGGTGGGTCACCTGAGGTCCAGAGTTTGAAACCAGCCTGGCCAACATGGAAAAACCCACCTCTACTAAAAATACAAAAATTAGCCAGGCATGGTGGCACGTGCCTGTAATCCCAGCTACTCAGGAGGCTGAGGCATGAGAATTGCTTGAACCTGGGAGGTGGAGGTTGCAGTGAGCTAAGCTTGTGCCACTGCACTCTACCCTGAGTGACAGAGTGAGACTCTTAAGCTCCAAAAAAAAAAAAAAAAAAAAAAAAAGGTGAATTTGAGAGTTAGTTTAATAAGAAACATTAAATAATCATCCAGGTAGTACTCGGAAATGGCAAAGATTATGAAGGTGGTATGTTAACGCCTGAAGTCTAGAAAACAATTCAGAAGATAACTTTCTTCATATCCCATTGTTTTGATGGTTTCTTTGTTGAGACTTTTGGTATTTGTTTTCATTTACAGAATAACTGTGTTTAAGGTAGAAATTTGGAGACATAAAAAAGCACAAATGAAAATCATAAAAATCAACCATAATCCTATCCTTTAGAGATAAGCACAGTTAACATTTTGTTCTTTGCCTGTCCAGTACCTTTTTCCATCCTTTGTTCCCATAGAAATGGGACTGTGCCTGCATATTGTGCTTCATAGCCAGATTCTCCACTTAGCAATATCTAAGGAACATTTTCCCACATGGCAAGCCTTCTTCTTTAACAACTCTTTTATTGCTGTTCTATTGGATAAAGAAAATTCCCTTGTATGGTTAAATCAAAATCTAATTAATTAATCCTATACTGCTGGGAATTAAGCATGCTTCCATTTTTTCACTATCATATAAAAGGCTGCAGTGAACATCTTTGGACTTAACACTCTTGCACACACTTCTGCGTATCTACTTGTAATGAATTCCTAAAGGTAGAGCTCCTAGGTCAAAAGGTTTTCCCATTATGAAGGTTTTCTGCTGCAAACTAACAGATTGCAGAAAGGCTACACTAAGAATTTATTGCCACAGTAAGTTTAGAGAATAGCCATCTCTATATTGTCATAGAAATGGGTATTATATGTTGTGAAATATTATCATGACCAATATTTTCTTTCTTTTAAAATACTTTTGTTTGCCAATACACTCCTGAAACTTAGATTACTAAAGACATAGAAATCAAAAAACCATATATTTAGAATTCATGTGTATTTTTGTATGTATAAATTACTTTCATATGTTCTTTTGCCCTAATTTCTATTGATATGAAACCCTGAAACAATAATCAGATTTAGATATGAATAGAGAGTAAAATACTAAATGTCTTAAGTATCCCTGTCCCAAGAAGAAGTACTTTATCTTGTAATTTTTTTTTGTTGGAGATGGAGTCTCGTTCTGTTGCCCAGGGTGGAATGCAGTGGTGTGATCTCAGGTTCAAGCAATTCTCCTGCCTCAGCCTCCCTAGTAGCTGGGATTACAGGCATCCTCCATCATGCCTGGCTAATTTTTGTATTTTTAGTAGAGACAGTTTCACCATGTTGGCCAGGCTGGTCTTGAACTCCTGACCTCAGGTAATCCACCCGTCTTAGCCTCCCAAAGTGCTGAGATTACAGGCATGAGCCACCGTGCCTGGCCTATCTTGTAATTCTTTTTTGGCTAAGAGTACAATCTTTATTCTGGAGAGAGAAGATATTCTTTAATATTACTGTACTTTTTTCTATTTCGCAAAAAAGATTTTGAGGGTAAAATGAGTCGGATTAATTCATTTTTTAGGAGAAAACAGTAAAATATGATCCTGCCACTCAATTCAACAAGTGCAAAAACACTGAGATAAGACAAGAAATGGCATAACAATGGATTCACTCCAATGAAGCTGAGTTTGAGCAAGCACAGAAAATATGCATAAGCTGTTGCAATAAGAAGAAAAATTAATCCCTAGAATAATTTTGTACCTAGAAGGTTTAGGAACACTTGACTCTCTCTGTAATTCTGAATCTTGCTTATAACTCAGGTGGATGATTTTTCAATATTGAAGCTATGACACCTTCTTGTGGTGGAAATGCTGGTGGAGGTGATAGTGGTGGTGGAGGCTAACGCCACCTGCTTATCCCATTCTAAAACTGCTACATGGTGGGATGTAGTAATATTTTAAATAAAATAATGATTAAATTTAATTTTATATTGATATGTGAAATTTCAAAATACTTTTTGACCCATCACAAAAAACCTTTCATCTCCAGATTTGTAATCAATGTTTTCAATTAAAGTTGGATGAGATGAAAGTAGATACCAGCAATATCTTTGAATGTGATGCATGTGTTGTATTATGAAATGCTAAACAGACTCTTACTAAAACATCCAGAAAATTCAAGGTGATATATCATAGTTGATAAGACCCTACCTACTAGTTAAAATAATTTTCCATTATCCATTTATTAATTCGATAAACATTTACTGAGCATTCACTCTGTGCCAAGATTTTATATACTGGGAATATTAGCAAACAAGGCAAAGATGAATCTCTCTGATAGTTCTTTGAAGGTGAAGGGCAACATAATTACCAGGAAGGAAGGTCCTTGTTTAAAATGCAGATTCCTGGGCCATGCTCTGAGGCTGCAGAATGAGAATCTCTAGGGCTAGCAGCTGGGAATGTGCATTTTTAAATTGCTCCTAAGAGACATCCAGTAAGAATTTCAGACTGCAAAATAGGCACGTAATAAATATTTGTTGAATAAATGAATATAATGCTAAGCTTAGGCAGGATATCAAGATATGAGATACCTCGCTTCCCTAATCCTCCATCTAGAGGAAATACAAGCCCATTTTGGGGTGGACCCAAGCAGAGCCTCAGCTCTCGCCATCAGAACCACTCAGAAATTCATGATGTGACTAATATACAGGTATCGGGCCTTTTGCAAGCTTTCCATTTTAAAAAATTATTCTTGACAGGCAGGTGCTAAGTTCAGTAGTCTTCCCAGCTGAGGAAGCACAAGCCCTTCAACTGGCAAACACCAAAGGCAGAACCATATTTTTTAAAAAATTGATTTTTAGCACTTTTGACACGTGGAAAACAAGCCTTACTCATAGGGCCAACTTACCCATTAGACACAATGAGCTCAATGCCTAGGGCCCCTGAGACTTTTAAGGGCTCATAAAAATGTTTTATTTATTTATTTTTTAAATCAGAAGAAAAGCATGAATATACTCCAGCCTAAACTGTATTCAACTTTTTACCAGTAGAGTAATAAAATATAAGTTTTAATCCTTTTTTTAAAAAAATCAAGAAGTATCTCATAGAAGTTGGAATGCAGCTCTGCTTACCCACAGCTCTAGGCCCAGGCGAGAAACACCTTACCTGGCAGGCATTGTAAAGGAGCTGATGTTCGAACTTCTTGATCCCAAGAATGTTCTGGAACATCTCATAGAGTTGCTCCTTGCTCAGAATCAGCTCGGAGGCTGCGCTGGCTGTCATCCGGGCCTGCTGCTTCCGCGGGTCCTCTTCTCCACGGTAGATGGCATCAAATTTGGCCATCCAGGAGCTCAGCACAGTCTCCTTGCTGAGGCCGTCAATCTCAGGCAGGCTGCGCACTCTCTTCTCAATGTGCTTCTTGAAGACCTCCCGGGAGTCGTTGGCGGAACAGCCTCCACTCTGAACCATGCGGGCCACACGGTCGCTCTTCAGGAACACCTGAGCAAGAACAAGGCCAGGAAAGACAGTAGGAGAGTTTACCACAGAGGTACCAGTTCCCTGGGGCTGGACACTGGGCCAGTCCACCTCACGTGCATCCCAGGAGGAACCACTGTGGGTCTCACCCTGCCCCACCACCTCCTGGCTGTGCAAACTCAGAGTAGTCTCTTACACATTCTGCTTCTGTGTCCACATCTGTAAGATGAGAATAACAATTGTACTTACCAGGTTGGTGCAAGGATTAAATGAGATGATACTATCATGAGAGGCAGCACATGGTATACAGACCTGTGCCCGGGCTGCATAGGTTCTCTGCCCCTTAGTGGCTGTGGGACTTTGGGCAAGTTAACCTCTTTGTACCTCAGTGTTTCCATTTATAAAATGGGGATAATAGTATTTATTTAATGTTTAATTTCTTTTTGAGATAGTCTTGCTCTGTCACCTAGGCTGGACTATAGTGACAATCACAGCTCACTGTAACCTCCACCTCCCAGGCTCAAGCGACCTCCAGCTTCAGCCTCCTGAGTAGCTGGGACTAAGTGCATGCCACCACACCTGGCTATTTATTTATTTATTTATTTATTTTGTATTTTTGGTACATACAGGGTTTCACCATGTTGCCCAGGCTGGTCTCAAACTCTTGGGCTCAAGCAACCCATCCACCTCGGCCTCCAAAAGTGCTGGGATTACAGGCATGAGTCAATGCACCCAGAATTTAATTTTTTATTTTAAATAGAGGCAGGACTTTGCTCTGTTATGTAAGCCAGACTTCAGTAGTGATCACGATGCACTGCAGCCTCAAACTCCTGGGCTCAAGCCATCCTCCTGCCTCAGCCCCTCAAGTAACTGGGACTATAGGTGTGTGCCAATATGCCTCGATAATTTTTTAAACTTTTTGTAGAGACAGGGTCTTGCTGTGTTGCCTAGGCCAGTATGTATTTTAAAATGAGGATTAAATGTGTTAATGTGTAAAACACACATAAAATAGTGCCTGGCCCATGTTACACTTGTTGCTGTTATTATTATTATATGTAAAGTGCCTGGCATGATATCAGGCACATAGCATTAAACATTAACCACTATTTGTACCTCCTTTTATCCCTTCAATGATACTTTTAATTGAAAGTATACAAGTATCAGGTAAACATATATTTAATTTTCTCTCTTCCTTCCTGAAATGTAAACTCTACTTGGGCAAGGAACGTGTCCTTCTTGTTCCTCACAATGTCTTCAGGTCCTAGAATGTCTTCAGCACCTGACACTTTAAAAGTGAATTAACAATGAATATAGGTGTTAGGTTAAGTTTATTTTGTAGATGAAAAACTGAGACTTCAGAGAGGGGAAGGGACTTCCTTTTGGTAGCTCAAATTGTCTGACTACCAATGGGTAGTCTTTTTACTTCACCCGGGTTCCTTCCTTCCCTGCAGGGTTCTCCTGCTTGATGAAAACCTCTCCCCCCTGGTGGAAAATCCCTGGTTGGTCTGCTGGTGCTACCTGGTTGAGTCCTGGGACCAAGACTTCTTCTATTAAGAAAGTCTTATTTTTGCTCCACTGCCCACCATTCGGAAGCTTACATGAGCTACATGGTTCTGGGGTGTAATACAAGGCAGTGAAGCCGCCGCTTCATATTCACGGAGAGGAAGCATCTGACACGTTTGAGCTGCGTCCTGGTCACACTTCAGAAGGTGCATAAATATCCTTCAAGAGGCAGAGCAAATGTTCATTCCCCTGTCAGATTTCAGGAAATGCACTTGTTGGCCATGAGACAGCACTGCCTGGGGGCATCTCATTGCCTCATGCTTCATCACAAAGCGTTTCTGGGGTGGAGAGATGTTTTTTTTTAAAAAGGCTCCGGTTTATTGTTGACTTTAATGAACTAATTTAGAAAGGATGGCTGAGGGTTTGCCTCACAGGGTAGAGGCCATGGCCTGCTTCCTTATGAGTGGGAACTGGTACTCAGATGAGACCTTAGAGTTAATTTGAAAATTAATTATAGACAAAATAGTTTCAAATGAATCCTCAGGCCTTATGAGCCTTAATGAGCTAAATAATTCATCTGCAAACCTGTAACACTTAATGGGGATGGTTTCTCCATCTAACCAACACATTATAGATCTCAAATACCAGTGTTTTGAGGCTAGTGGAGGAAGTCTCTGGAAAGGCAATGGAGCATTGTGGCAGGAGCTGTAACTCATGATCTCAGGCCAGGTCTGCCTCTAACTTGCTGTGTGACCTTGAGTAAATCATCTCCCCTCTCTGATTCTCTAATTTCTTTTTCTTTTTCTTTTTTTTTTTTTTGAGACAGAATCTCACTTTGTTGCCCAGGCTGAAGTACAGTGGTGCGATCTTGGCTCACTCAACCTCTGCCTCCTGGGTTCAAGCGATTCTCCTGCCTCAGACTCCCAAGTAGATGGGATTACAGGCATCTGCCACCATCCCCAGCTAATTTTTGTATCATTATTATGTTTTTAGTAGTAGTGACGGGGTTTCTCCATGTAGGCCAGGCTGGTCTCCAATTCCTGACCTCAAGTGATACACCCGCCTGGGCTTCCCAAAGAGTTGGGATTACAGGCGTGAGCCACCATGCCTGGCCTGATTCTCCAATTTCTTATCCATACACCAAAGGAATTGAACAATAAGGTTTGGGGCTATCCTTTTAACTGTAATGATTATAAACTTTTCCATGAACCCATTCATCCTTTCTTTGGTTACTCTCTAGGTGGAAGACACTGTACCAGGTGTCAGGAATACAACGGTGAGGAAGACACAGATTTAGCTCTCATGGAGTCCAACTGACATAATCCTAATAATGCCATGCAAATATGATTACGATCTGGAACAAGTGCTATCAAGACAAGGGTCCACAAGAACCTATAGCTAGGAATCTATTCTAATATGTGGTCAAGAAAGCCTTCCTGAAAGAAAACACCTTTGAGATGATGCATGAAAGATGGATAGGTGAATGGAGAGCTGTAATTTATTTTAGAGAGAAGGAACAATACGTGTGAAGACCCCAAGTGCCTGAAGAAATAAGGAGGAGTCAGTGTGGCTGTGGCAATGAGGGCTGGGGGTGACAGATGTAAGATGGGCAGGGAGGGGCCAGAGAGTCCAGGGAGGCATTGAGAAGGAGGAGGTATTCAGGAGGAGGAGGGGATTAGGGTTGTTGGTCTTCATTTTAAGGGCATTGGAAAGCCATTGAAAGTTTTAAGCTGGGACACGGCACAAACCAGTTCACATTCTTTGGCTTTAATGTGGAAAAGAGACTGATGAAGGGAGCCAAGAAAATAGGCAGGGAGGCCAGTTGAGAGGTGCTTGTACGAGACCGGGTGAGTGTGATGGCAGTGGGGACACTAAGGGGTTAAGCCTTTGTTGTCAGTGCTAATAAACATAAGGGGTGACTTGAAAACATTCAATCAACAATGAAGCTATATTCTCCTCTACATCTATGCACATTAGTATCCCACAAACCCGAAATGGGCCTCAGTTATAAGCTCTCAGCCCCAGATTCTTTTTTCCTAAAGCCCTTCCACAGCTGCCATCTGCCACTGTTTTTGTGACTGTTTGGTAAATATCTGATCTCCAGCTAGACTATAAGTTCCAGGGAGGCAGGGTAGTCGTTGTTTGTTTCTATTACTGCTTCTTAGTGCCTGAGACAGTGCCTGGCATGTAGCTGGTGCTCAGTAAATATTTGTGGAATGAGTGAATGAACTATAAGAGCAAAGCAGACTCCTCTAGCAGGAAAAATATGGAGCGAGACTATGTCTGGATTGGGGCGAGAAGGTCAACGGGAAACCAGCACACGGTATATTGGTCTCTTAAAACAAGAGACTTAGGCTAGATTTTCCATGGGGCCTGATAACAAGGGGTAAGAAATAAAGATGTTGGCACTTGGGTCCCAGCTGGTGTAACTGGTTGAGTGATGTATTAGTCTGTTCTCACGCAGCTAATAAAGACATACCCAAGACTGGGTAATTTGTGAAGGAAAGAGATTTAATGGATTCACAGTTCCACATGGCTGGGGAGGCCTCACAATCATGGTGGAAGTCAAGGGAGGAGCAAAGGCACGTCTTATGTGGCATGGCAGCAGGCAAGAGAGCATGTGCATGGGAACTCGCCTTTATAAAACCATCAGATATCTTGAGACTTATTCACTATCAAGAGAACAGCATGGGAAAGACCTGCTCCCATGATTCAATTACCTCTCACTGGGTACCCCCATGACACGTGGGAATTATGGGAGCTACAATTCAAGATGAGATTTGAGTGGGGACAAAGCCAAACCATATCAGGTGAACCCTGAATCCTGGGCATAGCATCTGCTTCACTAGCCCCTTCCTTTGTACATAGTAGCTACTCAATAAATACTTCTGAATTACCAGTGGAAGACAAGTCACCTAACCTCCATCAGTCTCACTCTCCTTCATGGTAAACAATGAAGGAATCCAGCCTTTCTTCTTTGCTGAGGATCAAACTGAGAAGACTTTGAAAAGTGGAGGGATCTATCTGTCCTGTGTTAAGATACAACTGCCAGATCCCAGAAAGAGGAGAGATGAGTGGAATGATAAGAACATGGAGGAAAGAGGCCAAAGACTGGGGAGACAGTAAAGATGAATTGCCCAATGGAGACAAGACAGCCATGAGGAGAGAAGGTGGCAGCAGGAAACTATTTCTACAGGCACATCATCTGTCTTGGCTTCTCAGTCTGACAAAGAGGAAGTGGGGCCTGGGCCAGCCTCACCCTATAATGAATACAAACACTAAGTACTGATGTGCCTGTGTGTCTCTAAAACAACTATTCAAACTCAATTGTGCTGGGAGCTCTGTCTGTATTTTGTATCCGTGTTTGTTTCTGTTTTTGCTTTTTAGTGGCTGCCACAAGAGACTTTAACCCCAAGCCCAGTTCTATCTGGGCACATCCATAAATCCTCCCTGCTTTTCTGCCAACTTCCAGACAGGTCATAATGAGAGATGGAAGATAAACAAATAAATATGGAATTGTGAAGGACAGTCAATTCAGCAACTCGACCTCATCCATCAGTCCTTCCCTCCATCACCAGAGCCAAGCAACCTCAAGGTCATTTTAGAAACATACAAACACATCAGTACTTAGTGACTGTTCACATTACAGATGAGGTTGGCCTAGCTCCCATTTGCTAGCTGATAAGCTGAGAAGCCACAGCAGATTCATTCCTGTTCTGAAAAAGCATATCCTTTCAATATAAATAAGAAAAACATCTAGATGTTGGAGTAAGTAAGGTTTGCAAGAAACACACACCTCGTTGCTATTAATAAATGGGCACATAAATAATGAAAGGGGTAGACATCATGGTTAGGAGGATGGGCCCTGGTATTAGAACACCTGGGTTCAAATCCTGGCTCTGTTGCTTGCTAGCTTTGCCACCTGAGCAAGTTACTTAATCTTCCTGGGCTTTAATTTCCTCACCTTTAAGATGGGAGTTATAACAACCTTCCTTTGTAGGATTTTGGTGATCCCTGAATCCTGATTCAGTGATATTATGCCTGCAAGTTGGTTAGCCTGTTGCCTACTATTCGGCTAAGAATGTAATACAAGTTAGCTGTTATTTTTAAATAGAATATCATGCAGCCATGAAAAAAGATATATATTTTTTCATTACCATCCAAAGATGTCCATGATATATGGTTATAATGGACCAGAGCCTTCCAATGGCAGGGGTGAGGTGGGATTGGAGGATAGGAACATGGCTCTGGATTTAGAATACCATAGGAAATAAGACAGTTTACTGATGAGAGTATGCCATTTGTGTGACCTTTGGAAAGGTAGGAAGGAGACTGAAAACAACTGTGTTAAATAAAAGAAGTGGGTCCTTAATAGTTTGTGGTAATTTCCCACCTTAATATGCAAGCCAAATAGTTATCTTGACATGCATAGATACATTGAAAGTACCTGGAAAGATAGAAACCAAAGTTTAATTTTGGTTATCTAGGATGATGGGATTGCAAGTATTTTTTAACCATGTAAATGCAGAGATTTTTCTACATTGTCTGTTTTATTTTTATAGTGGGCATGTTTTACTTTCACGGTCATTTGAAACACATCTTTTCTACCTGGAAAAATACAAATTTTACCTTCTTTGAGGCAAGGTGCATTTTCATTTCTAAAATAAAATGTATTTTCAAATCTTAAAAATCTTCTTCACCAAAAAGTAAAGGATTCTGGGCAAAGTTTCAGAAGCAGATCTTGGGCCATGACCTTGTGGTAGGTGGTGCTAGATTAGGAGCAAAAGTACTTTCCCTTTTCTTTTCTATGCCCTTTTCCCCTGCTCCATCTTGCACCTCCCTTCCTCCATGCCCAGGGAGTGAATTGATTCTATCAACTTTCAACTCTCTTCTTCTATTTCTATGCAGCATATGGACACCATACCACCATGCTCATTTCTAACCTTAATATATTAATATATTCTAACCTTAATATATTAATAATGGAACTGTCCAGGTATATATATTCTCATTTAGTCTTGAGAGCAATTAGGCAAGGAAGGTCCTATTAAAGATGAAGCAACTAAGGCTCAGACATAGCTGAGGTCCCAGAGTCAGTGTGTAACAGGACTAGAACTCAACCCACCTCTGTCGGACACAATTTTTATTTTTAATTTATTTAGAGACAGGGTCTCATTCTGTCACCCAGGCTGGAGTGCAGTGGTGCAGCTCACTGCAGCCTTGAACCTCTGGCCCCAAGAGGCTGAGGTTCCTCAGCCTCATAAAGTACTGGGATTACAGATGTGAACTGCACCTGGCCTTGGACACTAAACTCATCCTCTTAATCACTCTGCCTGCCACCTCCTGCCTCCTCCTTGCTGGGCTTTCCCTGCAAGAATCAATGCTTTAGAGTGGGTAGTTATTCTTCCCCTATGGATGTACCTGTTTATCATGGTATCTCAGGTACCATGGAATAGTTGTAGCCATTCTACTTATTAGAAAATATATTGCTTCATTTTAGAAAAATAGCCAGTGTGACCTGATTTATACTCCTCTTAAATAAAAAAAGTTCAACCATAATAACTAAACGTCTTCTTGCATAGATGAAACCTGCAGTTTTAGCCTGCCAACTGTTCTTCCTCTTCTGATAATAGTACCTCAGTCTTTCTTCCAAGAACCCCTTTCTCATTACATAGTTGCAGTGGGATTGTCAATTGTAGGACTTTGTCCTTCTTTAGCCAAGTGGTGGGTTGGGATCTGAGCTTGGTCAGTAAGACTGCCACTTCTTGAGTTCACATTCCGAGTGGGTTGGCATGAGAATGGACTGGGCTAGAGTAGGTTTATCCCAATTATTAAGTGTCTGTTATATCTTACTATCTGGCTTCCTGAAGTTAAACTGGTCTGGTTTCCTTCTTTTCTGAAGCTTAGCTGTTTCTTCTGATAACAACAACAATACTGGCAACAACAGCAAACTATTGTTGTTGTTGTTGCTTCTGCTGTTGTTATGATGATGATGATGATTAGGGCTTAATTTAATCACAGTCGGTTTCTGTTGCTAGCAACTAAAGAAGTCTGTCTGTTGCAACATTCAAAGCTAGTGTGACAAAAATGAACTAGGCATTTATTAAAAAACAAAACCAAAACAATACAAACAAACAAAAAAATAACAACAACAACAAAAAAACAACACTCACACACCCCAAACAAAGCTCAATTATAGGAGCTTCACTGGCTGAAGTTCAGACATCAGATGCAGTGTTCTGAAATGAATTTTTATGTCTTCTGCCACATATGACACTCCCATTTTCTTGCAAATACCCCCATGTTCACTTCCAGGAAGAATTTGAGTTTTGTAAAACTTTTTTATCCACCTATTTTCTCTGATGCCAGGACCAGCATGTGAAGAAACTAAAATCAAGCAGGGAGGTGAGGAGGTGAGCATGAGGAGGTGAGTGTGAGGAGGGAGGGAGAGAGCAAGGGAGGGCTTATATTTTGGACATTTTTCTTAAAAATAGTTAGAAAAGGTGTGAGGAACACAGAGAAATGGCTCTCTGATGCCATATCTCAGGACCAGGGGTGTGAGAACCAGACAGAATTGCTGGGCCAGATCTCAGAGCACCCATCCCAGCCCCCAGCCCTTGGCCCTGAAAGCCAGAATTGAAGAGATTAATGGATTAATCTGTTGCCCTGCTTGATCCGCTCTGACAATCAGGGCCATCAGGAAAGGACAAAAATAAACCTGTGTGCTCTTGAGAACCATGGGGACCTTGGTCTCCTTTCTCCCATCCCCACTCATGGCCCAGGCCTCACCAACTTGTTGTTAATGGTGACTAGCTTGGTTCAGACTGGGCTGGATGGGCACAGATGGAAAAGGAATAGCACCTCCTCTCTCCTTTCATTTATTAAAAGATGATCTTTACTACTCTAGCATGCTGAGAGATCAATTCAGCAGTTGGCCCTCTGTATCCACAGGTTCCACATTCATGCATTCAGCCAACTACAGATACAAAATATAAAAAATAAGAAATAACAATAAAAAGTAATATAAATAAAACCAATATAGTATGACAACAATTAACATAACATTTACATTGTATTAGTTTTTATGAGTAATCTAGAGATGATTTAATGTATATGGGAGAAGGCCAGGTGTGGTGGCTCATGCTGGTAATCCCAGCATTTTGGGGGGCCAATGCGGGTGGATCACTTGAGCCCAGGAGTTCAAGAGCAGCCTGGGCAACATAGCAAAACCCTCTCTCTACAAAAAATACAAAAATTAGTCTGGCATGGTGGCATGCACCTGCAGTCCAACTATATGGGAGGCTGAGGAGGGAGGATCACTTTAGCCAGGGAGGTTGAGGCTGCAGTGAGCTGTGATTATATGACTGCACTCCAGCCTGGGTAACAGAAAGGAAACCCGGACTCAAAAAAAAAAAAAAAAAAAAGGTATATGGGAGGATGTGCATAGGTTATATGCAAACACTATGCTATTTTATATCAGGGACTTGAGCGTCTGAGGATTTTGTATTTGAGGAAGCCCTGGAACTAATGCTCTGCGGATACTGAGTAATGAATATATGCATTAGCAAAACAAGACCGATATCTAAAACTGACTTTTTAAAGTACAGAAATCCCAGAACATTTTGAGATTATTGCTGTTACACTATTTTTTAACGTTATTGCTGTTGGTAAACTGGAGTGTGAAGTTGTGGCATGGTAGGGTGGAGTGTGTGTGAATGTGAAAGAGAGGGAATTTGGAAGGAGGATATCTGTTGGTTTTGTCTGCTGAGCATATATTCCCCGTTTTGGTAAAAAGCAGCCTAACGGTTTATTAAGAAACCATTACATTCTTCCTGAAAATGGTTCCAGTGCAGCTGAGCCTGTACTCAGGTGCCAGAGATGGTGGCTGTCCTAAGCCTTAACCCCCCAGTCTATTTCACCCCCATCCACTGTGACTGACTCAAGAAGGGACATATGATCCATGTCAGTCCAACAAAGTCACCCCATGTCTTTGCTAGGGAGCTCAGCAGGGGTGTTCTCTTTGCTCCTGGAGGTGCTAAACTGGTAGGATGTGCCCTGGGGCTGTCAAGGTCTTCCACATGGAGAGAAGCTGACCAAGAAGGAAGTCAACACAGGGATGAGTACAGTCGAGAGGTGGGGGGAAGATACCCATCCCGCTGGTAACTTTGGAGCCTCTGGATCCAGCCATGGCTGAAGCCAGGCCTACTCCTGGACTTTTAAGTTAATTGAGGAAATAAATCTCTTTTTTAGGGTTATCCAGTATGACCTAGGTATCGGTCACTTATAATCCATAGAGTCCTGACTAAGACAGGGGCCAACAGAGAAGCAATTGGAACCCAGAGTTGGGTACAGGAAGAGACATCAGCTTCTCCATAGCCCAAGGATGAAGGGGAAAGGAGAAAGGAAGGTGTAATCAACTTGGAGAGCTCCCAAGTAAAGTGTTAACCCTGATCTCCTGATACAGAAACTTCACTTTAGAGGATTAGACTTCCCTGGAAAAGTGAATCTAAGACTCTCCAAAGTATTTACTAATGAAGACAGCAGTTAGATCATTAATACCCCACATCCTTTCTTATGTTACTCAAATGCTAACATTAAATATTCAGTAATTTCTCAATGCCTGTATTCTTACCAGACAAAAAATGAAACTGTTTCCAATAAACTAGCCACTACAGAGGAAAACATTGGGATCACTGTAGATGTAATGGTAATTTCCAGAGACTCATTAGCACCTTGATGACTATTAATTTTCACATTTAATTAATAGATAGAAATGACACTTTCTTTTAATTTATGCCATTAGTCAAATGAGCTTTCTAATTAAGATTTGCAACCTATAAATTTATAAACTCTGGTGAATGACTCTAAATATGGAGAACTATGGATAGGGGTCTGCTTGGCCTGACAAGGGTTCTGCCATTACTCTCCCATTGGCTTCCAGAACTTGAACAAAGAGGGAAAATTAATTTCATTCCCAGGCAGTTTCTAAACAAAACCTTAGTTAAATATATTCAAGTTATTCACTATCATATATCACTGTGATTCCAAATCTCATTTCTACTCCCCATGAAATTCAGCCAAAAAACTGTACCACATAAGATAAAGCAGCAAGTTTGACACTCATTGGCGATAATGAATGATACTTGTAAAATTTTAAAAGATTTAAATTTGGACAACTATAAAAACAAATTTGACTTCTAAAATAGATCCAAATAAAAATTTCTTGAAGAAAATGGTGTAAAAGGAGTCTGTGGTTGGTCCCAGCGAACATCACAAAGATTGTTTACTATTAAATGCTAATTAGCAAACCAATCAATAATATTTTCACAAGATCTAATTGCAGTCTTACTCTCTCCATGAAGGAAGGAGTCAAGTGCTTTAGCAAGTGGGAAGAAGAGTTTTGCCATATCAGGATTTTGCCTCTACCGAGGCTTCAATCAATTAACATATTGAAAGCATCTGTTGTGGGCTGAATCAGATGGGCAGACTAAGTACGTGCTTAGAGCACCAGCAAAGCAGGCACACCAACATTTTTGTTTTGAAATAATTTTCTATCTAATAAATAAAGGAAACAAGGAAGGAAGGAAATCAATGAAACAATCCCAGGGGAAAATCAGATTTTGTTACATTTTTCTTATACCTATCTTCAAGTTTACCATTATTACTGTGAATTGTATATAGCAGCATATCATAAGCTTTCAGTGCCTAGGAGCTGGTCTCTAATGGTTGTCATCTAACCTTGACAATGCATAAGACATTTGGGGCATAGGATTCCAAACACAGAGAGTATTTACCTGGTTCACATTAAAATAGATTAATATAAAGTAAAATGTCACTCAGTGACCAAATAATCATATTTGAAAATGTGCATATGAGGAAAGCATTGCCAATAGGAAGGTATGGCATGTCCACTTCATAATCATGTAGAAATAATAGCCAATATGCACACTGAGATAGAACACTTAACAAAATTTAAAAATATTTGCAGAAATACAAATCCACTTTACTGATAAGCTTCTGAGGTCTGGTGGTGAAAATTTACCTGTAATACATACTCAGAACATATTCTCTCTTTTGTAGATTTTCTCTAGAGAACAGCACTGCATTTTGGACAGTGGTTCCAGCTCCAGAAAAGAAAGCAGCATTTTTAAAAAAAGAATAAGGAAGTTCATGAAGCCACCATCCTTGGGAGGTGCTAACATCCTTTTAAAATGGTGTAAGTGGTGAGAAAAATGCTCCTGACTCAAAGTCACAGGTTGTGATTTTTCATAGCTGTGTGACCTTGAGTAATTAATTTAACCTATCTGAGCCTCAGCCTCTTCATCAGTAAAATGGAAATACAATCAGACCTAATTCATAAGACTGTTATATGTTGTATGAAAAACACTCAGTATATTGCCTGGTATAAAATTCCGTTGTTAAATAGTAGCTTACATTTAGTTTTCCCTAAAACAAAATACTGTTATTTCTTAACATTGTAACGAATCACCAACCCATTTGCCTTAGGAAGGATGATACTGTAGTAAACCAAAACGACTGTCCCCATTGCCCTGCAGCTCAGACTCCCCAGGCATAGGGCTTGAGTGGTCTTGGCATTCTTCTGAACAGTGATTCTCACCTCATAGTAACTCTGCACAGCGTTCATGAAGGCTTCGTCAGCCATGATCTGGGTTTCCCCATTGAGGAAAGCCTGAAACCGGTCCTTGACTGTCTGCAGCTGCTGTTTGCTGATCTGTAAGAAACAGAAAAAGAGGGAAATGTGAGAACTTGTCCTAGACAAGGATCATGGATACTTTATGCTGAAGATGCCAGACCCATTGGTGTATTGGAGCTGGCTTGTATAGGTGTGTGACAGCTGATTAGTGAATCTGTGGAAACTTCTGTGAGCCAGTGTTAAACACAGCCATTATTTTAAAATAATATATAAATAAATTATATTAAAAACAAAGTTAATACACTTTTAATACTTAAAATTCATTGCCTCCTAGTTATTTTACCACATTTCACTTTCATCAGTGCTTTTGAGGTTACTTACACCTATGGTATTTGCATGAGGGAAATTCTATATAAGGGAGTGCTACCACCCATCTCTTCCCAGCTCCACATTCAGTGTTGTCTCAGTGGCAGCTTCATGTCAGCCAAGGTGGGAATATTTAGACCATGGAAATTGGCAAATGCTACAAAACAGTTTTTTTTTCCCCTCCTGAGAAATGGTTGTTAAACATGTAACAGCAAACACAGCACTGCACATGCCCCTCTGGTGGTCTGAAATACCTTGATGAATGCAGTATGACCATATGCAGGGGTTTTCAAACTTTATTGTTGTTGGTACATCCATGATCACATGACAGATGATGTTTGGGTACAGGATATACTTCTGGGATGTGGCATAGAGAATTTGGGTACTAGGTTATGTACAATTCCTTGCCTATCAATCCCACCTTTCTTTCTTAGGAAAACTTTCCTAAAAGATTCCTACTCATTCTTCCTCCTCACCCCTTATCTGGCTCTATCATGCCATCCATCAGGTATCAATGCAGGCAGCACTAATTTATGAAGTCCTTCCCAGCCCCTAGGTTAGGGGCAGGTCTTCCTGCTATGTGATTCCACAGCACAGTGTTTGTTTAACTGCTTGATGATGATTAAATTTGTTACATGCGGTGTCTTTTCTTGCTATCTTATTCATCGAAGTTTTCCCAGGGCATAGCTAACTGCCTTATATGTGCCAGACACTCAGGGCTGATTACATGAATGAATGAATGGAGTGTATGCAAGACATGTTATTTTCAGGTATCTTTTCATTGGTTCTAATTTATATAAAATATGTATATTAACAAGTCAGCCAAAACTTTGCTGTTTTAAAAGTTAAAAACTTTTAACTTAAAAAAGTTAAATTTTTGTGAAAAGTTAAACTTTTTGTAAAAAGTTATGCTTTATAATAGATCATGAGAAACTACCTCTGTGAACCACTGTTCTAGTGGAAAAAGTAAGACCAGTCCAGTAGCAGTTCTGTTGGCCACTGTGTCATCTGGAAAAAGCGACTTATATTCTGCATTGACCTGAGAGTGAAGAGCCAGCCTTTCTGGATCAGGGCTGGGTTTAAATAAATTTTATCTCGTCCTTAGTTTTCTCACTTGGAAAATGGTGGTAATTCTAATTACCCATTGTCCTGGGATAGTTATAGCTATTCAATAACATAACGAGTTCTTTTAAAAAATTAAAAGTTTTTATATAAATCCAAGTGATTTTACTGTTAGAGTCAATATAATTAGAAAATAAAGTTTAAAGCTTTAGGAGACACAAAGCCAGCATGAGTTTTGACTCAGTCAAGAAACAAAAACAAAACAGAATTTTGTTTGTGACACAGATGGAAGCTGGGTGCTTTCATTAATTTTTGTATCTTTGGAAGAAGTTGGGGAATAGTGAAGTCAAGGGTAGATTAAAAGGGGTTAGAAATTTATCAGACTCATATTTGTTACATTCTAGGGCACCACTATTCAATGTTAGCCACATGTATAATTTTAAGTTTTATAGTAGCCACATTAAAAAAATAGAAACAAGTGAAATGAATTTTGATATACTTTACTTAACCCAATATAGCCAAAATAACGTTTCAACATGTAATCAGTATTTAAATTATTAATGAGACAGTTTACGTTTAAAAAATGCTATGCCTTTGGAATCTGGTGTAGTTTACCCGTACAACATATCTCAATTCAGAGTAACCAAACTGCAGGAGTTCAACAGCCACATGTGGCTAGTGGCTATTGCACTGGACCAGTTCAGACCTAAAGCATGGAATAAACTCACTTCTAAGTTGCTTAAGCTTTCCTGCTCTGACCCATGGAGCAGAGCACATATTGATATGTGAAATTGAAGAGAAAATCACAGTTATTTTTTATGTGCTTGAAACCATTTGAACTGAAATATTAGGTAGCAGTTGATTTGCTCATAAAAATGATACCCGTAACATACATTTATTTTAAGCAGGCCAGCTTTAATCTAGTTCACAAATCCTAACAGTATAGGACCAACCAAGGCATCTCACAGGATTTCTTGCTCAGAATTCCTTCTAAAACAGTGTGAATACCAGCTTTGCGTGATTTTGGGAGTGGGGTGGGATGATGGGGCAGGAGAGGAATGGAGGCCTATAGACCTCGCTTTTGTCTTAAATGATTAATTGAAATAAAATTATGCACATACCATATGAATGATCAAGATTGATTGTTGACCCAGGCCAAATCTATTATCTGTCTAACCTTTCCTTAAATAAGCATGGTGCTCATTTAGTTAAGAAATATTTATAGATCACCCACACTCTGCCCAGCCCTGCACCAGACACTACGGGTTCAGTGGTCAACACACTCAACCCCTGATCTCACCTGTTACTTCTTAGGGCTGGGCACTAAGGAATCAAAAGAAATAAGGGCTTTTCTTCAGGGATCTTATAGTCTAGGTGGAGAGGAAAAGGCAAACAAAAAAGCACATTAAATTATGATTCAGGATTTCAGAGAAGAGAAATTACAGAATATAAAACTCTCAAAGGAGAAAGGAGCTAAGGAACTTCAGGAACATTAATTTTAATCAAGTTCAGAGAACACACACCGCAAAGCCACACAAAGCATCCCTTGCTTTCCTAGTCACATTAAGCTCTCAGAAGGAGAGTTGGGGGCATGGACTTCAGCGGCAGAACTTTGCTTATGTCTGGGTTTTGCCACCTACTGGTTTACAATTCACTACTTTTCTCACCGCTAATTCAACAAGCCTAGTGTTTATTTACTCAACTCACTAGCCATGTCTCCCTGGGCAAATGACTAACCTCTCTAAAGCTCAGTTTTCTCATTTGTAAAATGGGGCCAATACTGACCTCATAGGGTTGTTGTGAGGATTAAGATAAGCAAAATACTCACTGCAGAACTTAGCACAGGATGAATGCTCAATACATCTTAGCTACTGTGATGATTAATTCTCATCTTTTTTTTTTTTTAAAACAAACAAAAAAACAGAGTCTCACTGTTGCCCAGGCTGGAGTGCAGTGGTGTGATCTCGGCTCACTGCAACCTCCACCTCCTGGGTTCAAGTGATTCTCGTGCCTCAGCTTCCCAAGTAGCTGGGACTATGGGTGTGTGCCTCTACAGCTGGCTAATTTTTGTATTTTTAGTAGAGATGAGGTTTCACCATGTTGGCCAGGCTGGTCTCGAACTCCTGACTTCAGGTGATCCACCTGCCTCGGCCTCCCAAAGTGCTGGAATTACAGGCGTGAACCACTGTGGCCACCCTAATTCTCATCTTTGAGTGTTTGCACATACTATTCCCTTGAGAATGCCTGCCTCTGGGGACATTTCACATGTACACATCTTTAAATTTAGTGCATGTGCTCCCTTCCAGACTCCCCAGGTGGAGGTCGCTGTTTTCTCAGCATTTTGTTCACAGTCCTATGGGTGCATGTTTTATGTGGCGAAGTAGTTATTTATTTAAACTCAAGTGCTCAGGGGCAGAATCATGAGTCAGGAGTTGAGCGCACAGGCTTGGGGTCCAAGAGACACAGGTTCAAGTCCTGGTGATACCACTCACTTCCAGGCTGCATGACCTTAGGCAACCTACTTTCCCTAAGCCTTGGTTCCTCATTAAAAAATTTGGATGATAAAACTGACTTCCCAAAGTTGCTAAAAAGATGAAAAGGAAATGGGGTAACATACCTCAAGATCTTAGCACATGGCCTGGCATAAAAGAGCCAAATGATAAACTCAATGGGCTCCAAGGCTCTGCATGACGTACCCTGACTTTGACTTGCTCCACTTTGCTCTTTACTTACTCTGGTCTCCAGCACACTGGTGTCTTTTTTACTTCTCAGCTGTGCCCCGACTTTTCTTGCCTGAGAGCCTTTGCTCTTGCTGTTCCCTTTACCAGGGATGCTCTTCTGGTTTTCCCCATGGTTGGCCCCTTAGGATTCAGCCAAGCCAGCATCTCCTGGGAAGCTCTTCCCTGACCATTCCATCTACAGTAAAGTTCTCCCAGATAATCTCTGTCACAGTGCCCTGCAACCTGAGCATTTCCTGCACAGTCATTATCACAGTTAGCCCTTATCTTCTCTAAGGTAAAATTATTTAATTATAACATGTACCCAGAAAAATATACTTTATCAGCACAGAATATGAGGAATTCCTTTTTTGTTTGTTTGTTTGTTTTTTGAGACAGAGTCTTGCTCTGTTGCCCAGGCTGGAGTGCAGTGGTGCCATGTCAGCCCACTGCAAACTCCGCCTCCTAGGTTCAAGTGATTCTCCTGTCTCAGCCTCCTGAGTAGCTGGGATTACAGGCAAGCACCAGCACGCCCAGCTAATTTTTGTATTTTTAGTAAAGATGGGGTTTTGCCATGTTGATCAGGCTGGTCTTGAACTCCTGGCCTCAAGTGATCCACCTGCCTTGGCCTCCCAAAGTGCTGGGATTATAAGCGTGAGCCGTCATGCCCAATCGGTATAAGAGATTCTCACAAACTAAACTTTTCCAGATAACAAACTTTCGTATCAAGATAAACAACATTACCCAGACCCCAGAAGCTCCTGGATATTCCCAAAGTCATTGCTCCCTCCAAAAGTGACCACCAGCCTGACTTCTATTATCACAGATGAGTGTTGCCTGTTTTTGAACTTGGTGTCAATACGATCATACATGATGAGATTCATCCCTGTGGTTAGGAGTAGCAATAGCTGGTCCCTTCTCACTGCTGGGTAGTATCCCATTTTACAGGTATACCACAATTTATCCATTTTCCTATGATGCATATTAGGGCCTTCTTTATTTTAAAATTATACCTACTTTTCATTATCTATCTCTCTACAAGAATATATGTTTCACAAGTACAAGGACCATATCTGTCTTGTTTACTGTTGTACTTCTTGTTTATAGCTATACACATATGTCTCATTTGCTGCTGTGCACACAGTGAGCTCTCAACGAATGTTTGCTGAGTGAATACATGAGCCTATTAAGGGCTTAATGTATACCAGGCACAGTGTTAGGCTCTGGCGATATAACAGTATCAAGGCACAATCTTAGCTCTCGAATTTCTCACAATTGAGTCAGAAATCGCATACTCATCTTTGACTTCTTAACACCCTTTGCCAACTGCATGAGTGAATGAAAATCTTACTTAGAAGCTTGCAAAAGCCAGTCTAAGAATCAACTGTGGGACAGAGTTTGTATCTGGTTAAAAGTTAACTGACTTATATAGGATTGAACCCAAAAGGTGACCTTGCACGAATAAACTGAAATAATTGGCCCAGAGTAGCTGACAGTACAACTCTAAACAAACAAATGGGCTTTGATGAGCCGCTTAGAGAGAGAATCCTCCTAAAATAGAAGTCCATCTAAAAGCATTTAATATGCATAGAAACCACTTGTACATCAAGGTCAGAATTCAGAATTGCAGTAATGAATTCCAAGCAGAAAACCTGAAAAGATGGAAGGTGATTATTGTAGAAGACAGTGCTGCAGCAGCGTTTGCTAGAACTATTCAAGCATTCTTGGTTCCGTCTACCTCATTAACCAAGGCCTGAAAATTCCCACTGCATTTCAGGCAGTTTGTAATTTACTGAAGCATTCTGGAGAAGTGTGAAATGTGATCTGCAGTGAGGAGAAAACGGCATGTTCTAAGTGTCGGTCTCAGGAGAGGCAATGCTGAAGTCAGAGCAAGCTCAAGTCACATGCTAGCTTTGCTATGAGACCTTGGTCAAGTAACTGGTTTTGGGTTTTTCCTCTGTAAATAGGGGAAAGCAATATCTACTTTACAGAGTCTTTGTGAAAACTAGGTGGGATAATATACGTATAATATATATATTTATAATACATGTAATAATATATAGCATAGTATCTGGCATAGAGTAAGGACTCAATAATAAAAACAATACAGGAAGTATTATTTTTTTCCCTATCATTTATCTTTTATCTTCTTTCAATGCTTTTTTTATTTACTCAGCCTTTTGAAGGTATCACTGATGTGGTATTCCTTACCTCATTCTTTCTTGGCCCTTCTAGTTTAGAGGCTGGAAAGCCAATTACTCCCTTCCCAGTTTCGCTTGCTATTATGGGTGGCCATGTAACAGATGCAGAAAACTACTGGGGGCATCTTCTGGAGAAATATTCGAAATCCTCATGAAAATGAACATACTTGGTGGTATAATCCTTTTCTTTCCTGCTGCCCCTTCTTCTGCTGAGAATACAAATCTATTGTCTATAGCCATGGTATCTATCTCATGACCATCCAGGAAAGGCTAAGAGCATCGCAGAAATGTGGTCCTTACATTTTTTGGGTGGCTGAACAAATGTTTGTAAACACCCATCTCTGGTTTTTTCATTATGTGAGAAAAAATAAATATATTTCTACTTGTTCAAGTCACTGTATGTTTTCTCTTACTGGCAGCCAGATGCATTCCTAATGGATACACTTGGTTTACAATAGTCATGGAAGAAGGCATACTTACTAAGATGCTTATTGGTTAATATGTGTCCTATTGCAACAGCAACTGTATCAGAAAGAAGGGAGAAGCAATGCTTATTGTAAAAGAAGGAACCTCAAATAGCAGCATTCTAAGCATAGGCAGCAGTGAGTAGAAAAATATCTTTGGGTGTATAGAGATGTTCCAGTTATACACATAAATTAGGTCCTTTTCTACTTAAAGTATAATGTCAGCATTGTATATTGCAATTTTTAATATAAGCCATGCTTTTTCTTTTTAAAAAAGAAATCATTATCTGGGAAAAAAGGGACAGGTTTTTAAAGCTTTTCTTTATTATAGATAACTGGAAAAAAAGTCAACTCAACAAGTGTTTAAAAATCATCAGCTAATCTAGAGAGATTAGGGCAATGTTTATTTAATTTCTTTTTTTTGAAGACTTCAAAAATTTATATTGGGCCATGAATTTTATTAATAAATAAAATATGCCCTTTCTACAACCAGACTAAATATTTTCTACTCTAAAGGAAGTCCTGCTTTTAGAAAATTTAGAAATCACATCATCTTAACCAAATATTTACTTATTTACATAAAGTTCTTCTCACCTTTTATATTATATATGTATATTTATGTAACATACTCTGAAAAAGGCATTTTAAGTGACTTTTATTTAGCTTGAAGAAAAAATCTGACAGACTTTATCACGGCAAAATATAAATGAGTAATTCTGAAATGCAAGTTGAAGGGGGAAAAACATATTGAAGGTGGGGAGAATTACGATGAGGCTGTTATCCTAGACTTCCCTTTGGAACATGGTTTCCCAAAATTCAACTACTCAAATAATAATTCAATTATTTAAGTAATACTCCCATGAGTATGTCCTCCCCATGTACTAACTGTACTATTTACTTTTTGTTTTTGCATTAAACTTACATCAAATCACTTTCTTCTAAGCAATAATATCCAAAACCATAAGCTTTATGTAGTTTTATGTAGTAGCTATTGTTAAATTAGATATGTTCTATCCTCTTGCATACCTCTACCACATTTTACAAAGTGTTTCTTTAGAAAAAATGTAAAATTCTTCTATATATAACAATTCTTGCTCATTTTTAAAAAATTTAGGGTAGCAGCTGAATATAAGTTAATTACTACTTTTAAAAAATGAGGTCAATTTTAAAATTATTTAATAATAGACCAATCAGCATGCTATTCCTAAAGATCTATTTTTGGGCAGAAGAGAAAGAATAAAGACCTATAAATTGGCCACATGATACTCTAACAAAGAGTTCTATGACCTACAGGGAAATGAACATGGAGACATAATTTGAACATTGATTAAGATGGGATTGTCCCAACCAACAATTATCTAGCAGAAGAGGAAAAAAATAGGAAAAATGCATCTAGAAGGTGAGTTGGGGCTAAAGATTGGATTGAAGATCAAAAGAGAAGAGGAAAAGGATCAAAGGGGACGAAAAGAAGAGAAGGAGAAGGAGGTCTACTTTTCACCCTTCCGGCCACAAAGCTCTTAAAAGGTGTTCTTTAGTAGGACAAATGTTCCACCCTTGAACCCGATAACATTAAAAAAAAAGAACATTTTTCCAACTTGGAGGCACTCAGTTAAAAAAAAAAACGTACTTTTCCAACTTGGAGGTACTCAGGCAGTACTCACATGGATTCTTCTGGCATGTGGTCAAATAAGGACTTCTAGAGCCAAAGATCTCATTAAGAGTTAGTTGGCTAGTTGCCATCATTCTCATACTTTTTAATGTCAAGTCTCTTTCCCCTCTTAAAAATCACTGAGGACTGCAAGGAGGTTTTGTTTATGTAAGTTGTTTTACAGCTATTAACAAATACTATAGTGATACTAAAACTGAGGAGTTTAAAATATTAACTCATTAAAAATAACAAACCCATCATATGTTAAACTGAAATAATACCCTTTTATGAAAATAATATTTTCCAAAACAAAATAATAGTGAAGAAATATCTTTTAGAGATGAGTAGAGGACAGTTAGATCCTCATTTCTTTTTCTGCATTCAATCTGTTGTGAAATGCCGTTTTGGTTGAAGTATATGAAGAGAATCTGGCCTCCTACAGATAGGTTGTTGGAAAACTGAGAGATATTGTAATAGCCTTTTCAGACAAATGGGATAGTCTTCCTGATACTATACCAAAGCCCAAGTGGTGGTATTTTCTTGAAAGTTAGATGCACTGTAAAATCAGACACCATGTCAGTGAGCTTTTTATACTCAATTACATTAAAACCCATTGATCTGTCTTGCTATTTGAATGAATCTTTTACCCATAAGTGTTTTTTTTTTAATTTTTGTTTTGTTTTGTTTTTGAGACAGAGTCTCTCACTCTGTCACTCAGGCTGGAGTGCATAGGTGTGATCTTGGCTCACTGCAACCTCTGCCTCCCAGGTTCAAGCGATTCTCATACTTTAGCCTCCCAAGTAGCTGGGATTACAGGCATGCACCACCAAGCCCAGCCAATTTTTGTATTTTTGTATTTTTTTTTTTTAGTAGAGATGGGTTTTCACCATGTTGGCCAGGCTGGTTTCAAACTCCTGGCCTCAAACAATCTGCCTGCCTCGGCCTCTGAGAGTGCTGGGATTACAGGCATTAGCCACTGCGCCTGGCCCGTAAGTGGTTTTATTTTTTAAAAATCATACATTGGTCATATCAAAAATGAATTCAGTGAGTTATGTTAATTTTCCAAATGTTCACACATTTCATCACACAATACATAAAAAATCATATGACTTAATATTGCCACTGATATCAAAAAAATCTTTAGGTATTAAGAAACTGTCCAGATTATGGTGGTGATTGAAATCTCAAATTTTATTATTAGCAAAAAATATTGTCAGTTGTTTTTCTTGAAGTAACAGGCTCCCTCCATTTACTTTCTAGAAAACATCTATGAAATACCTACATTTGTCTGTTGATTGTTTTTCCAAGTAAAAATGATATTCCATTTTTTAAAAAGCCTTGTTAAGTTGGCAACTCAATCAGACAAGTCCCTTCCCATGAGACAACTGTTGTCCTTCCTCGTGCTGCCTGAGTGCTTTATGCATAGTTACCATTTCACTGTATAGAATATTAAAAAGGTGTGTGCCCAAGGATCAACATTTAATAAAATTAACACTTTCTATGGTTTCATCAAGGAAAGTATTCCGTGAAGTTGGCCGTTTTTAAGCAGGAAGTACATGGCCATGACAGATATAATGATTACTAGTACAGTTTGGCACCACTGCCTTGGTTTGTGCGAAAGTACCAGCAGTCTTCCTCATCATTGCTTTTGCATCATTATTGATAATGTTAACATAGTGAGAAAAAAGCATATAATGTCTTGGCATTACTAGGAAAATCACCTTGCAGACTTCCAGGGTCATGTGGACTATGCTTCCAGAACCACTGCTGTAGTGAATCAATGAATCTGCTAGTAGTGAATCTACTACCAGCAAGGTAGTAGTCAGGAGGAGAGTGCTAGGGTATAGTCTTGGAGAATATAGCATGAGAATATAATAGGCAGAGAACAGAACACAGTACAGGGGCTTGCATGCCAAACTGAAGAGTTGGGCTTTAATTCAAAGAATGGTGGGAAAGCATTGAAATGTTTTGCATAGGAGAGTGACATGGTTTAAGAACATGCAGAATTGGCCGGGCACGGTGGCTCATGCCTGTAATCCCAGCACTTCGGCGGGCCGAAGCAGGCGGATCACGAGGTCAGGAGATCAAGACCATCCTGGCTAACACGGTGAAACCCCGTCTCTACTAAAAATACAAAAAATTAGCCGGGCATGGTGGCGGGCGCCTGTAGTCTCAGCTACTTGGGAGGCTGAGGCAGGAGAATGGCGTGAACCCGGGAGGCGGAGCTTGCAGTGAGTGGAGATTGCGCCACTGCACTCCAGCATGGACAACAGAGAGAGACTCCATCTCAAAACAACAACAACAACAACAACAAAAGCATGCAGAATCAGGGAATAGGAATGAGTTCTGGGGGTTAGCATAGAATCAGGAGAATGTTTCAGGCTTGCTGTGATATTTGAAGAGAGGAGGGCCCTGAATAGTATCTAGAATCTCAGTTTGCAGAGGCAGGGATAGCTGGGAAAAGAGGAAGGCCGTAGGGAGAAAAGGCGAGAGAGAGATGAGGAGGGCATTCCAGGTTGAGGGTACAAAATGGGTGAGGAAAGACAAGATGAGA
Source organism: Homo sapiens (assembly GCF_000001405.40). Taxonomy (NCBI): domain Eukaryota; kingdom Metazoa; phylum Chordata; class Mammalia; order Primates; family Hominidae; genus Homo; species Homo sapiens. The sequence continues at coordinate 62,776,919 of NC_000003.12, forward strand.
AACTGTGGGACCTTCTTGGAGGACACAGCAAGAATCTCTTTTGTCAGTTACAATCTAGACCCTGCCGACTCAAAAAACAAGGATTAGGGGCGGCTGTGTGAGTATGCACAACAGAGGAGTCCAAAAACAAAGTCACAACTATTAAAAATGAAACGACAGATTGTTCCATTTGGCTGGAGCTCAGATTAAAATACTAGCACAGCAACATATGAAATCACTAAATCACCACACACCATCTTGGGTCTTATAAGGTTTAATAGTGAACTCATCAGTAGCAATTATTTCCAGAGAAAAAGCTGAAAATATCTGAATGCAGTCTATGTACAGGTTATATGTGACGCTAATGTAACATTCACAAACTGTGACCATGAGCTTCACTGAAATTGATTTAGATAAGAACATTATCCTGTCAGCATGAATAGAGAGAGAAGGTACAAGTGATTGGCAGTCGCTTTTCAGGCTGCTGGGGGATGTGGAGGAATGTGGAGACCTTGGCTGGTTGTTCTAACAATCGCCATTCAGGATCCAGAATAGCAGAGAGAAAAAACAGGACAAAGAGTGAAGGTGATCTGAAATTAGGAAATATGAAAAACACAAGTGCACACCCTAATGCAAACTAGGAACTTTAGTTAATAATAATGTATCTGTATTGGCTCATCAACTGTAACAAATAGAGCATGCTAATGCAAGATGTGAATGATGGGGGAAACTGTTGGAGGTAGGGGGATACGGAGTATACGGGAACTCTTCTGTATTTTCTGCTCAATTTTTTTATAAACCTAAAACTCCTCTAAAAAATAAAGTGTATTAGTTAAAGAGACACACACATGTGCACATGGAGACCTTCTACAAAGGGATCCGAATACAGCAGCACACATGATGCAGGCCTAAGCATGCCCAGGGAAGAACAGAAAATTCTATCACTCAAGCCTGTCCTGATATTCAGAAGCAGGAAAGAGTAAAAAGCCATCAGTATTTCTGAGTTTCATCATCTCATGTCTTACGGCAATATGAGCCGGCTGAATTGTACTGAGGTTTCAGAGACTTTTCTCCACTCACAAATGAGTTCTGGCTTATTACAATGCTATTTATCATTGGCTCGATTCTCCCTCTGTGACTTTATATTATTGATAATTTAAAGGCATCAGTGATTTAATGACTCTTGCTCCATCTGACAGAGAAATAGCTTTGGTTCCTTTTGGAAGCAGTGGAGAGGTTGAACTTTCCTCAGGTTGAGTGACGCCACTTGTCTTATCAATGGACAAACTATATATTTCACGTATTGGTAAACACATGGGGATACTCCATGGAATACTACTGCAATCACTTTGGAGATAGCTCCTTTTTCCCCTTATAATATTTTGTTGCAAGAAATGTCGAGATCATTGTCCCTGTGGTTAGTTAACAATTGTTCAAATTTCATTTTTTAGTAAGTCTATTTTTTAGTAACTCCGCTGATGCATTTTTAAGCTATTAATGCTATTTAAAAGCCTTTCTGCATTTTCCCTTCACTTTCTTCACTTGGCAAAATCTTATTTGTCTATTAAAATGCTACTTCAGATCACTTCTCTCTGATGGCTCCTTCCAGCCTCTGAATGATACCTCTTTAGTCTGAACTCCCTCATCCCTGACTCTTGGTATTTATTATATGATTGATATACAGCATGAACTTTAATGTCTGTCTTGCATCAGCATTACCCATGAAGCTTACAGAAAATATTGATGCCTATACACCCACCACAGACCCACTCACTCAGAATGGCTGGGAATAGAAACCCAGGTATGTACAAGTTTAGAAACTTCACGAGCATTTCTGACATAAGCCAAAGTTAAGAGCCATTGCAAGAAACACTTGCTGAACGAACTCAACTATGGTATATTTTTATAAAGGATGAAAGGTATTTCCTATTCTCTTTAGTATGAGTTAAATATTCTGTAACTGCATGTGAAATGGAAACTAGATTTTTCTTTTCCAGAAAGAACATTTACTTTTTTTTTTTTTAAGATGGAGTCTTGCTCTGTCACCCAGTGGCACGATCTCAGCTCACTGCAACCTCCACCTGCCGGGTTCAAGCAATTCTGTCTCAGCCTCTTGAGTAGCTGGGATTACAAGCACATGCCACCATGCCTGGCTAATGTTTATATTTTTAGTAGAGATGGGGTTTCGCCATGTTGGCCAGCCTCGTCTCAAACTTCTGACCTCAGGTGATCCGCCTACCTCGGCCCCCAAAGTGCTGGGATTATAATAACCTCTTATGCTTTCTTGCTAGATGCCTTTGGAGCTGGTGCTTTTTGGGCTGGAGTGTTTTGACCCTTCTGAGCTTCCAAAGGAGGTACTGCCTTCTGGCCTTTTGCTTTCTGGGCAGGAAACTTCTGGGTTGCAGCCTTCTTTCCCGCAGTGGTCATCTTTTTTTCTGGAACTTTAGCAGCAGCACTCTTAATAGCAGGTGCTTTTTTGGGAGACACTTTCAGGAGAGCTGCCTTTTGAAGCTTCTTAATTTCATTCTTGATTATTCTGTTCCTCATTTTGCCTTCATGACTTTAAAATGATCAAAATCTGCCATCTTGGCTTTCCCTTCTCTGGCTTCAATCTTCTTGGCCCATCATGTGGCTGCCCATTTTGTATTGTCTGCCCTCTGCCAGGCTTATGGGACATAATTCTGCTGGGCACTGTGTGGAAACTTGAGGATGAAATCAGTGAGCTGCATGCATTTTAAAGGCATAGGCTGTCTCCTTACCTGAGTGCAAGGTCCACCGACCAAAGCCCCATTCTGATCAATAACATCTACAGTTGTGACCAGTTTTCCAGCCTAAGGTCCAAGGAAGATGTAGGTTACCTGGCCAACCTCCACGAAGCTCCTCAACACAATGTCAGTGGCATTCAGTGAGAAGGAAACTAGATTTTTCAATGCAGTTTTAGAAGACTAAACTGGGAGACAGTAGATGGTACAGTGAAGCAGATTTAGGGATAACATAAGGATAAAGTTCTGTTATTTGGAACTCTTTAAAAATGAATTAGGTTGTCATTTGATGCAGTTTCTCATCATTGAGAGTATTTGCTTGTTTAGAAGGGATTCATCATTGAACTGAGGGCTAGTGGCTACCACAGCCCCTTGTACATAGAGTTTATGGTACTTTATTTCATAGGGTTTTTTTTTCTTCCAGGCTGGTCTCAAACTCCTGGGCTCAGGCAATGTTTCCACCTTGGCCTCCCAAAATGCTGGGATTACAGGCGTGAGCCACTGTGCCTGGCCTCAGGGGTATTTTCCAAATAGAAAAATGATCTAAAACTTGAAAATACAGCCTGGGCAACATAGCAAGATCCCATACCTCAAAACTTTTTCAAAAAATTAGCCAGGCATAGTGGTGCATGACTGTGGTCCCAGCTACTTCGGAGGCTGAGATGGGAGAATTGTTTGAGCCCAGAAGCTTGAGGCTGCAGTGACCTATGACAGCACCACTGAACTCCAGCCTGGGTGACAGAGACACATTTCAAAAAAATAAATAAAATTATAAATTAAACTTGAAAATAAAAATAAAAGATAAATGTGTCACCTAGTTTGTGATGAAGAGCATTGTGTAACAAGCTTGGAGAATGAGGTCCTCTCATTCTCCAGAAAAACTCTTAAGTTTGTTTGAATTACTTTTTTCTACTGATTAGGTCCAGACTCTATGAAGCTAGACATTCATTAACTTGTAGAATACTGATAAGTTGCAAATGATTTCTGTCTAGTGGAAAAAAGATGATCCCCCAAATTATAGCATTATTGATCTAATGAACATTAACCAATTTTGAATATAACTCAGCAAACTTATTTTTCCATTCCTTTGCTGGCTGCCTATAAAAATCTCTCATCATTTATTGCTCTTTGAACCAGCTTTTCCATCTTGCTAGTTCCTTCATTAATCAGTTAAATAAATCTTTGATAACAGCTCATTAGATATTTATATGAGTCATGTTTTTAACTTTGTGAAAAATATACTTTGACAATATATAAGGGACTTATCATAGGGCTTGGCAGTAAAGTGCTATCCAATAAATGTTAGTCGTTATCTATATCTTAGGACTCGTACATTTATTTTTTAAAAAGATACTATTAGGGCTGATACTATTAGGGTACAATTTGCTTCATTATCTGTGATTCTGTCTGCTAATATGAATGAGATATACTCAGATAAGCAACCAAACTTGTGTTGCAGGAGGTGTGTTTTTCTGGGGTAAGAGGACACGTACTGCTATATTCACATAAAACATAACCAGGAGACTTGTCCTAGGGCAGACTCCACAATCTCTCTCAGGAATGTTTGCTACCCTGAAGGCATACAGCAGACAAAGCCACCAGCCCTTTAGCAGCTGAGTTGGCTGCTGCCAAATATAAGAGCAGTGAATCTACTAGCAGGAAGAACTTGAGGCCATGTCAGAATGCATACTCCATGGATACACTCCCATTTAGAAATACAAAAGTCACTCCTCCTTTCAAACCTCTCCTTTCAAAGAGTAAGTGGATTTGAAGTTGGGTGTGAAGCCCAGAGAAGAGTAGATACGCTGAATCAGCCTCCTGGGCCTCTGACACATCAGCAGAGAAGGGACAATGACACACGTGACTCCCAGCATGGGCAGCCAAGACTCCAGAAGCAGAAATGGACAGGGGAGCAATGTGGGACAAGTATTCTGAAAAGAGCAAGTTACGTTCTGTTGGGAGGGGCCAAAGGGCTAGAGAGAAAACTAATCCTGGGAGCGAGAACACACCCACGATTGTGTGTGGGGGCACATGGCAGCTGAGGTGATCTGAGACGCCCCATGGAAGCCAGTACTCAAAGCCAAGCAGACGGCAAGATGGTAGGGGAGATACAAAAGCTGCACATTCCAAGTCTTTGCACCTCAAAGACCACCTTTGGAAGCTTGTCTCTTTGATTATGAAAAAATAAAAATAAAAATAAAGGACCACAGCAGGCCTTACAGCCTTCGCTTCACTGAAATTCTTCATTTGTATTTGGTCCCCAGAGCCCTCACAATTTGACTGAGACTTTTGAGTTCTAAGAAGCTTCTATGAAAAGCTAAATATCAATTTCTAGTCACTCATTTCCTAATGTCTCCCTTTACCACACTCAGTTGACATCTGCTCTCCTGAGAGATCTGGATTTTTGGTGAAGGTTTGGAAGGACAGACGCATCATTCTGGAATGTTGGTTAAAAACATATGTGGAAAGGAGAAGATATTCAAAGGTGGGAGACAGAAAAGAAATACCAGGGGGGAAAAAAGACATTTCCCCCTTCTGGTAATTTTTGTACAAGGTGGGCATTAATGAAGCCTCTCTAAAGTTTAACATCAGGACTTACTGTTCAAATTTCAGAAGGCCTAATTCATCCATCCAGCCAGCCAGCCAGCGAGCCACTCATGCACACATCCACCCACCTGTTCAACTATTTATTAAGCATCACTATGTGCCAAGCACTGTTCTAGGCATTGAAAAGTCAGTAATAATTTAAAAAGCAAACGATCTTGCCCTTTTGGAGCTACCATTCTAGTTGACGATCATGAGGCCCAATGGATGACATGAGTTCACGCCCAACACTTTACTTAATGTGTCATTAAAAGAGGTAAATTTGGACTCACATTTTTTCATGAAGACACCAAAGGGCAAAATGGCTTCATGAGTCAGATTTGGCCATGAATGATGGTCACATTTCTTTCTCTAAAAAGATGTACAGCATTGAAAGAGCAGAAATATTAGATTACATGGGGGCTAAACCCTGGATCAGAGAAAAGTGGCCTCGAAAATTATCTTTGGTGCATAAGCATGGGATTTTAGGAGTTTTGCATATAGTGTAGCATTTCTTTCTTTTTTTTTTTTTTTTGAGACGGAGTCTTGCTCTGTTGCCCAGGCTGGAGTGCAGTGACCCGATCTCATCTCACTGCAACCTCTGCCTCCTGGGTTCAAACGATTCTCCTACCTTAGCCTCTCAAGTAGCTGGGATTACAGGTGCCCGCCACCATGCCTGGCTAATTTTTGTATTTTTAGTAGAGATGGGGTTTTGCCATGTTGGCCAGGCTGGTCTCAAACTCCTGACCTCAGGTTATCCACCTGCCTCAGCTTCCGAAAGTGCTGGGATTACAGGCGTGAGCCATTGCACCTGGCCTAGTCTAGCATTTTTTAATATAGCATCTTACATTCCTCCAGAAAATTGTTATGGTTCCAAAAAGAAAACAAACGCTAAAAATGTGTGGCTTTACTCGCACAAAGGTGACCTAAGTCATCAGTCTGAGACCTGGGCAAGCAATGTCAGTGATGTGTGTTCTCTCTGTTTCCTAGTAAACGGCAAACTCTAGTTTCAAGCACAGGTGGGAATGGTGCACCTCAACTTTTTTTTTTTTTTGAACCACTAAGAACTGCTATTGTTTCCTTCTACAGACCCAAGTTCTGAAAGACAACTTCCTAAAACTCTGTATTTATCAAGTAATGGTAAACCAAGACTATTTCTTATTTTTATTAATCTGAGCCTCAGGTTAGCAGTACCTCTACACTGAACTAATTCCAGGTCTGATGTGTTAGCGGTCCTGGGAAAATTGAAAGACAGCAAATATATATTGGGGTTCCTGGGGTCTGGAGCTAGACAACTATGTGGGACTTGAATTCCGGCTCAGCATTTATTAGTTGTGAGACCTTAAGCAATTTTCTTAACCTGTTAGACACAATTATAAAGTTAGGGGAGGCAAGTTAAAAAAGATATATATGTAAGACTGTTTGTTAAAGTATTACTTATAATAGCAAATGTCTGTTACTGGGGACTGGTTAAATAACAATTTTGTCTCCACACGCTCAAGTACTGTACAAGTATAAAAGGAGTTGAGAATAGCTTTAGATACTGTTATAGAATGAACTCCATTGGATATTGTTAATTTAAAAATATGAGGTGGAGAAACACATGTATAGCATGGTATTATTTATCTGAGAGAAGGAGAGAAATACACACAAATGCATACACGTGTGAATGCACACATGCACACTTACATTACAAAAATGGAAAACAAAGCAAAGCTTAAAATGAAATGATGTCTAGAGTGTGACCTCTGAATACCATTTCCTATGAAACTTAACCAGGGTTCCTTGGAGCAATGGCTGATTTCCTGTCTTAAGCATGAAATGTACATGATGACGCTTATCTTACCGGAAATTAAGGAAGCTATCAAAGACTGCTGGGATTCTATTTAAAAAGGACACAGAAACCAATTAAAGGAGGCTCTCACTGGCCATAGATGGTTTAAGAATGTGTAAAAATAATGGCTACACAGTATGTGATGTCAAATTATTTAAATCGTAACATTACTCATAAAACCAAATATATAAATGATCACCTTCCAAGGATGTTAAGGTACCAATACATTATTTTGATAACATAAGTATCAAGCTTTTTGTGTGTGTTTGTGCATACCATATGAATTGCATCTCAGACTAAATAAATAATTCATGAGAAAAATTTTCTCTTTATAGGCTTTTTCCAGCTAATACATGAAAAATAGAATGATACTCTTCACCCTGTTGCAACTCCCAATAAAATAACAGATGTAGGCAATTGTCACTGATGGATATTAACAGTCCCCAAAGAGAGAGAACTATTTATTATGTGTCTACTGATGGAAGTACAAATACTGCCTCTGAAGTATTCTTGTAGAAGAATCAAATATTAATGTGATAATCACTGGATCCTATTACCAATTTATGGGGAATGGAGAGAACTATGTTAAATAATACCAACGGGTGTAACCAGCAAAATCCACATTGTGGGAAACTCTCCAAGAAAAATGATCTAGTATCTTCAAGTAAAGAATGCAAGCAAAAACAAAAAAAAAAAATAGGGAGAGAGAAATTCTATAGATTAAAAGATACACAAGGGCCATATCAATCCATTGCAATGTATGCAGCTCATTTGGAACCTGATTTGAATGAGTGAACTAGAAAATATTTGTGAGATCTTTAAGGAAGTTGTAAACTGACTGAATATTTGAGGATATTAAAGAGTTACTGTTAGGGTTTCAGGTGTAATAATGGTACGGTGGGTTATGTTTGAAAAACAGATCTTTATATTTTGGAGATTCATATTATAATATCTATAAATATAATGTTATGCCTGGAACATGCTTTAAAATAATTCATTTCAGGAGCATAGGGAGCACACATGAAAGAGATTAACCATGAAGTGATCATTAACAAGTTGGATGATGGGTACAAGAGGGTTAGTTAAACTAACCTCTCTACCTGTTTATATGTATATATGTTTGATATTTTCATAATTTAGAGTGTTTTTAAAAGTTAGTGAGTGATATAACTCTGGTGGGAGTGGTGGCGGGGTCAAAGGCAGGGAATGCCAGTGACCAGGTCTATTTATAGCAATGTAACTTTCCCACCATGATCATGTTTCATCTCAACCTCCTAGCACTGTGAGAGTTTCATTTGTTTGTGCCACACTGCAAACATTTTGAAAAGCTGCTTTTTGAATGTCATACACCTTGAGCCTTGCTTTGCCATCCATCGTTTTTGTTGTTGTTGTTGATACCAAAGTAACCTTCTTATAGAACTGCATTACTCACCCAGTACATAATGGTGAGATCTCTGGTCATTCCCAAGACTGAAAGAATGTAATGTGATACTGTTAAAGACCCATCAGCTTCCCTGCTCCCATACCTGCTCAAGGTGAGTAAGCTGATGATAAGAAAGTAAGCACAGTGAGTAGCAAAATGGCAGAATCAACACTGCTTATTTCTCACTGGCCATATTAGGAGGTTACAACAGATGAGTTCTTCAAATCTCTCAAGATCAGCCTTTCCCAGTGCAAATAGGAAAAATATTTGATATATGGATCTTTATCAACACTGAACCATGACCTGTGCATACTGTGTCTTGAGATGTTAGCTAATGATAGCTTGAAACCATCATAATTAGTAAGACATAAAAAACCAAGCATCTAGGACACAAAGAAAAACTCTTTTCAAAAAGAAAAAAAAAAAAAAAGGGCCAGGAATGGTGACTCAAGCCTGTAATTCCAGCATTTTGGGAGGCTGAGACAGGCGGATCATTTGAGGCCAGGAGTTCAAAACCAGACTGGCCATCGTGGTGAAACCCCGTCTCTACTAAAAATACAAAAATTAGCTGGGCATGGTGGTGCATGCCTGTATTCCCAGCTACTCAGGAGGCTGAGGCACAAGAATCGCTTGAACGTGGGAGGCAGAGGTTGCAGTGAGCCGAGATTGTGCCACTGCATTCCAGCCTGGGGGACAGAGCAAGACTCTGCTCAAAATAAAATAAAAATAAATAAAAATAAAGTTATTTTCTTGTTAATCAGTGAAAAAAAGGATGTTATGCAGAAAGCAATTTAAAAGTAGAAACTCTTTTTGGAAATGACTCTTCTAGTGTGTGATGTGAGGATGTACCCATATATTTGACATGCTTATAAAAATCTCTAATGGTAATTCCAGCATTTTGGGAGGCTGAGGCAGGGAGATTGCTTAAGGTCAGGAGTTCAAGAGCAGCCAGGGCAACATAGCAAGACCCTATCTCTAAAAAAATAAATACATTAGCTAGGTATGGTGTCACATGCCTGTAGTCCCAGCTACTGAAGTAGGAGGCTAAAGTAGGATAAGAGCTTGAACTCAGGAGTTCGAGGTTAAAGTGAGCTATGATCATGCCACTGCACTTCAGCCTGGGTGACAGAGTGAGAACCTGTCCCTACCAAACACACACACATGCACATGTGCACACACACACACAAACATCTTCCTAAAGTATTGTAAATCATCTTATAAACTTAATTAATCTGCTCTCAGAGGTTTTGAACTAAGAATTTTAGTAAGTTTTAAAGAAATTTTCAAAAAAATGTAAAGATGAAACATTTATTGAATAATAACAAGAGATCGACACTAGAAAAGACAGCAATTTGCTAGCAGATTTTTAAAAAATCCTGGAGTAGTTGGTGGGTAGAATTGAAACACAGATATCTTGGTGCAGCCAAGCAATGCCTGTCTTTCATTTGAATCTAAGGATATTTCTGAGGCATCTTTTTCAGTTATGATCAAGTATTTTTTTAAAAAACCTCAAGCCGGGCATAGTGGCTCATGTCTGTAATCTCAACACTTTGGGAGGCTGAGGCAGGAGGATCGCTTGATCTCCGGAGTTAGAGACTAGTCTGAGCAATATGGCGAAAACCTGTCTCTACCAAAAATATAAAAAATTAGCCGGGCATGGTTGCATGCACCTGTGGTCCCACCTACGTGGGAGGCTGAGGCAGGAGGATCACTTGAGTCCAGGAGGCGGAGGTTGTAGTGAGCCAAGATCGCACCACTGCACTCCAGCCTGGGTGACAGAGCAAGATCCTGTCTCACACACACATGCAAAAAACCAAAAGCCCCAGAACTTTTCCTTTAAGTTACTAATTCAGAAAGCGTGAAACAAAAATTTTCAAAAATACTGAAGCATATTCAAGCATATTTTTGATTAAAATATTATTTTACTTTATTTTCATGAGTGAAAACATAAATAAATCAATGTATTTATCATACCATTGATAAATACAACCAAAACATTATTTTATCTATGACTCGCCCTTTTAAATGTACACTTTTATCTATATTTTCCATAGTATATTAGCATAATACTAATTATTAATAAATGAGTACAAAGAAGAGGGTATCCTCAAAATGTTTTACTGATAGGATGTGTGTTCAAAATAGCTTGGAAACCATGGATATAGTGATTAAGGGTCTTCATTTTGGAATCAGACTGCTTAAGTTTGAATTTTGAATCTATTGTGAACTTTGGACAATAGCTTGGCTTGTCTAAGCCTCAGTTTGTCTGTAAGACAAGTATACTAATAGTAACTGCATGACTATTATAAAGATTAAATGAGATAATATGTGATGTTGTAGCTCTGTCTTTGGCACATGGTAAGTATGCCAAAATGTTAGGTACTATTACGATAATCATTATCATTGCCCTCATCCTTGTCATCATCATCCTCATCATGAAATCAAGCTGTCTAGTCACAGTCATTCATGTTCTAAATATAATAATAAAATATAAGTAATCTTCAATGTGTCTTTAATGTGTTTCTCACAGTTGTATAAAAAATGTCATACTTATTTTGGCAGTTTTATTAAAGGTACAGCTGCTCAACTAGGTCAGATGTCCCTCAAGGCCCGCTTGAATGATGTGATATGAACACACCACACAGTTAAATCTGAAATAACTGAAGGACAGGCAGTGAATGCAATACCTTTTCTCATTAGATACCTCCCTTAATTATTTACAAAGTGCATGAATGAAAAATAAGAGGGTCTTGGAAGAAATCGGGCAGGACATACGCCAAGTACTTATAACCATACGTATTGTTACTTCAATTTCCTCTAGAGTTCTGCTTGTGTGGCTGAATCCCTAGGTTTTCTCAGATAAAAACCAACTGAGTTAAGAAGAGGTTGAGAAAAGCACGCACTTCACCACGAAGTCGGTGACCCATGGAAAGCTACACACTTCTCAATGTCTAGATCTTAAACAAGATCGTAAATAAGGTCTTAAATGATCTTAAACAAGATCCACGCCTTCAATCCATGTGTTTTGAAGACGTATCAGAATGATCTTGGGACCCGACACAGCTGTATTTGTAAAATTTGCAAAGCTATTGTATGTGTACTTTAGTCCTGTTTTAGCTTTTGATGTGATGATATTCCTTGTTGGTAGGGATTTCCTGCAGACAGGGTCTTTCTTAAATAATGGAATTATTAGTGTATTTTCAATCAGTTGACTTCTGTTTGAATAAACTGCTGTCTTGCCCCTCTTTTTGTACTCTACCAGAGAGCTAACAAATATGGGCAAAATAAATCTCTCCTTATGAAGGAAAGCAGGATTTTGCCCATATATTTTTCCAAGAGGATTTTAAAAATAAACTCCACTGAACTTTAAATTTGAAGTACTAAGGGCTTAGGGTACCTGTGACTCGTCTTAAGTAGGACTGCAAATAGGAAACAGAGTTGAGGCTCCAATATTAATCTGGCTCCATATTCAATGCTGGTGATTTCGAAGACATTCATTCAATGATCACAAAAATATGTTCTCCCTGACTTTTGCTGAGAGCAGATATTAGTTTCTGAATGATTGATTTTATTGGCCAGATTGTGGTGGTTCAAAGCACTGAGCAGAACTGTGGCAACATAAAACTGACACATATTCATTCTCAATCACTGGTGTTTATGAAGTTCTAGTATCAATGGCCACTATCTGAGCTAGAGTTGGTGCCAAGAGCTTTATATGTACTATCCTGGGGGTTCTTCTTGACAATACTGAGAAATAAGCACTGCTATTACAAGTGAGGAAACCAAGACTTAAGGAGACTGAGGAACATATCCAAAGTCACACAGCCAGAATGGAGTAAGACTCCAAGTTCCAACCTAAAGCCAATGTTCTTAATAAACCCATTATATAGTCACCCCAAAAGGGGAGTAGGAGTATGTGAGTCTAATCAGCACACTTAAAGCATTTTATTGAAAATGGCAGGCCTGTTAGCATTTTCCTTGTTTTTCATAAATTTAACAGTATTTTGCTCAGGCTACTTTGCCCCAGTATGTTGTTCTTTGAGACTCAGTAACTATCAATTGACAGCAAGGAAGAAGTTTTACCAATAGGCTGGCAAAGAAGCTGGGAGGGGTGCAGAAGCCAGCTTCACACTGAACACGTTCCAGAGATATTCAACAACAGAAGTAATCCATATGAGAAAACAAAGGGAGTAGCTGGAGTCTTTCAGAAGTTTTATGTTTATTCTTAGACACAGTTTCAAATAAACCTATCAAAATATTGCAGTGCAGTGAGAATGTGAATAATAACTCCAAAGAAAGTAATAATTATAATTAACGTGTATCAAGCCTTATTATGTGCTAGGCTCTCAGCCAAGCCCTTAACATAGTTTTTCCTGCTCTCACTCCCTTCAACAAACTTTTATTGAGGGCCCACTATGTGTTTGGTCCTATTCTAAACTCTGTGAAATAGAGCCTTGAAAAAAATAGCCATAGTCCATGCTCTCAGGGAGTTTACTTTTATATATTGTCTTTTAGGTACATGAATACAAGCTTTTTGGAGGAAAATTTGCAAATTTTCATCAGAAGGCTTAAAATTCTTTAAAATATGTGATTTTTGATATTATCATATAATGAAATAATACTTCAGACACTAGAAATGATTTAGAATTTTATGAAATGATGCAGGAAAATGTTCATAAAGAGTATGCAACATATATTTTTATAAATTATGGACACAGAAAAAATAAGAAGGCTACATAATCACCAACTTTATAGTAGTATCTCTGAATAACTGGATTGTGGGTGATTTACATTTTATGCATTTTTATTTGTTTTTTCTAAATTCCTATGATGAATAAGTACTACTGATACAAGAGAAATTACTTTATAAATATTGTAGCCCTATTCATTTCTATTCCAGACCATTTGTTCTGAATCTTATGTCTCCATGTATATTTGTTTCTGAATCTAATGTCTCCATATATATTTTGAAAGAGTATAAGAAATGGAAGTAAACAGTGCTATATTTCAGTGATTACTGTCATTTAGAGGCAAATAGTACAGTGGGGAGTCACAGAACTAGATTCATACTAGTTCAGCAAATATCATTTTGCACCTAGGACCAGTTCTAACTACCAAGAACTTCAGATTACATCTCCTGTTTGAGCCTTCCTTTACCCATCTATAAAATGAAAGGATTGGAAAAAGTGATTTTTAAGGATATTGTCAATGATCAAAAGTTATTTTCCTTGCTCTATTGACAACGACTATGGCTTCTAGACCTTTGGGCATTCATGGAAGTCCAGCTCTTAACAAAGCTACACATGGAGAAAAGTCACATTGTGATTCAAAGGGACCAGAGAGTGTCTATTTGCAGATACACCCTCATATATTTTCTGAGTCTAATTAGAATATTTTCAATAAAGTTCTGATGCTTTTGTTACCGTCATGATAATTCTGTGTTATTTTAAAAATGGTGACTTTTTTTTTTATCCTCAAGCACATGTGTTGGCTCCTAAGTAAAAAAAAAAATACGTATTTATCAGTATTCTTTGTGCAATATTTCTGTTTCCCATCAAATGTTCAAGTGACTTACATATGACTAGGACAAAACAAGAGGGGAGACAAAATTCCAGGTCCATTAAATGAGATATGAATGTAACTGGGAATCTTAAAGCAGATTCTTTTCCTATACACACTGAATATTCTATAGCAGTATAGTGCAATGGGACTTTTTGGAATGGTAGAAGTGCTCTATATCTGCACTGTACAATATGGTAGACAATAGCTACATGTGGTTAGTTAGTGCTTGCAATATGACTAGTGTGAATGAAGAACTGAATTTAATTTCAATTAATTGAAATAGCTACCTGTGGCTAGTGACTACCATATTGTGCAGCTCAGGTTACAGCCTTGCTATATAGAATATGTCTCATGGACCAGCAGCATCAGCATTATCTGGGAATTACTAGAAATGCAGAATTGTTAGAAATGCAGAATCTCATTCCCTATTGTAACCTACTGAATCAGAATCTGCATTTTAACAAGATCTCCAGGTTGATTCATATGAAAACTCATGTATGAGAAGCATTGCTCTAGAGAAAATTGCTCAACTTTCCATTTCATTGCATCAGTCAATCAAGCAACCAAATGATCTCTCAATAAGTCAGCAGGTACCAGTATCTGCTCATGGCACCAGGCACCGGATAAGTCACGGCAGGAAAACGGAAAAGATATAGGAATGTGCACTATGCAGTACAGCATGGCAGATAATTACCTTTCAAACTGTTCTGGCAATGCCCTTTCCTAAATGTGTCACGTTAAGCAAGATAGTTTACCTCTCTGTTTCCCCATCCTTTAAACAGAAACAGTTTGTGAAGATTAAATTAGATAATGTACTTTAAGTGCTTAGCACATGCCTGGCATATAGCATGTACCCAATAAATTGTCATTTTGCTGTTGTTTTACTTATCAAGGCTCTTATAATGAAGCTGCAGGAGATTCACATCCTTAAACCACCTGGACCTTTGTGGAACATGTGGGTATTAACTACAGCCCATGCTGAAAAGATGCTGAATCTTATGTGGCTTCATTCTCCAAGAATGCACCACTCTAATCAATATCAGCATGTAGGAAGATAAAACACTTCAGTACGGACATATTGTTCATTATATAAAATGTCAAAAGAGAGTCAATTCATGTGACTAATGAAGGTGTTTAACTTTTTTTTTTTTTTTGAGATAGGGTCTTGCTCTGTTGCCCAGGCTGGAGTGCAATGGTGTGATCACAGCTCACTGCAACCTTGACCTTGACCTCTCAGGCTCAAGTGATCCTCTCACCTTAGCCTCCTGAGCAGCTTGGACTACAGGCATGCACCCCCATGCCTGGCTAATTTTTAAATTATTTTGTAGAGACAGGGTCTTACTAAGTTGCCAGGCTAGTCTCAAACTCCTGGGCTCAGGTAATGCTCCCGCCTCAGCCTCCCACAGTGTTGGGATTACAGATATGAGCCATTGTGCCCAGCCTTGTTTAACTTTTAAATGTCATGTCCTCTGCCACAGGATCTTGGTATATTTTCTGAATGAAAGCTCGCATTATAATTAATTTACTTAAAAAACTTATTTTTTATTTTTTAGAGACAAAGTCACACTCTGTCACCTAGGCTGGAGTGCAGTGGCAAAATCATAGCTCACTACAACCTTGAACTCCTAGGCTCAAACAATCCCCCTGCATTAGCTTCCCAAGTAGCTAGCACTACAAATGCATGCCATCATGCTTGGCAATTTGTTTTTTATTTTTTGTAGGGACAGGGTCTCACTATGTTTCTCAGGCTGGCCTCAAACTCCTGGCCTCAGGTGATCCTCCTACCTTAACTTCCCAAAGTACTGGGATTACAGGCATAAGTCACTGCACACAGCTAACAAATATTTATTGATAACTTAGTTTTGGGAGAAGGTTTAAGGATGGATTCTGCAGTCAGACTACTTGGATCAGAAGCCCAGTTCTGCCACCTAGCAGCACATTTTAAATCTTTTCTGTACCTTAATATCTTCATCTGTAAAATGGGAAAACTACAGTAATGAATGACCGTTTAAAAAACTGCCTAAAACTTGTCAGCATAAGAAGTGTTTGGAAGTACTTTTCTTCACAAATTAGTACTACCCCTACTTTGCTCAGCTTTCAGACCAAATGCTGCAAGAACTTATGAATGCCAAGTGACAACAAGTATTTATAATGCTTGTGAAACATTAACAAACAAAATTTAATATGGTGTAGAATGTGGCATCACTATTTATTTAAAATATGGTCCTTTTGGTATTCTTTGTAACTGGGTCTTCTTCAAAGGAATCCAAAACAGACCTGAATTATACACAATCAGTTTCAGCGGTGCTGTTGACCAAATTTATCCATGAATTGAATTAAAAATTATAGAAGAGTTTGGAGGAAGACGTTCAGCATTTGAGCTAATATGTGCAGCAGATCACTCCATTAAGCATCATTTCTCATTTTGCCGCATCACAGTTAAACCAGAATGTGGACCTTTTGATATAAACCACTGCTGGAAAATGACTGTACCAAGTAACTGGGTTCTTTCCTCTGACTCATCCTGACCCCAGCTACAGAAAACCAGTTATCTCATATTGATTAGGGATGGGCTTACTTTTGGAGGGTAATTAATCTGTTTTTTAAGAGAGCTAATAGTTAGATTCATGGACTTTCACATACAATTTTTTTAAAAATTGAAACCATCCTGAGCATATGGTATGAATGTGTGTGTGCGCACGTGCGTGTGTGTACGTGCGTGCACATGTGTGCGTGCATGCATATTTGTTTGATGATTTTGTTCCTCAAAATCATTGTTATAAATTACAGATAACACTGTGGAAAATCCCTAGAAGAGAAAGAGTTCCAATTAACATCCAATTTGTTGTTGGGGTCTGTGGAACTCCCTGGGGTGTCCTAGAGCCAAGAAGTCCAGGCAAAACTAAAGATCCTTGGGCTTCCAACTCAATTATCCCTCACCCTCTCAAATGAACAAGCAAATAAAATATACACTCAAAATCTGCCAAGATACACATGTGAATAAATGGACTAGTGGAATCCAGCGATAACTCTAATTTAAATAAAAAATATGATGGAATGATGAGTAACAGCTTGGGCTCTAAAATCAGTCTGGGTTCAGTTCCCAGCTCTGCCAGTGACTACTAACCATGAAACCTTGGCACATGATATAAAGCCTCTGAAGTTTCCCTGTGTGTAGAATGCGGATAACAACTGTGTCAACTAGATACATTTGTTATAATAATTAAGTAAGTAGTGATGGAAGCTTGTATTTACATCAGCATGTATGAACTGCTCCTTTAAGCACTTTTTGTATATTCCCTAGTTACTCCTCACAGTGGTCCACAGGATGTGCAGTTATCTGCTCCCTGTCTCCACTATACAGATGAGGATATAAATACACATATATTTAGTAACTTGCAGAAAAACAACAGAGCTGGTAAGTGGAGCAGGTAGTGTTCGAACTCAGGAGGCCAGACTCCAGAGCCCACATGTAAACCATTCTGCATAAGATGTTTGATATAGTTACAGGTATTTAGTAAATAATCATAATCAGTAAATATTAGCTATTCTTGTTATTGTATTTATGGTAGATGGTAATGAAAACTATAACAAAAACTATTGCTAATGTCCCTCATTCCATCATCTTTTTTCCCTAAGGATGGGAGGGCCCCGCGGATACGTTTCTGTGGGCTAGAGAATCTGTTGTTCATGTTTACAAGACAGACGCAAGGTGGTAAAAAAAAAAAAAAAAAAAAAAAAATGCAAGAGCTCTTCCTGATGAATATTCTGGTCTCAGTAGTCTAGGTAAAGAATTTTTAAAAATCTAATTTCTCCCTTGTCTTGCACATCAGTTTGGAGAATGTGGATGCCAGTAATTATCCTGTGGCGGGCTCTCATTCAGATCACTGTCTCTTTGCCAGAGCGCTATGGGTTCTCAGGGGGCCTTTCTCTGCAGGCTGCTGAGTGCTTTTGGTCTCAGAGCTACCCACAAGCCACTCATGTTTACTGACATCTTCCTAAGAACTCAGACTCTCCATCTCTCTTGACGGAAAATGGCCATATAATTAAAGATCTCTATATACGAATAGACTTCCTCTTCCTCAAAATCTTGATCTCTTGTCTCACTGCAGGGCCTTTGCACACACTAGAATACTCTCCCACCAGCTCTTGGCAAAACCTCACCCTTCTGGTATCATTTTTGAAATCACCATCTCTAAGAGGCTTGCTCTTCCTAATCTAAATCTCTTCCACTACAACCCTTTCATCACCCTCACATTTTCTATTTCCCCAGAGTACTTACCATTAAAAAAATACTCTTGTTAGCATATGCCCTAGATGTAAGCTCCATGAGGTAGGGCCCTTGTTTTTCTTGTTCGTCACTGCACATTCTATCTTAGCATGTGACACTCAATAAACATTAAATCAACAAATACATAAATTTGCTTCTCCTTACATTAGCTGGATTCTTCAGACCGTTCTTGTTTACTAAGGCTTGTATTTTTAAGGTCCATCTCGCTTTACCAACTTTCTGTTTCAGGTTCTTCTTCATAGGCCCTCATTCATTCATTCACTCAATAAATATTCATTGAGTGCCCACAAAGTGCCAGACATTGGAGGTCAAAGAGGAATAAAACACATTCTGGCCCTTGAAGAACTTTGAGTCTCTTGGGCAAGCCACATGTGGACAGATGATTTCCACAGAACCTTCTGTCTACTACTGGTATTATGGACCACAGAAGGGCTCCTAACCAGACTTGGATAGTAGGGGAAGGCCTCCTGCAAGACATGAAAAAGGAGCTGATTGCTGAAGGATCAATGGGAGGTAACAGAGTAGAGAAGACTGGGACCATATTCCAGGTGGAGGGAACAACATCAACAGGGGTACAGAAATCATGATGGTGGGGACACTCTACATGATTAAATGTTAGATGTTTAAGTGTGAGGAAGGGATGGCATGGGCCAGGTCATGGAAAGTCTTGAATCATGTGCTAAAAAGCTTGAATTTGATCCTGTAAGAACCAGGAGCTATGAAGGTTTTATTCAGGAAAATGAAGGTATTATGTCATTGGATTTTTTCGTAAGAGACAGGGTCTCACTACATTGCCCAGGCTGGAGTGCAGTGGCTATTCACAGGTGCAGTTCCATTATGAACAGCATAAGAGTTTGACCTGTTCTGTTTCTGATCTGGGTCAATTCATCCCTCCTTAGGCAACCTGGTGGTCCCTGCTAGCAGGAGATAACCACATTGATGCTGGATTCAGCACAGACACCAACTGGCATAGTGCACTACAGCCCAGAGATCTTGGGCTCAAGTGATACTCCTGCCTTAGCCTCTGGAGTAGTTTGGACCACAGTCACAAGCTACCATGCTGTGGCTTATTTGAATTTTTAAGAAGCATGCTTACAACTTCCTTTTCTTGAGCTCATGAATGGCAGCAATTTGCACCTGGTCAAGTTAAGAAAAAGGATGATGAAATCCGTGAAGGAGTTACATAAGAAGACAAATGATGTCTTAAAAAGACATTAAAAATTTTTCTGGAGAAGGCCTATAGCAGAGAGAGTCTAGGCATGGGCATAATTGCAACTCTTATTTATATGGGCATCATTTGCTTAAACTAAGAGATGATTTCACTCTGATTGGAAACCATTTCTGATTCAACTTAAATGACCTGCATAAATATTTTATAACCATTCAGGATCAGCATATTTGCAGATAAGCCAGACTACTTAATAAAATGTGTGTTTTAGCGCTGCAGAGAGGAAAAAAATTGAATAATTGTAGGAAATGTTGGAATCAAAAAATGTGTGACAGAAATTCTTTGGGTAAACAAATCATTGCTATGAAAACACTGCTTCCCATAATTTAGTATTTAGTAATCACCTACTAATTAAATAAATGCTAGAATATTGCGAAGCTTAAGTCCTTATTTTTCTTAAAACTGTAAGCATGCTTATATTTACAATTTTACCAACTGCATATTTTTTCCTTTATTCTAAGAGAAAAAGAGAAGTGAGATGCATTGAGACAGTCTGGAGAAATTAATGCACAGAGTTAACCTGTATTATCCAACCCAAAAGTTTTCTCCTGGAAAATCAGTTTGAGTTACTGTATGGTTTTTGTTTTTTGTTTTTTTTCCTCAGGGAGTGTCCATGAAATAGCCCTTTAACCCCATTCTTTTCTTGAGGAATGGCAGTTACATTTCTTTGTTTTGTTCTTTCTTATATAGGGGGCCCATAAATTGTGTCCTGTGACGGTGTTTGGTTTCCTCATGGGTAGAGATCAAGTCTTGCCTTCTGTGTGACTGCTCCCCTCCCAGCACTTTGCATGCAGTAGACGCCCATAAAATATTTAATGAATAATGAACGAATTATCCAATCAACTCTCACTCCACTTCATCTCCTGTTTGATAGAGAAGATAGATATTTCCAGAAAGGCAAATTTAAAAGGTTTCCTGATCATGTCCTTTGCAGAGACATGGATGGAGCTGGAGGCCATTAGCCTTAGCAAACGAATGCAGGAGCAGAAAACCAAACACCACATGTTCTCACTTATAAGTGGGAGCTAAATGATGAGAACACATGGACACATAGAGAAGAACAACACACAATGGGGCCTGTTGGAGGGTGAAAGGTGGGAGGAGAGAGAGGATCAGGAAAAATAACTAACGGGTACTAGGCTTCATACCTAGGAGATAAAATAATCTGTGTAACTGACCCCCAGGACACAAGCTTACCTATGTAACAAACCTGCACTTGCACCCCTGAACTGAAAAGTTAAAAAAAGAAAAAAAGAAAAATAAAAGGTTTCCTGAAAGTAATCTATAACAAAAAAATCTTTTGAGACTGAAAAATGTAACATATATATTTTTTAGAAACGACCATGAAAACTAATAAATGCAAAACTTAATGTTTGACATTCATTCATTCATTCGTTCAACAAATACTGAGCATCTGCTGTGTTCTAGGCACTACATTTGGAGCTGTGGATACAAAAGTGAGTATGAAAGACATGGCAGACAGACAATATACAAGTAAGCATTAAATAAACATTCCAGACTGAGATAAACGCAATGAAGCAGATAAACAATGTGATGGCTAATACTGAGTGTCAACTTGATTGGATTGCTCCTGGGTGTGTCTGTGAGGGTGGTGCCAAAGGAGATTAACACTGGAGTCAGTCGACTGGGAGAGACAGACCCATCCTTAATCTGGGTGGGCACCATCTAATCAGCTGCCAGTGTGGCTAAGATAAAGCAGGCAGAAGAACGTGGAAGGACTTGATTTGCTGAATCTTCCAGCCTTCATCCTCCTTCCAGCAGGAAGCTGTATGCTTCCTGCTCTTGAACATCAGACTCTAAATTATTCAGCTTTTGGACTCTTGGGCTTACACCAGTGAAGCCTGCACTGTTGGCTTATCTACTTTTGAGGTTTTTGGGACTTGGACTGGCTTCCTTTCTCCTCAGCTTGCAGATGGCCTATTGTAGGACTTCACCTTGTGATTGTGTGAGTCAATAATCCTTAATAAACTCCCCTTCAGATTCACATCTATCCTATTAGTTCTGTCCCTCTAGAGAATACTAATACAAACAGGGAGATGAATTTTCTACTCATCTTTTAAAGTTCAGCCCAAATGTTACCCCTGTGAAGCTTCCCTCAATATCCCTAGGATGTGTTAGGTACTTTTTCCTGCTTCCTCTCATTAATCTTTCCACATAGCTTCTTTACACAATGTTTCACTTTGTATCCCAGTAACAGGCTTGTCAGTATTCATACCAGATTATGAACAAGGATCTCACATATAGGAGACATTCATTAAGAAATTGTTGAGTAAAGAATGAATGACCTGTATTGGCTCTTAAAGCAACAGAAGCTCCCAAGTACTGATGGAGAACCCACTGCCATGAGTCTCTCTAGACATCAGCAGATATTTTGGCATGAACTTCAGCAGCCATTCCTAGTATTACCCTATAGAGCTGCTTGTCCAAGCTTTACCTGATGGTCATCCTCTAGCACCCTGTTGTGGTGACCCTCCTCTAGACAGCATATGTGTGTCATGTGTGCCTAACTTGCCCATGTTCTCCAGGAGAAGAGTAATGCTTCACAGACTGTGCTTCACAGATTGTCCACCACTGTTGACAGCACTTTACTTGGGTGCTCTGAGGAACTGTGCATTTCTTAAACAAAAGGGTTAAGACCCAAATGAGGGGGTTACTGGTTCAGAGCTAACTCTAGATTCTGGCTTTTGTAGCCGAGGGTGCCTCTGTCCAGTGTTAGCCATGTAGCCTGTTGGTGTGCTCTAACTCTGGAGGCAGACTACCTAGATTCAAATCGGCTCTGTCACCTACTTGCTCAACAAGTTCACCTATGAAACACTCTTCCTTGATATCTTGGTGAGAAAAATTATACCTTCACAGACTGATCCTAAATTTATCTCTATTTTTAAATAACTTGTTTCCTCTATGGAATACATTCAGGTCTAAATACATTTTGTCAAGCAGCAAGATAATGTTAGGATTACAGGCACAAATTCTAGAGTCAAATCAACCTGCACTCAAGTGTTGGCTCTTCCAGTTTCTGTGTATGTGACCCTGGGGCAGTTGCTTAACCTCTCTGAGCCTCAGCTATTTTTAATGTATAAGTGTAGACAAACTGTATAATTTGGGGTTTATAATGGGGTTGAATGAGATTATGTATGCAAAGGGCTTGATTATGCCTGGGAAATGGGAGCTCAATAAATGTTAGCCACTGTTACCACCACCACCACCATCACAGTTGGAAAGTGATTATCCATGATATTTCTACATTTCTTTGACCACTTTCATTCTTGGCTGTCCTTTCAAGGATATTTACATGTCAAACAGTCTTGGAAAGTAGAGATAGAGCTTCTCTGCAGGGCAGAGGGAAGATTTGTTTCCTGACTAGGATAATAAGGATAATGTTTCTCTCCTGAGCAGGTTTGCTAGCAGTACCTTATAAGATTGGGCTTTCCTAAGCTCAGGGTTCCTTAGCTGTCACATAGACCCACACTGTTTGTGGGATCTGCCTGGGCTCCTCCAAATTACCCCCCAGGACTTGGGGAACAGGGGAAATGGGTGCCAACAGAAAGCACATGCCCTCTGCTGTGCTGTGAGTAGGACAGTCCTTTGTCACTTTCACAGGAGTTTCGTGTCATCTGCCAGCATTTAGGAAGCTCAGTGGAGTAAAATTGTACACCCTTCTCAGTTCTTTAAAATGATAGTCATCATCATTATCACCATCATCATCATCATCATCATTCTTTTGGGTGAAAAAAATGTTGAAAGCAAATATTAAGGTCATCATCCTAAGTGAAACTCCTTTTATGATTCAGGGGTACCACTCCCTTTGAAGGTACTAATCATTTGACTTTTATATACAGACTATGACTAATTTATTATATGCTTTTCCAGAATCATGTAGAAAAAATGAAAACTAAATTTACTGGGAAGATATTTTAAATGTGAGTTTACTGTGTGTTTACTGAATGTGAGTTAACATGACTTATTAAATATAGAAATATGTTTAAATTACAGATTACAGATTTGCGTTATCCTTGTTAATATAAACATGTTCATTTATTTCTGCTGGGTTTTGAAGGCACAGAATTCAAAATCAGAGCCACCCATGCAATTTGGTATGTATATTGTAGTGCCATGATTTTGTTAAATGTGTTTCTTAATATGCTTTTTATCTATGTCATTTTAGTTAAATGGTTTGGAATAAACCAAAACAACAACAAAAAGATTAAAACATCTTTCCCAGAAAACGCGTTTACAAAACATTCGTTCTCGATGTCTTAGTAATAAAACAATTTTACACCTAGAGCCCCCAGTTTAATTTTCCTTCTTTCTATTTTTATACAAAACCCTTATTTTCCCATCAGGGGAAAACAGAGCTTAGCTACATTTGTTAAGGTGGTAGGCTGGGGTAGATGGTAAGAGTAGAGTCAAGTCAGTCAAATGGATCTTGATTTAAGTCCTGGTTTCCCCACTTGCTAGTGTGGTGACTAACCTTGGACTGTGAACCTGTTTCTTCATCTGTAGAGTGGGCATTATACCACAAACCTTGAAGAATTACTGAGAGGCTTAACTAACAGATAGTGCTTCAAGAACACTAGTGAAATATGTGCTTATAATATAAGAAAAGAAAGAACAGATGATCTACTCCATAAATGCCATTGATGCAAGAATTTTTTGGCAGATTTAAAGTTGAATTAGAAATAATCTCTGCCCCACAACTGTTCTTTGGTTTTATGACTTTGGCTTACTCTGAAAGATTAAAAAAAGAAATAAGCACATAGAATTTATATTTATTTGCCATAGGGATGATGTTAAAGATATCATCTCCTATGTTTCTCAGTGAGACCTCAATGAAAACCCAGGAAAAACATTATTTCATGCATAAGGTCCCAGATAATCTTGTCTTTCCTTAAGGAATTTTTATGCTTTTATTCAGGAAAAATATGTGACTTTCCTGTTGTGCTGTGGCTATCAGGAAGCTGTAAATGAAATCTGTGGTTCCATGTTTTAAATCCAGCAAATTAGATATTAATGTTTGATTTTAATTTGATATTAATAACCATAATAGTAGCTACCACTTATTTAACGCCAATATGTGCCAGGTGTTGTTCACAAATCATCTCTACTCCTAAATTGACCTGTGAAGCAGGTGTCATTACCCCGTTTTACGGATTAAAAAAAAAGGCCCAGCTGAGTGAAGCTACTTTGTTCAGGGTCACACATGAGGGAGGTGAAGGTGAGATTTACACCCAGGTGGTTCTGACCTCAAAATGTATGTTCTTTCTACTGTTGTAATCATTGAGCCTGTCTAGATTTTCCTGAATCTTAATTTTTTTCTTTATAGTTATTTTGTTGGACACAATTGTGCAGACATCACTCTTTGTTTTAGCACACTTTGCTTGTTTTAAACATTGCTTTGTGGTTTCTATCCAGTGAAGTCTTTGTGAGGAGAAAGATTCAGATTGGCAGCTTTGCCTCCCAAAGCTGACCTACACAGCAAAAGTCTGTTCTGTGTAAGCAAATAATATATATCAGTGGAACATGATTAAGCCACAGGACACATAAGGCCAAGCCAAATTTTGACTATAACCTAGTATTATGGAGTGTGGACAGTGCATAATGATGCCAAATTAAGACACACATGCACACATGTGCACACACACAAACCTACATACCTGTAAAACACACTCTCATGAGTTTCTTGAAATATTGTCCAAAAATTCTGCACCTACAAAACCAGCTTGTCTGCTGGCTCTTTGTAAATGTTGTACTCTTTGCCCGGAATGTTTTCCTTCTTACCACTTTCTTTACCTAATTCACTTCTACTCATTCTTCAAATCTCTAAACAGCCTTCATATTCACTGAGCCACCTCCCACTCACCCCTCTTCAAGATTAGGTCAACCTCTCCTAATCTCTCTAACAGGTGCCCAGCATCTTCAAAGTGATAGGCACCTAAAACATTTTAATTGAATGAATCAGTGAATCTCTGGCTGATGGATTTCGATGAGGGTCGATTTAGAGACCCTGGATGAAGGTGGTGGTTTCAAAGTGAAAAGAGCTCAAAATCTACCTTTAAAATCCCAGGTATTGAATGAATTGAATGAATAAACAAACACTGATAGATTACTTATCCAGTGGACATTCATAATGCTTGACACCTTCATAGTTTTTCAAATCAGGAAACTGAAGTTAGTTCATTATGGTGTACAATCTTTCCCAAGGGTCAACTAAGCAATTCCCAGCCATCCTGCTCTTTCCTACTATTCTCTGGTCTGGTTCAGAATGTTGATCCAGAGAAAAGAGGCATTTTTCTGTGTCCCCAAATAGGTCATTTCCAGCAATACGTCCACACTGTTAAGAGGCACTAGTTTTCAGACTTAGAAGGCAGTCACCTAGTAGTGCTGAGTAGGCTTCTGAGATGAGCAAGAAGAACACTTAGGAAAGGACAGGGCTGAGGCACAGAACACTGGCCTCTTCTATGCTTTGCCTCCTCTTAGCAACCTCCACTATTCTGCCTTCAAGATGTGTTTTAATGCATAGGAGAGCTGAACCATGCAACTCCACATTGCTACACCTGCTGGGTGATTTACTGAGTGGGTAGATCCACAAGATCAAGTATCCACTAGCTGGGGAAGGAGAGAAGCCTTGATCTGAGACGAATGATCCTTGAAAACACAGAGAAAGCTTATTAAAGAGCCTGTAAGACATTAAGGTAGGGGCATTACTGAATAATGGCATTTGAGATGCTTCCTTTTTTTTTTTTTTTTTTCTATATAGCAGGGATTCTCAACCAGAGAGGATTTTGCTCACCTCTTCCTCAGGGCTATTTGGAAAAGTCTGGACATATTTTTTAGCTGTCACAACTGGAGGTGAGGGGGAGACTGCTACTGGCATCTAGTGGGTAGAAGGCTGTGTTGCTGCCTAACATCTCAAAATGAACGTGATGGCCCTTGCCCCACGTGTCAACAGTGGGGAGATGAGAAACCCTGATATATAACTATATGATCCTGGGTTCCTTACCCTCCTTGTGCCTCCACTTTTCATCTGTAAAAGTGGGTATAACAATCATTCTTATCTCACAAGGTGAATGTGAGTGTTAGCATTGTCATCTGTAAAGTGTTTTTGGCCCATAGAAAAAGCACTCTAAATGTTAACAGATAGTAAGTCACCGTGTAGCTTAAAAATCCTCTCGTTTTCCCAGGATACGAGAGGATAATTTTCAGGGTAACTTCAAGTTCTTCTCCTGCTGATCTTGTCCTACATCCTCTCACCAGTGAAGCCTCATTTGCCAATTTCTAGTCCCTCAACAGATCCCACTTTTCCCTCCGTGGGGCCTTTGCACAGGCTGGTCCTTCTTCCTAGGTACCCTTTCCCACATTTCTTTTGGAAGGCCTTCTAATGTCACTGGAAACGTCATTACCTCAAAAGGACCTTTCCTGACCACACTGCCTCAGTAGGACTCTGATTTTATTTTCTCTGGTGCCTCCCTGCTCCTTGAACAGCCCTGGTCACAATCAGGACGTATTAATTTGCTTGCTTACTTGATGAATGTCTCCATCCCCCAGTTGATTACATGCTACATGTGGACAGGGACCATTATGTCTGTACTGCTTAATTCAAGGACCACAATAAATACTTGACGGATGAATGAATGGACAGATAAATGAAGAAACTGGGGAGCTGGGAAAACCACTCCCCCTTTGAGGCTGGAGGAGATGAAACACATAGTGAGGACTCAGAGCCATCTTGAGGCCAAGGGTATTCTATTTTAATAGCTTTCTCAAGAGGAAAGGCCACTGTTGCCAGGGGCGATTCTGGGTAGAATAGGGCTGAGTTGGGTGAGAGGGGTGAGTGACTGAGAGAGAGAGGAAATACATTCCCATTATGTTGAAGGACAGCCCTTATTTATATTAATGTTTAATTCCACTGACCTAGTTTAGACTCACTAGCTTTATGAATTTATTTTTGGCTTGTTTTTTTTCTTTTGGGAAGAGGTTCATCAGAGATGAGAGCTGCAGTAACAACATGTTTCAATATGTTGCTCCCTGGCGATTTGAAACACCCCGAGAAATAGCTCTGTATTGTGTATTGTTGTTGCCTTGCAAATCTATAGCACGTATTTGACATAAGTGCTTTAATATTGGGAGGCTGTAGTTCAGATTACAACGTATCACAGTGATTTATATTTTATCTTTATTTATTTATATATTTGTTTATTTACTTCAAATGGTGAAAAGACAAAATCACATAGTGTTGAAGTGCCATAGACACAGTATGTCCTGACCTTATAATGGGAAGAGGAGGACAAAAATCTCAAATTTACTGAGAGTGAACAAAGTATAAATAATCAAGGATTTTAAGAACCAATATCAAGAAATATAGAGGCCCAAGGATGGAATCACAGAGATGAAATCAGTACAGGGAAGGATTTCTCACCTCGGAGCTATTGACATTTAGGACCAGATAATTCTTTGTTGTGGGTGGCAGTCCTAGGCATGGTGGGATATTTAAGTAGGATTCATGGCTTCTACTAACTACATGCCTATAGCACTCCCCAGTTGTTACAACCAAAAATACCTCCTGACACTGCAGAATGTTCCCTGGAATGGGGTTAGGGGTCAAAATTGCCCCCAGTTGAGAACCGCTCACTGTTATTGAGAATTCATTTGCTAACATTTCTCAAGCGCTGCTTTCTGTGCCCAGTGTACTGTATCCATCCTCTCAGTTACGCCTCAAAGGCAACCTATGAAGTAGGTATTAACCTTATCTCCCTTTGTCTGAGGAAGAAACTGAAGCTAAGTCATTTAGTAACTGCCTTTGATCACTCCATTAGGAAGCACTAAGGGATTGGTCTGATTTCACACTGGGGTTGGTCTGACTTCAAATCTTACCTCGAAACTACTATGCTATTACGTAGTGTTTTTCTCAATCTTCATTTAAAGATGAGTCATCTATAGTTTATGAACTGCCTTCAATCAATTTTCCTTTCCCTTCCTTCCACAAACATGTATCAGCACTAACTATATGTAAAGCAGCTGTGCTAACTGAAGGCTGGAGAGGCTCTGCTGCCTAATCTCATTTTACTTCCCTAGATCCATTCTCTTCCCTTTTCCCCTCTGCTCTGTGTTCAGGGATGCTGATTTCTATAGACTGCTGTAACCAGCTTCCTTGCCTGATGCTTTTCTGTTGAGCTCAGCTAATGAGAGGCACCAGCAGGAGATCAGGGTGGGAAGAGAGAGAGGTTGGAGTATTTAATATACTGGCTCCTTCCTCCCAGAGAGCATTTTGGCACTTCTCTATCTAAAACCACAGTTCTTGTTCAGTGGCCTGTCTTTTGTGCCCCAAGCTGTCACCAGTAACCTCCTCCCCTGCCTCTGCAAACTATGGGCTCCCTGCTGTTGCTAGCCCTAGGGTGTTTCTCCATCCCTTATGGCTTTTCCTTGCTCTGTCCAACCTTCTTTAAATAATCCCTTCATAATGTACCCCTCAATTACCCAGTCTGGGCGAGGCAGCTGTGTTCTGCCAGCTGTGTTCTGCTATGACTGATACAGAGGAATGAAAGACACTAATAAAGGATGAGAGCCTAACCCTTCCCTGGGAAAATTTTCAAACTATTTGGGAGACAAATTGTTCAGACCAAATAGCTAAAGTAATTACGTTGTGTACATAGAAAATGTACAGTATACTAACAATAGTAGCAATAGTAAAGACTTTCATTGAACATCTACTTTAAACCAGGGCATTCAGCCTGGGCAACATAGCAAGACCTCGTCTTTAGTTAAAAAAAAAAAAAAAAAAAAATTAGCCGGGTGTGGTGGCATGCAACTGTATTCCTAGTTACTCAGAAGGCTGAGGCAGGAAGATTGCTTGAGTATGGGAGATCAAGGCTGCAGAGAGCTGTGATCTCCACTGCACTCCAGTCTGGACAACAGAGCAAAACCCTGTCTCCAAATAAATAAAAAGAAACAGGGCATTAAAGTCTTTCTCTCACTTAGTCCTGACAATAACCCTGTGGGGTGTGTGTTACTGGTCCCCTTTATGGTTGAGGAAACAGGATTAGAGAAATTAGGTAACGTATTTAAGGACATACAGCTAGTAATTGGCAGAGTATGTTACTGAATTTAATGATCAAAGTAGAGTTTAACTAATATTAACCTCAATTGCAAACCAATGTGATTTTTTTAAAAAAGGAAACAAGCATAAGAACAAGCAAGTATTTTTGAAAGAACTGTCTGCAGTTGAAAAGGCACTAATTCAAATGACACTAATTTAGAAATTGTCCTTGCTCAGGCAAGGAATCTGCAACTCTTCCTGAATAAGATTCTGGAATAATTATTTCCTCTCTAACATTTATAGTCTTGGGACAGTGAAGGCTACAGTCCAAAAGAGATCGCTTTTTAAAATCAAGGGCTTTGAAATTAAAGATGACTTCAATGAGTCTTTAATTCCTGTATTTTAAAGATAGTTTGTTTTCATGATATATTATTGCACAAAACGGGTCTATCAGGGAATAAGACATTTTGACCCAAGGGTTTGACCCTGCCATTTCAATGCCACAAATGTCTAAATGTCTTGATTACAAACATTAATCAGACTTAAATCAACACTGGGGAATCTTCATCAAGGCAGTTGTTTCTTGGACAAATATCAGTAAGCCAATTTAATTCTTTCATCAAATTTCCTTTTTTTTTTTTTTTGAGACGTAGTTTTGCTCTTGTCGCCCAGGCTGGAGGGCACTGGCGTGATCTCAGCTCACTGCAACCTCCGCCTCCTGGGTACAAGTGATTCTCCTGCCTCAGATTCCCAAGTAGCTGGGATTACAGGTGCCCACCATTACACCCAGCTAATTTTTGCATTTTTAGTAGAGATGAGGTTTCATCATGTTGGCCAAGCTGGTCTCACACTCAGGAGTTCAAGTACTTCACCTGCCTCGGCCTCCCAAAGTGCTGGGATTACAGGTATGAGCCACCGAGCCTGGCCATGATTCTTCAATCAAGTTTCTATCCAACACGATAAACTCATTTCCAATTTTTCAATATTTTTATTTTATCAATTATTTTCATAGGGGTGAGCTCATTTCTTTTGAAAATCTTTAATACATATTTACTTCATCTGCCAGTTTTTATTCACAATGATTTCAAATATATATTGCCACAGTGATTTTTTTCATTGGCCATTATTTCTACTGAGGTTCATTTTCCTGGGTCAACTGTTATATATCTAGATTTTGTCAAGAGGGTGCTATTTCCCATCAATTTTTAGGTACTACCAACTTGGTATTTCTTTTTTCTTTCTTTCTTTCTTTTTTTTGAGACAGAGTCTTGCACTGTTGCCCAGGTTGGAGTGCAATGGTGTAATCTCAGCTAACTGCAAACTCCACCTCCCGGGTTCACGCGATTCTCCTGCCTCAGCCTCCCGAGTAGCTGGGACTACGGGCGCACATCACCACACCCAGCTAATTTTTTGTATTTTTAGTAGAGATGGGGTTTCACTATGTTGGCCAGACTGGTCTTGAACTCCTGACCTCATGATCCGCCAGCCTCAGCCTCCCAAAGTGCTGGGATTACAGGTATGAGCCACTGCACCCAGCCTCAATTTGATATTTCTAAACGCTGAATGTTTCTAAATGGAATGAAATGCTGAATATATCTAAATGGAATAAAAATAATAAAAGATTGCTAGCCTTATGAGAAAACTGAGGTACAAGATTTTGAGTCTGACTCTCCAGAAAAATGAGACTTAGAGAGGTCAAGAGGCAGAGAATGGGAGAAAAAAAGTAAAAGTGGACAAAGAGAGAGAGCCTGAAGCTCTCCTGGTGGTCTGGTTACCTATTCTTAAAGTCTTCAGGGTCAAAGGGTGCGGTCAAAAAGTCCTGCTTCAGGCCCAGGTTGATTGCTATTTGTCATCATCATTCTTTATTTTCCTTAGTGGCACCCAGCTGTATCTTATTTGTATAATTTCTCTTAGGTTGCAAGGTACCATTCTCCTGGTTTTCCTTCTGACTCCCTGACCTTCCTTCCCAGAATCCATGGTTTATTCCTCCTCCTCTGTTTGATGTCAAATGTTGGGGAGTGCCAGGGCCCTGTCCTGGGTGTCCTTTCCTCAGTGTCCTTTCTCTTTCGATGTTATCATCTAAAAGGTGGCCTTCAGTGCCACCTTCTATGCAAATACCACTCAAAACTGTATCTCTAGCCTTGACCTTCCACTAAGCACTAGACTCTTAGATCCAATGCTTAACGGATGCCTCTACCTGGATGGTGGAGTACAATATGCATTTCAAACCTAACACAACCCAAACAGAATTCTGGACTTTTCCATCCTAAACCTCTTCCTCCTCCAACTCTTCCTCCTCCAACTCAATAAACAATACCACCATGTACTCAACTGCACAAACCAAAAATTGTAGACATTATTCTTGATTTAGCTTTTTCTTTCTTTTTCCTTCACTTAATCCATCGTCAAGTTCTGTTGAGTCTATTGCCAGATATAGCTCAGATCCTACTACCTCTGTACATCTGCACTGCTGCCACTTGAATCCTTGCCACAGTCCTTTGCTGATCAATTGTCATGTTTCCTCATTGAAATCCCAGCTCCCACTGTTGCTTTTCATACTTTCTAGATGTTAGTGATCTTTAAAAAAAAATATATTGAATCACGTTGCTCCTCCTGCCTGAAACTTCCAATGGCTTTCCATTGCACTTAGAATAGCATTCAAACTGTTTCCTCTGGCTCAAAAATACCCACAAGAGCAAACCCCTGGGCACCTCTGTGATGTCACTACCTTTGCCCTCTTTTACTGGATGCCAGTGCCACAGGCCTTCTTTCTCTTCCTCAAGCAAGCCAATCTCAGGGTTTGTCCTTTCTCAGAGCTTTTCCACAGCAATCATCCTTACATTTGCCAGGAATACTCATTCCTCTTATCTCATGTGACTGTTTCCTTTTGTTGTTCAGGTTTCAGCCTAATTGTCATCTCCCCAGACTGCCCAGTCTAAAGTAGCTCCCAGGAAGTCTCTGTTGCATCACCCAGCTTTAACATTATACAAAGCACTTATCACTCTCTGGTGGTTTTCTTATTAATTACTTGAACAGTCTTCTGTCTTATTCCACTAGAACGTCAGGTCCACAAGAGGAGGGATGAGGTTTGTCTTGCCTATTGCTGTATTTTCATCCTCTGGCACAGTGCCTGTCATACAGTAGATGATGCATAATATCCATGAAATGAATATGTGTATGGTAATACCATACACATCAGAATATAAAGACACTGTAGGTGTTTATTTAATAGACTCTCACCCCCATCATTCTGAACACATACAATTACGTCTTAACATAAAACATTGCCTTTTAATTTTGCTGCAATTGCCACAATATAGCCATATCACTCACAAATAATCTTTGAATACCAGGATTATTTTCAAGTGGTCCACACTGGCCTGCATATTTTCTGAATCTAATTAGAACCACAGGCCAGGATGCAATTCTAACTCTGCTGCTAAGGACCTATGTGATGCTGGTCAAGCCACTACCATTACGGGCCCCTAATCTGGGAAATGACCTTCCCTAAGATCCCTTTCAGCTCTAAACAAGCAATGGAGAGTAGTCCTCAAAAGCATGGTTTTGGTACCAGATGGACTTGAACTAAAAACTATTTTCTGTGTAGGAGAACATGGGCCTCAGTTTTTCCTCTAAAAGGTAAAGACGATAATGTTATCTATGGCCAAATAAATGAGCAATTTTATTCACATAATCACCCAATATAACTACCAGTTTATAATGAGCACTCAAAGCATATTAGTAGTAGTGGTCATATATTATTATTATTAATATAATCATCATCATCATTCATGAGTATCAATTTCTGAGAAGCAGCTTTTCAAGTACATGCCCACTAAATATTAAAATCATTGGGGAAATTCTCATGAAAGTATCTGATTAATTTCTTTATTACTCGGATTTGTTTTTACAAATGGTCTGTTGTCTGTTCTTTTCCAGAGCATGAATTTCTGATAATCATTGAGAGAACAAAATGACTTCCATTATCCAGTTAACATACAGTTCTGTAGCAGAATTAATCCATGTCTTTGCATGCTAAGTCATAGAAAACTGAATAGCTGTATCCTAAAACCATAGCTTCACTCTTGAGTGTCTTTGTTCCCTGTGAGCCTCCTCTGCTGAATATCCCACTGTCATTTCTTTGCTTTTCCACTCCCGGTCCACAAGTAGAAATGCTGCCCATTAGGGCGATTGTGAGGGCGCAGGGCTCTTACGTGTGTTTGGTGCCTAGCACAGAGCTGTGCACAAAGCACAAAGGAGGCTATCAGTTAAGCTGAGCTTTCTTTTCCCCTTCCAATTCAAATGAACCTGATACAAAATCCAAAGGAACTGGTACTGGTGGTGGGGAAACAAACCCAGAATAGAGGAATAGTAGTTTATGGAACCAGACTCTGTTTATAAACCAGCCCTTCTTAAACTGGGACCCGTGGTTCTTAGCTTTCATCAAGCTTTCTTAGAGGTTGATGCCCCAACAAAAGCTGAATCAGTGATGTAAATTGCAAAAGGAGTTGGAGGGAAAGCACATTTGAATAAATCAAGTCAAATGCTCCACAAGATTGTTAATATTTAACTAAGAGAGTAGCCTAACATTTTTACTTAATTGCTCTCTCCTCTTTTTTCCACATATTCCACCCACTCCTCCTACCAGCCAATCTTATAAAAAAAAAAATCTGTAAGCCAACATTCTCCTGCACTCCTTCAGAGCTGCTCATTGCATAATCACCTCTAGAGTTATCTGCTTGTCATTTCCATCTCTCAGAAGCACACACCATCCACACCAGAAGCCTCAAGAAAATGCATGCATTGGGCACTATGGATTTATATTTGTTGTTTAGAAATAATTGCAAACCTACCATTTGTAGATTAAGGAATATGGCATATGACTGTTAAAAGCCGTGCATTATAAAGTCTTATCTCAATCCTATCCCATCATTCAAAGCCCAGCTTAAGGCTTCCTAAGACCTTCTCCAGCAGTTACTTCTCTTCCTTCTCTGACAGGTGTGCCACCTAATGTTTTGCTCAGGCAGCTGAACAATGGCATCAATGCTGTAATTGGTAATTCACAATTCTTTCATACAGGGCAAGGGCTGGTGCGTATTAAATCCTCATCAGCTGATTTTTGTTAGAAAGTATCTTCTCAAAATGAGGACATCCATTGTCTCTAAATGTCGTAATTTAAGCAAATTAATTTATAAACTTAAAACAACAAAAAGGACATTATGTGGGAGTATGAATTAAACTTTACAGATACTAGTATTTATTTGGCTTTAATATGGTAAGACTGCTTTTATCTACCTCAGTGTTTTTTAATGGCTTAAATGTCTTTTATCTATGTATATTTCCTCCTAAGACTAAATAATATGTTTATCTTATGTAATGGTATATATAAAATCAAATTACATTAAAAAGATTTTCATTATGAGGCAAAGTATTTACACAGTAATGCCAAGTAAAAGAGGCAAAATACATAATTATATACGGTATGGCTTCCACTATTAAAAATATTCAAAAACAACTGGAAGGAGATACACAAAAATATTAACATATGATATTTATTTTTGGTGGTGGAAAGACAGGTGATTGTTAAGTTACTTTTATATACTTTCCTGCATGTGTACATTTTATACAATGTGCATAATTTTACTATATAATCAAGAAAATGCCACTTTTTAAAAAGTCCTTTTGCCTTAATACATAAGGTGGCCTTCAAGTGAGGTGACACTGGTCAAGCTGTCTAGCTAATATGTCCAAGTTTCATCAGTTAGTGAGTACTAGAGCTGAAATCTGAAAACAGAAACTGTCATTCCTTAGAAATGATCCCTTCCTGCTAGAAAATGAGTTAATAAAAAAGCCATCTTTTCTATTTAGAATCGGGGTAAAGGTACAATCACACATCAAGAGTCATTCAGCTTCAGATGTGCATGCAATTTCATTTTAAAGGCAGCAAAGAAAACAACTGGCATGTGCTGCTTCAGGCAACATGTGCTGTCTAGATAGTTCTACAGGCATTATGCAAGTCACTCATAGGAGCAATTAAATGGTTCAAAATGCATCCTCTCTATCTTCTGAAAGAAAGCTCTTTTAGGAAATTGATGTTGGACCCCTTTCTGAATTACAAGTGAGTGGATTATGCATCTCTCCATAAGAGAGAGCATCAGACCAAGGGCATGCCTCTCCAGGCAAATGATTTATTTATATATGTGTAAGACCCTTTTAGTTAGTGACCCTCCTGATTCTCTGACTTTCTGGTGGAAATTAAATGAGCTGTTTTCTGAGGCTGTGGATGGCGGTTGATGGATAAAGCACAGGAGTAGAAGGGCACTGGACAAAAACGTTTAAACACAAATGGAAAAATATTCCATACTCACGGATTAGAAGAATATCATTAAAATGGTCATATTGCCCACAACAATCTACAGACTCAATGCTATTTCTATCAAATTACCAAAGCCATTTTTTACAGAATTAAAAAAAAACTATTTTAAAATCTATTTGGAATCAAAAAAGGGCCCAAATAGCCAAAGCAATACTAAGCAAAAAGAGTAAATTTGGATGAATCACATTACCTGACCTCACACTATACTACAAGCCCACAGTAACCTAAACAGCATGGTACTGCTACAAACACAGACACATAATCCAGTAGAACAGAATAGAGGACCCAGAAATAAAGCCACACACCTACAAGCATCTGATCTTCAACAAAGTTGACAAAAATAAGCAATGGGGAAAGGACTCCTTGTACAATAAGTGGTGCTGAGATAGCTGGCTAACCATATGCAGAAGAACCAAACTGGACCCCTACATTTTACATATATAAAAATAAACTCGAGATGTATTAAAGACTTAACTGTAAGTCCTAAAATTATTAAAATCATAGAAGAAAACCTAGGAAATACCATTCTGAACATCAGCCTTGGGAAATAATTTATGACTAAGTCCTCAAAAGCACTTGCTACAAGAAAAAAAAATTGGTAATGGGACCTAATTAAACTAAAGAGCTTCTGCATAGCAAAGAAAACTATCAACAAACAACCTACAGAATAAGATAAGGTATTTGTGAACTACTCATTTGACAAAGGTCTAACGTCCAGAATCTATAAGGAACTTAAGCAATTGAGCAAGCAAAAAACAAATAACCCCCTTGAAAAGTGGGCAAAGGACATGAACAGACACTTCTCAAAAGAAAACATACAAGTGGCCAACAAACAGCAGAGGCTGTGCTTTATTTACTACCAAATCTCACATGTTTGCCTTGTTTCCAACACAGAGTAGAAGCTCAATAAATTTTTATTGAACGAACAAATGAATGAATGAAATATGTGGAACTTTTCAACGACAGACAGTGGCCATATATCTCTCTTATCTCTGCACACAGCACTTACTAAATGTATATTAATGATACCATAGAAACTTCGAAATAATAAGGTAAAAGATAGTTGCAACTGCACTAAATCTACATAGGCCCTGAAATCTATTGGTAGATGCTGAAAGTAAGCACTTGTAATATATCACCTGAGAAACTCATTTCCCCAATCCTGTCAAACTCATTGTTTTCTGGGCCAAACCACCAGTCTTTGAAAGGTGATGTGAAGATCTAAAAACACAGTAAAAATGTAACAGAAGCCACACATGTAACTTTAAATTTTTATAGCTCCCTTAATAAAATAAAAACAGGTGAAATTTTCATAATATGTTTAACTCAATATAGCCACAACATTATCATTTAAAAACATAATCAGTACACATGCTCGCTCACTTGGGCAGCACATATACTAAAATTGGAAAGATTACAAAGAAGATTAACATAGCCCCTAGGCAAGGATGACATAAATTCGTGAAGCGGTTCATATAAAAATTTCTTTTACCTATTCATGCGATATTTTACTTTTTTAATATATAATCTCTTCTAAATCTGTGTGTTTCACATGTACGGTGCATCTTGGTATGGGTTTATAAATTTCCACACCTCTAATTCAATCCTGGGAAGAAGTTACTCTATGAGAGAACCTGGATTATAGTGGTTCTCAAACTTACAATTCCTTAAAAACTGTCAAGCCATATTCTGAAAATATAACACAAATTTGTTGCTGCAAGACCATGTTTCAAATGAAGCTAGGGTATGCTTTATGCTCCGCCATCCTTACGAATTACCTCCATGAAACTTAATTGTTAAGCACAGGGAGTACCCACTCTTTTCCTCTTTCAGCTGTTTTTATTACGTTAAAGATCAAAGCAATTAGTCAATGAAATGAATCACTAAACAAACTATAACATTTTAAAAGTTAACTCCATTTTGACACAAACTTCACAGGACAGGTTTTGCGGGACTTCCGTCTTCTTTTTGGTCCCTCTCTTAACAGAGCTAGTCAATTCTTTTGAAATTGTTCTGTCCTTTTTACATGTATATAGTTTTGTAAAACAAATTAAATGTCAACTTCTTAGTATTCTGAGAGACTGCTGTTCTTAAAATAAATGAAGATAAAATATGTAGGTAAATATTCACTAACAAGGTAAGTTCAAGATTAATCATGGCAATACAGATTATAATAGCCCTGTACTGGAAACAACCAAAATGCCCATCAGCAGTAGAATGGGTGAAATATTGTGTGATAGTCAATGGAATTCTACACATAATGAACATCATCTACTGCTACATAAAAAAAAAAACTCACAAATTAGTGAGTGAAGAGGCCAGTCCCCTAGACATCACACAATGATTTCATTTATATAAAGTTCAAAACTAGGAAAAATTAATCTATGGTCCGAGAAATCAGGATAATGGTGACCAGGGGTGGGGGAGAAGTGACTGGCAGGGGGCAGGATGGGTCTCCTGGGGGACAGATAACATTCTGTTCCTTGATCTGGGTGCAGATTACATGGGTGTGTGCATGTAGGATTTATAGAATTCTCTGACATTCATTATGCTTCAATACCACTTCCATAAAAATAATCAGACACATGAGAAAGGCAGAAGCTTGCTATCATACACTCCTGCCCCATGTGTTTCTGTTAAAAATTGGTCATATTGTGCTGCTTCCTGCTTCTACCTTTTTGAGTTTCTAACTAAATCAAGGCAAAACAACTGATAGGGCTTTTAAGTAAAAGGCATGTTTTTCTCTGTGTGTGTGTCTTTCCTTCTCTCTCACTCTCCCTTCTCTTTCCCATGCCTTCCTGCACTCCCTAGGTCCAGGTCTTTCTCTTCTTCAAGCAAATTTACTTAAAAGAAGGAAAGATGAGTAATAACTATACTTTTCTGATTGGATTAGAACAGCTTGGGGATATATCTGAAATCTTCAAATTGTTCTTTTTATGATGATATGAAGAACTTGAATGGTTAAAATATTTATTGTTGATTTCTCATTTCATTCTCCAATTTGTGCTGTAAGAGAGATCAAATTCCTGTAGAGTATGGCTGTGGGGGATGCATATATTTTAGTAAAGCTTTAAATTAACAGTTTCATGATACTCTGACCTGCTCTTGCTATGAATACTTAGCATATTTATAAGAAATATTGTTATGGCCAAAAGGAAGACAGAATGTGTTATGCATACCAAAGCCTATATGTAATGGGAAAAAATCCTTTCCCATTTTAACTGTTTCTGAACTGGTGTCTCTTTAGGAAAAGGTTTAGCTAACTGAAGGCTTTGGAGGCAGTCCCCAAGGAATTGAC
Organism: Homo sapiens; assembly: GCF_000001405.40. Classification (NCBI taxonomy): domain Eukaryota; kingdom Metazoa; phylum Chordata; class Mammalia; order Primates; family Hominidae; genus Homo; species Homo sapiens. The sequence continues at coordinate 62,816,309 of NC_000003.12, forward strand.
TACTTGTGGGCTTAGAGGTTGTCTCTCACTCACCACCCCCACTGATCCTCAAATAAATTTGTTTACAAAGGTGGGTATGTTATTATTCTCCCCCACCCAGGAAAGTAACTTGTGTTAAAACAACTTCATTTGCAAATATCATAGAGAAATTACAGGAGATGACTTAACAACAACAAAAAAATCAATGTGCAGCTTAGGACAGCCATTTAGAGAAAACACATTACTCCATGGTGAGAAAAAGGAAGAAAATTTCCCCTTGATGGTAACTTTAAATATCTATGTATATATTTAAAGCAGCCATGGCTAAATGAAGCCTTCCCAGCACTACTAGATAAACATGACCTCACTACCTTTGCAGGAACCTACCTTAGTGCAGAACTGTAAGAAGTTGTGTATTCAGAAAGCCTCACATTTTTCACAGGAGAGCTTTAAAAATGCAATTTCTCTTAGAGCAAACCAAACAGAGCTGACATGTAGTCATCACTCTTTTCACATTTCAGTATCTTGTGCTAATCCCCCTAGTTTTCAAATCTCTTTAGTCCACAGTGACAAAGATCTACTAGTGATCCAGAAGCTACGCTGAAGCCCAGGTTTTCCTCCTCCTCCTCATCAAAATGTTCTAACCAGAGTTGTGAATGAAGTGAAGGATCTAGTTAAAATTTTTTTTGGCCTTTCTCCACCTCAACCTAGGAGGAATCAGATAAAATAGTCCAAGGCCAGGAAGTAAGAGCAAAGGCATATGAAGTCCCTAGAGCAGAGGTTACCTGGAGTCTCTAAGGATTTGAACACCTTACATCACTAGGATTTAAAATATCTCCTCTCTATTACATGAAGAATCAAAAGTTGACTGAAGAGCCTTTGTAAACATCACGATAACAGAATATTTGATAGACACTGCACCATTTGTTTGAGTTTACTCTCTGGCTAACTTCAGAACCTCATATCTTGAAAGGTCAGATACACAGTATTGAGAAAGGTATATTTTTGCTGAATGATGGTGAGCATCGCAAATCAATTTCAGCACACTTTCCTGAGGAAGAGGGAAGGGTCTCTGCATGATTTTTCAGGTTGTCACACCATTCAACACTGTCATATGAGATACAATCTACATGCCATCTTTGTATTGCCTTAATTAAGGCAGCAGGGCTCCCTGGAAAAGGAAAAAATCTACTGCACAGTTTGGATGTTTAAGTTTGTAGAAACTTTTTGATTCTTTAATTCTCTGATTTTTTATTCCTTTAATCCCTTAGAACCATGAGCTATGAGTCAAAACAACTTCCAAATCTGGAGTTTCCTTTAAAGAGAAAACGTCCATGGTTTACTCAGTAATTGGATAAAATTATTTGTTTAATCTCTTCTGTCTTTAAGCAGGTAGCTTATTCGGTGTACTGTGTAAATCAGTATGAAAATTCAAGAAATTACCTAGTAGAAAGAAGCCAACATTTTGGGTCAGGGAGGTTGTCTGCTAGATAAATTGGTACAATGTGAACATTAACACAAGGTTCAAGTAGTTTCCAAATCAATTTTATTTAGAAAAGAATGCAGATTGCATGTGGCCTTCCAAGTTCAAATGTCTATATTACCACATTTCCCTTTGAGGGAAGAAAAACAGGATGTGGTTTAGGATGCTGCTACAAATCAACTCAAGGGCCCTTTAATAATTATAGTAATACCTGTGTGGAGCCCACATTTGGTTTAAGTGACTTTCTCCAATTCTAGGAATTTTCTAGCTTTAGGTTGATGTTAAAATTCAGCGCCAAGTCCAGAGTGAGACAGAAACCACCTACTGAGAATTGTTTTTTTAATGCTTCCTTAACAATTTATAATAATCACCAAGCAAGTCTTTGGATGGGGAAATTTCAAGTTATGGCTGCCAGATACAGTTGAAGTCTTAGCAAACTGACATCAGACCCATTAATCCATTAGTCCTTAAACTTATCTGTATGTCAGAGTCCTTCAGGGACCCACACTACATCTACTGTATCAAAATCTCAGGGGAGGCAAAATCAGGGACAGCGTTCCTACAACTCAATAGCAAAAAGTCCAATCACCGAATTTGTAAAATAGACAAAAGACTTGACCAGACACCTCAGAAAGGCAGGTGCACGAGTGGCTAATAAGCACATGAAAAAGTGCTCCACATCAATAGGTATCAGGAAAATGCAAATGAAACTACCATAAGATACCACTCCACACCTGTTTGAACAGCTAAAATTAAAAAGACAGACCAGTGTTGGAAAGGATGTGAAGCAACCGTAACTCTCATGCATTGCTGGGAGATGTGTAAATAGCACAACCACTTTACTTTGCATAACGGTTTGGCAGATGAGATAAACATATACCTACAAGATGGCAACTTCTCTGCTAGCTATTTACCTGAGACATGGAAACATATGTGCACAGAAAAACGTATATGAGAATGAGCATAGCAATTTTATTCCTAATAGCTAAAAACTGGAGACAGCCAAAATGTCCATCAAAAGGAGAATAGATACGTAAATTGTGTTATAGCCAAACAATGTAAAAGTACCCAGCAGTTAAAACGGACAATCTACTGATACACACAACATAGTTGAACTTCAGTAGTATTATTCTGAGTGGGAAAAAAACCCAAACACAAAAGATCATACATTGTATGTTTCCACTTTTATGATAATAGGCAAAACTAATGTTTAGTAAGAGATAAGAACAGTTACTGGCTCCAGGGGATGGTGGTGGAGGTGGGTGGGCAGGGATTGACTGTAGGGGGCATGAGGGAACTTTCTAGAGTGATGAAAATGGTCAATATTTTAAAAGAAGTGTGGGTTATGTGTGTATTTGTCAAAACTCAGTGAACTGTACACTTAAGATCTGTTTGTTTGAATGGATGTAAATTATTCTTCAATAAAGTAAAATTAAATGAAAAAATGTCCCCAAGCATAGTTACATATTTACAATGTGAATCTATGTTTGTAAACCACTACATCAAGGAATATTAAAAAAACACTGCAAAATGATTTTTATTTTTTGCTACAATCCCAAGGTTTTAGTGATGATGCTCACAACATGTTGGAAGACCAAATTTTGGGGTAAGGTTTAAAGCAATGACAATCTGTGTGCGTGTGTGTGTGTGTGTGTGTGTGTGTGTGTGTGTGTGTATTACAGTAAAGGGTGGATTCAGCAGGTCTATGATGTCCAAATTCTACACATTCCAAAGAAAGGCATGGCCCCCCCTTCATCCGCTTATGAGAGATAACTTCTAAACTCTTGGAATATCCTGCCTGATAACAGTGTCTTTGTATACCTGGGGCATTGGGCCATGGCAGATGGTTTATGCTAATGATGTGATTAACGATGGGGTTCTTGGGTTGGAGACTATGTAACTAAGGTCAGTCATATGGGCACTCCATCCCTACGTAACCAATTCCTAATTTTAAAAATCCTGGACATCAAGTCTTGAGTGAGCTTCCCTGGTTGGCAGCATTCTGTACACGTTGTCATACATTGTTCCTGGGAACAATAAGTACTGTCCTGTGATCTCACTTGGAGAGGAAAACTGGAAGCTTGTGCCTGGTCTCCCATGAACTCTGCCCTGTGCACTTTTTCCTTTGCTGATTTTAATCTGTATCTCTTCTGAAATAAACTGTAACCATGAGTATAACAGCTTTTCTGATATCTTTGAGTCTTTCTAGTGCATCATTGAACTGAGGATAGTTGGGGACCTCACACATATGCATGTGTGCACACACACACACACATGCACACACGATACAAATAAATTGAAATTAAAGAAGCCATAAAAAGATGCAATGCAAATGGGAGCAGTGAGTTTTCATAAAAGCCCAATGATCCTGAACAAGCCATAATTTCAACCCCAGGGGTATAATCCTGTGTTGGGTTAGGGGAATGGTCTAGAATTTGGTACACTGGGCTCAATCTGAAAATGTACAGGTGTATACCATACAAGGTGCCGAGATGATCACAGCAGGATAGCTACTGTGAATTTTCAGTAAGGGAGATAGCACTTTTCTGAAATATTCCACAAATAGAGAAACAGACATTCACAACACCCTCCTTGATCTGGAATTGCCTACCCCTCCAGATTCATGGTACATGACTCTCCCTCTCATTTTCAATATTATATCCAATACTCTGGGGTTTTCTCCCTCAGTCCTATATTTTATCCTTCAGAGCCTACTGTATGAAGTGGAATTATTATTTCTTAGGCTGGTTATGTGTTTTTAACCTCTCTTACTGAAATATGAGCTCGGTAAGGACAAGGAAGAAGTTGCAGGTCCTTATTTTGTCTCTAGCACCTAGTTTAGGCCTGGCATTAATAACAATACTATCTGAAGGGTGAAAGCCTGAACAGTTGAGTTCCTTGAATGCAGCTGGCACTTTTCAGCTTCAAGGCATTTGCATATACCATTCCCTTTGTTTGGACCAATCTTCCCTTTCTCCTCTTTACTAGACAATTCCTACTTACTCTTTCTTCCTCTTTTTTTTGGTTTTTTTTTTTTTTCTGTCTTTTCGAGTCAGAGTCTTGCTCTGTCACCAGGCTGGAGTGCAGTGGTGCGATCTTGGCTCACTGTGACCTCTGCCTCCCAGGTTCAAGCCATTCTCCTGCCTCAGCCTCCTGAGTAGCTGGGACTACAGGCACGTGCCACCATGCCCAGCTAATTTTTGTATTTTTAGTACAGATGGGGTTTCACCATGTTGGCCAGGCTAATCTCAATCTCTTGACCTTCTGATCTACCCACCTTGGCCGCCCAAAGTGCTGGGATTACAGGCGTAAGCCACTATGCCTGGCCTTCTTCCTCATCTTAAACATCCCTCTTGGAAAACCACCCTCAGATTAGGTAGATTAGACACTCTTTTCATACTAGTCTGTATTTGTTTGCTATTGTTACATAACAAATAGCTTCAAATTTAGGGGCTTAAAACACCACTTATTATACTCATAGTTCTGTAGGTCAAAAGTCTGGGCAGGCTCACCTGGGTTCTCTGCTTTAGAGTCTCTGTGTTGGTTTTCTAGGCTGCCTTAACAAAATATCACAAACTGGGTGGCTTAAAACAACAGAAATATATTATTTTGCAATTCTGGAGTCTAGAAATCCAGACTCAAGGTCTTGGCAGGTACAAGCTTCCTCCAAAGGCTCTAGGGAAGAATGTTCTTTGCCTCTTTCAGCTTTTGGTAGCTCCAAGAATTTCTTGGCTTGCAGTAGCACATCTCCAGTCTCTGCCTCCATCTTCTCATGGCTGTCTTCCCTCTATGTCTGTGTCTTTACATGGCATTCTTCCTGTGTTTCTGTGTCTGTGTCAAAATTTACCTCATCTGATAAAGACACCAGTCAGAGTCATGCTGGATTAAGGTCCACCCTAATGATCTCATCTTAACTTGATTAACTCTACAAAGACCCTGTCTCCAAATGATGACACAGTCATAGGTATCAGGGGTTAGGGTTTCAACATAAACACTGGGTGACACAGTTCAATTTTTGCTGGACACAATTCAACCCATAACAGTCTCCCAAGGCTGAACTCAAGGTATCATAAGACCTGGACTCTTATGTGGAAGCTGTAGTGAAGAATTCATTCCCAAACTCAGTTTGTTAGCAGAGTTTAGTTCTCTGTGGTTCTAGGAATGAGGTCTCTGCCTCCTTGCTGGCTGTCAGCTGGCGGCTGCTCTAAGCTTCTAAAGGCCATCAACATGCTTCATCTCATGACCATCCATCCTCAAGCCAGTGTTGGTGCATCAAATCCTTCCCATTCTTGGAGTCTCTCTTTCTCTCAGCTAAAGGCTGGAGAAAATGCTCTTCTTTGAAAGGGATCCTATAATTAGATTAGGACAACTGAGATAATTTCCCTTTTGCCATAGAACTTAGCATTATCAAGGGAATGCTATCATATTAACAGGTTCTACTCACACACAAAGCAGAGGGGATTATTTAAGGGCAAGTGTCACTGCGGGCATTCTTATAATTCTGCCTACCACATCACCCTTGATCTTTTTCACCTTCCCTCAAATGCCTAATTACTTATTAAACATTTTCTTTCCATGTTAGATTATACACTCCATGAGGGTAGAGAATAAATGCATGTTATTCACAGCTGGTGTCTTGAGCACCAGGCATGAGGCAGAGTAGGCACCTGAATAAATGAATCAATGGATGGATGGATGAATAGATGGGAAAACGGATGGATTTCTCCTAAATATTCTAACAGACCTATTAGCTTGCTCATTTGATATAGAAACATTAAGAGACAAGGTCAGCCAGGCATAGTGGCTCACGCCTGTAATCCCAACACTTTGGGAGGCCGAGACGGGTGGATCACTTGAGGTCAGGAGTTCGAGACCAGCCTGGCCTACACGGTGAAACCCCATCTCTACTGAAAATACAAAAATTAGCTGGGCGTGGTAGCGCATGCCTGTAATCCCTGCTACTGAAGAGGCTGAAGTAGGAGAACGGCTTGAACCTGGGAGGTGGAGGTTGCAGTGAGCCAAGATCGCACCACTGCATTCCAGCCTGTGCGACAGAGTGAGACTCCATCTCAAAAAAATAAAAATAAAAATTAAAATTAAATTAAAAAAATAAAAGAGACACGTCTTGGCTGATCGGACATTTCAGGCAGGGAAATGATGGAAAGAAATTGAGTTTGCAGATAAGGAACCTAGATGTCAAGGTTGAGATAATGAACCCAGAACCTTGACTGACAATAGTCAGAAAATTGCAAATGCTTAAGTTCTGCCACCACATGAGAAATGACCTGCCATTTATTCTGCCACTTTGTCTTGGTTTCTCCAAGAATATCTATTATCTTTTCAAAAATTAATAGATGCAGACAATTGTGTGACAGCTAATGAGAAAACAGAATGTGTGTGTTGTGGCAGCACTAACTCAGGTGGTAAGACTTAAACCAACAGGAATACTTGTGCTGCTAAGATTAAAAACCTATACTAGGCCCTCAGCTAAATTGCTAAATGGATAAACAGCCTCCTTATAAGTACAAAATCCCAAACCTGCTGGAAAAATATATTTTTAGGCATACAGTGCTGCAATTTCTGATGAAACAATCAGACTTGTATATTCCAAAGTTAAGCACACTTCCAAAGTTTTTCCTCATTGAGGGCAATACAAATGGTTACTTTAATTATATTTTCCCTTTGGGTGATTCAATGCAGTACGATTTTTAAATGAGTTTTTAAAATATTCTTTTTAAAAAAATATAAGAAAAGTGGTTGGGGCCAGAGAGCCTGTAGCTAACAGCAGACTTCAAAGAGGGGGAAAGATCAATGCGTATCTCCAGGATTAAAATACACAGCTGTAGTTTGCAAATTCAAATACATTTTAAGGCCACCTCCTTTTTCTACCTCCCAAAGGCCTAATCCTTTGATTGACAGTTACAGTCCTATCAGAAAAGCAGACTACATTTATTCCGGTGCACTGAATGAGGTAAGCCTTAATCTCTTTAATCGTCTCATCCATGATGTCTTTGAATAAAGGAAAGCAATTACTATTTCAATTCCTGCTGGTTGCCTTTCCTGGGAATAAACTGACTGGGGATCAGAAGTCCTGTCAGTTGCATCTTGCTGGACCTTAGGGGGCTGCAGGTTTACAAGTTGCATGACAGCCTAAGTTAACACGGCCCATGTTTTTCTGCCACGGCTCCTGCTCTGATCCTCCATCTGACTTCTCCTCTTTGCAGGCATTACATAATGTGCAAGGGGAAAAACAGCCTGAAATAATCTCACATCAAGAGGATTTGGACAAAAAAACAAATTCAAATTGATAATCCAAGGCTGAGATTGCCACTGTCATTCAACTACTCTTCTGAAATACTTCTCAGCTTGTGTTTTGGTACCTGTTGCTATAACTTCAAAAAAAAAAAAAAAAGAAAAAAGAAAGAAAGAAAGAAAAAGAATGTCTTCATAGACACATTTCAAAGCACAGCCCAGATATTTGATAGAAAATTAGAGTTAGTGATGTTTGTTTGATGTAAGAATATTCAACAGTTATCATCAGCTAAAAAATGGAGTCAATTAAACTTTGTGGCAGCAACAGATTTAATAGCACCTTGAATCTGGAAGTCATGTTTTAGGCTATGGGAACAAATGTAAGCTTTATCATCAGTTGTGAGAGTATTCCCTCCAATGTTAGAAGTCAGAGAATGTAAGGAGACTGCAGGGGAGCGAACTAATAAAAAGAAATCAAGGGTTGCATGCAGTGTCAAGAAATTTAGGGCACCAGAAATTATTAAAATAATCCTTCAGGTTTATACCTGGGGATCCACCCTTACAAAAACAAAACAAACAAACAAAAATCCACAGTGGTAAAGAAAATATTTTGAGTAATTTTCTTTATATTGCTCACAGCACAAGTGAAGCATATCACCACTTTTTAAAAAAAAGGTAATTCTATAAAGTCTGCAGTTTATTCTTCCATTACGAACTGCTGTGTAATTTGGTGTATTTAAAAAGAATAGCCCAGGGACTGAAATATTTTAATTTGCCTCTCTAATGAGAGGTTCTTTGCAGTTCTTCTAAGAACGCTTGTTTTCCCAAGCTTCCTTCTCCCACATTCTCTCCCACATACACATGCTACAAAACTGTGTATTACATTTCTGCTTGGTTAAAATATTACGTGTCAGAGATGAAGTCAGCTTTACATACCAACACACACATACACAGGCACGTATATCCAGGACAAAGCCCCTAACCCTAAATTTGCTTTATTTTGTAAAAGAAAATCACTGTCATACTGGGAAATAAGAAAATTGGCTATGGACACTTGTCATATATGCTTGATAATTTCACAGCCTTTTGTTCTACATTGCTTGTTTAGACATGGCTTTCTGTCAACCAGGAAGTTCCGTCAGTTTCTAGAAAGTCAGAGAACTCAGTTTATTTTATGGGTGGGAGGGGCACCTTTTCCTTATTAGCTTGGAGGGGAACTAGCTTCCCTTGGGTGAATACCCAAAGTCAGATATGTTATTAGGCACTTAATGTCCTTATTTTAGGGGTTCCCAAAGTGTAATCATAAACGGGATCCCAAAGGCTCTCAAAGTGTGGTATGCAAACCAGCAGCTACAATGCAGCACCTGGGAGCTTGTCAGAAAGGCAAATGATCAGGCCTTACATCAGACCTACTAACTCTGAAACTCCGGGCGTGGAGGTACAGCAAGCCCCCCAGGTAATTCCAATGCATGCTCAAGTTTGAAAACCACCGTCTTCTATCAGGTAAACCTCAGAATACCTTATGGAGTAGGCACTGTTATCTCCATCTCCAATCCCTTGTTGGTGAGGAAAGTGAGGCTCAAAAGGTAAGGCCATTTGTCACATAGATGGTAAATAATGGGGCTGAGATTTAAACTCCAATTGTTCCGGCTTCTAGCCTTAAGCCCTTTTCCATGCAACCTTTCATATCATCACTGCTGGCCATAGAAAATAACTTTAAACTTTGAAAACAGCTCTTCATAGCCTTGTCCGAAAGCAAAGCAGCTTCCTATGCATGGAGGTACAATAGTCCTTCCTCTGACTACACCTCCAAGTCAAGCTTTCTCTCCTACCCTCAGCCATCATTCATTCTGAGACACGGAATCACACACTTGAGCTGGGAGATTTTCGCAGCACTTAAGGCATCAGGGGAGAAGCGAGGGTGACAATAAGATCTTCAAATTCCTTGACCTCAAAGAATGTAGACTTTGCCAGTCTTTCTATGCACAGGCCATGGACTTATAAATAACTGAAAAATGGGCTGCTGTGCCTGATCCTAAATCCTAATGTGACCTTGGGACATAGCTTTTGCCTTATCCCAAGAATTCTGAGGCAGGTGGTAGAAGATGCAGTGGAGGCAGATGACAGTCAGTTTCTTGTGGAACTATTGAGAATTTCTGAGACATAAGGACTTTTGCTTTGGTCATCTATTCAGTTGATCAGACTTATCAAAAAGAGAAAGGAGATCCTCCTAGAAGTTAGGAGAGGGGTTTGTTTCAGTAGAGATCAGGAGATTATGTTTTCCTGAAAATTGGTGTCATGCTACACATAAAACTGGCACACTCTGAATCAGGTTGATGGACTGTATCAATGTCCATTTCCTGGTTGTGATATTGTATGATAGCTATGCAACATGTTATTGTTGGGGAAAAATGGGGAAAGGGGATATAGGATCTCTGTCTTATGTCTTACAACTGTATGTAAATGTACATTTATTTCAAAATAAAAGGTTTTTTAGAAGTTGGTGTGATGGTAAGAAGGGCAGAAAGTGGTCTGGGAAAAGTAACTTGTAACCTTGCTATTTCATATCTTTAAATATCATCCTTGATGGGTCTTCAAGTCTCCATAGCTCCTGAGCAACTGAAAGGAAACTCATGACACAGGGGGCTTTCACATCATTCTTAACCTTTCATGGAAGTCACTGGAACATAACGCTCTTACAGTTTAAGTGACACTCTGAGGGAGGGTCTCCTTGCTCTGGTAATTAGTGGGCAGGTCTAGCACCCATCCTTAGGTTTGGTTGCTAGGTAACATGGTCACTCTGCTATTTAGGTGCAGCATCTCTAACCTATTCCTTCCTTGAAAGGGGTGGACAGGTTGTGGGGAAAAGATCTTTGTTGGAAGAAAATCTGCTGGTTGCTGCCTTTTTAGCTTTTTTTCCCCTTCTGAGCTGCCAGACGGAATATTTAAAAATACACCTAAGCTGCTGCTGGGAGCCAAGAATTTCACATCAACTGTTAACTGCCTGTTAATGGTTTTGATGGAAGGCTTGATATGAAACACCACATCCCAGTAGATAATTTGATTGCAGACAAGATCAGACAATGTACTGCAGAGGGTGTGGGGGTGCTATTTCTTGATTCCCCCCACCCAGGTGTGTAAAGAAATCTATCCCATAGCTGGAAATACAATATAATCCCTAACTAGATCTTTCCAAGAAGTCTGAAAATGGGATGTTTCCATTGGTAGTGAAGTGTGAAAAACAAGTCAGGATGGCCACTTTTCAAGCAAAAGTTGTAAAGATGGTTGGATACTGGGGGACACCTAATACCTTATGGGGGATGAACAAGATGAAAGTGTATTTTCATTGAGAACACTCACTATGCCAAAGACTATCATTTAACCCTTATAACCCCCATGAGGCACATACTTTAATACCCATTTCATAGATAACTGAGGATTTGAAAAGTTAATTAATTTGCCCAGGGTCCCAAAGCCAGTAAGGAAGGGGTGAAGTCAGGTTTCAAATGAGATGCCTTTGGTCTCTAAATTCATACTCCTAGCAGTTATGCTGTGTATGTTCTGCAGATTTTCCAAGCCTAGATTTCTAAGACTCTATGAATAATCAGGAAACTGATCTTTCAAATAGCTTTGATATACAATCACATACACTGAGGGGTTTCCAGAGTTGGGAGAACCAGAAGCCCTTAATGAATCAAAACAACCATCTTGTTACAGATGGTCCAGATTAAGCCATATTTTTTTTAAAAGAGGGAGATTACAGATCTGTACAGTTCACAATTTGTTGTAAAGAGCTTTGTCTCTCTTTGCCACTTAGTGTAATCATTGTAATACCTCCCATGCATACAGTGTTTTAGGGCTTACAAAGCACTTTCACATATATCATTTGATCTTCATCATGATCCTATAAACTCAGTAGAACATTTTACAAATAAGGAAAATGTGGTTCACAGAAGGCAAATAAATTGCCTACAGCACTGTGTCTCAGAAAGAGAACTTCTGTATTTTGGCCAGGACACTGCTTCATTGTGTGGGACTGTCCTATGCCTTGTGGGGTCGGTAGCAATGGTGGGTTCCCAACCATTAAATGCCAAGAGCTCTGCCCAGTCATGGTCATTCAACATTTTTAATAATTGTGCCCTCTGGGAGTTAAACCCTCCATTCCCCATGGAGATCTACTGACACATGGTGCAGGTAAGAGGGTTTGGGTGTCACGCTTCTTCTAAGTCGTGGAGCCAGGGCTCCAGATGGCAATTCCAGCACTCTTCCCACCATGGCACTATTTTAAGCTATCAAATGTGCAGTAGCCTAACCAGGGTTGGGGTGGTCTTCACAAAACTGTTCCCATTGTTTCAATCATCAGAGAAATTCTTTTAAAGTAATTGGGCAAAAACGTGGAACTACTGACAAGGAACTGGGCAAATGGCCAATTAGTAACTGAGATAATAGCTTTTGCCATAACGGCTTGAAAAAGAAAAAAACATGTTACCAGAATCTGCACCAAAGGGCAAACAAACACAGAAGAGCCTTGTATAACACAAGGGTTATGCCTAGGTTTATCTTGCACATCAGAACATTTTAATATTCTATTTAATTATATATTCACAGTTGAGGGCCAAATTTGATGTTATCAAAAGCATACTTATTTAAAAAAAGCATACTTATTTAAATATGCTTTTAATAACATGTAAATATATACCAGCAGATTTAAAAAAATTATCTTCGACTTATTCTGCTTAGGACTTATTTTAAATTTCAATTTTGCTTATGAAGTTGCAAATTGACTGCTTATGGACCCAATTCTACCAATAAATGGGATGCTTACTTTGGCCTACCTGTGTTTTCTCTTTAATAATTTGATTTTGGTTTTCTTTAGTGGACATAAGCACACTCCATTTCATACCACTTCCAACTGTGTTACATTCAGTGTACCTTACTCTTACCTTACATGGGTAGTCCCTGTACTGAATTTGATGGCCTGTGGACATGCTTAGTCTAGGGCTAATTATCCAAGAAAAGAAGTTTCAGGATTAATAAAAATGGTGGCATATCAACATCTTAGGGACCTGATGACTAATGGTTTAAAAGCATGCCAGCTTTTCACCTTCTGACACCTTGGTTTCCCAGCATAAAAAATGAGGCTCATGGAGTTGGGCCTTTGTATTGGTGGAATCTGCATTTGCAGATTCAACCAACCATGGATCAAAAATATTTTTAAAAATAAAACATAACAATCAAAAATACAAAATTTAAAAATAGAGTGTAACAACTATTTATATAGCATTGACACTGTATTAGGTATTATAAGTAATCTAGAAATAATTTAAATTATATGAGAGGCTATGTGTAGGATACATGCAAATACTATGCCATTTTATATAAGAGACTTGAGCATTTATAGATTTTAGTATCTGCGGAGGGTCCTGGAAGCTATATCCTCCATGGATACCAAGAGATGACTATAATTTCATCTATGTCACAGGTTATAGTGAATATTGTATGAATAAAGGTAAAAACATCCTGATAAAGCTCAACGCACAGCATTTGTCTACCTATTCATGGTTCCTACCATTTACTAGACACTCTTCCAGGTGTAGTATCAAAGTGCAGCATTCACCCTACCCACCAATGATCTACCATTTACTAGACACTCTCTGGGTTCTGGGCCAAAAATAATAAACAGGTCAAGCTTTTGTTGGGCTATTATTGGCTCTCTGGCTTTATATTCAATGTTAATGAATACTCATTTCTGACAGCCATCACTTTGATACAGAGCCAAAAAATAGTTCCTACTGAGAAGGAACTACTGAGAAGAATGCAAAATGGAGACAAGAGAAGTCAGAGGATATGCTGCATTTCCACCTCCTACTTGACTGTAACATTCAGGACCTATCCCTGACCAACAGCCAACTTGTTGTCAATAAACAGGGGCATCTCTTCTGCTGAGATTTCTTCCCTGTCTTCTGTCTACCACCACCATGTGGGTAAGTGGGTGGGTAGTTAGGTGGGTGGCTCAGTGGGTGATTGGTTTCCACCCCCACTGCCCATGCCATCCTGTGCTTAGCTCTATGAAGACTCCTATCACCTCATTTTGAAATTGTTCCATTACAGGAGAACACAAGCATCTTCAGGTAATATATGTCTTAGATGGAGGTCTGGCGCCTAGTGGATCTTCACCTTTGAAATCTGTTGAAAGATCCAACTAGTGCTCATCTTTGAAAATAATTCTCCCCCTCCCCTAGCCCACAGCAAAGCAAGTAATCAAAGTTGCTTTTCCGGGTTTTGACATTTTTACAAATCAGGATCTTCTTCAACATTAAAGAGAAAATTTACCCCCATCTGAGTTAAAAGCTTTCTCCTAGTCCACTTTAATAGCAATCAGCTGCTGACAATCTTTTTCCCTCTTGGATATACTTATCAGCCAAATTGGTACACCAGGTGAGAAAAATGCTGAAAATACTTGTGCTGTGTCTTTGTTCTCCTTGTTTTTCTCTAGAAGAATAAATACAAGAAAAGCAAGTTGAGGGGATAATGGCTACAGGTGCTAGAAGCTAAAGTAATTAGAAACCCCACAATGCCACTCAGTCATAAACAAAGTCTCCCTACAGAAAATTGGAGCTTTATAGCTAGCTGTACAGACCTGACTTAAGAAATCTTTCAATACACGGCCTTTTCAATGATGTTAAAACTGTCACACTGACTGATGGGGTGTGCTGGGCCCAGACATTTCTAAGACCTGATACGTTTTGTGGAGACTTGATTAGATTATTCTTACCTTCTCATCAAATTCTGGGCTACAGACACTATAGGATATTTCTATTATCCAGTCAGTCTTTTTACAAGTGGATATGTAACATCCTCACATATCCTCATGCAAATTGTGGACTTTGCCAACTGTCAGCCATGGAACAATTCCAATCTGCTGGGGAGGATTTATTCCATCATACTCACAAATGTCAAAATTATTCCATTTCCTAGACATAGAGTTATAGACAAATATGTACATTTCAAAGATTATAACCCAGGAAATTTGCTTGATAATAAATCACCACCACTTTAAGGGGAGGAGTGCATGGACCTCTTTAAAGTCCTGGGAAGTCTTAAAACAGACTACTCACTTCTAACCATAGATAAGTATTATAATAGCTAACATCTCTTGTGTGCTGTATGCCAGTTGCTGTGCAACACTTTACATATACTTAATCTCATGAAAACTCTTCGAAGTAAACATTATCTTCATTTTCCAGATGAGGAAACTAATAGAGAGAGGTGAAATAACTTTTCCAAAGTCATACAGCTAATAACTGGCAGAGACACTATCATATCTAGGCAGACCAACTTCAGAAACCGTGCTTTTATCCCCTGCATGAGGCTGCTTCTGTAACAACAGTTCCATTGTCACAGTCACTGATTAGGGAATCAGGATGATGGGTTTGTCCTCTGGAATGAGCACTAAAACCTGGACTGCTGGCATGGTTCCATTACCAAATTACTGCGAGGTCTTGGCTAAATCACTCAATCTCTTTTTAACCTTCAGGATCTCATTTGATTCAGTATAACGAAACACAGGTATTTGTAAAAATTAAATAGAGTCACAGATGTAGCATTTTAGAATGTAAATTCCATCAGTATATTCTCTACAGTATCCTACATACCTAAAACTATAGTAGGAAGTGCTAAAAAATATTTGCTGAATAAATGAGTGATCCAACAAAGGAAAAATCACTACATAAAAAGCAGTAAATTCAGCAAAACTTGCACAGCTGATCTGAATTGACCACTTACACAGTGCTATAAGCCTAACTAAATCTTTGTATTAAACCGTAGTACCACACCACGCAATGTATTTGAATTCTTGCTCATTTGGAACAGGTGAGAAAACAGGGATACAGACTAGTTAAGAGTCTTGACCAAGATCTCTTGGCTAACAAGTATCAAAGCTAATTTTTGAACCCAGCTTCCCTCTGGTCAAGATGCTAAGCAGACAAAGATAAATTATGTATCTGTCTCTTTCCTTAAGAAGCTTACATTTCATTGTTGATAGGTAAGCATGCATGGAAATAACAAACTGAGACCTATTGGGTTAAGAGTTATACAAGAAAAACAGAACCAACACAGGAGGGTGAGAGTAATTCTGAATGGGTTTGTCAGGGCTGGTGTTTCTAAATCTTGGCTGCATTTTAGAATCACTGGGGCTTGGTACTACTAGTTTTAAAAATACTCCAGGTGATCCTATTGTACAGTTAAGGTTGAGAGCCACCAATCCATGCAAATCTCTTTGAGAAGTGTTTATGTTAAGCTTTAAGGGATAAAGTGGCATTATGATCTCAGAGGAATAGAGAGCTTAAAGGGCTTGCCCCAAGGCCACACAGAATAATAATGTCAAAGTTAAAGTAGAATCCAGAAATCTTATGCCTAGATCTTAGGGAACATTTGTGAGATAAAGACACTACCACTGCATTAGACAGCATAAAACGTGACCAGGAAGGTAGTTTCATTCCACCAGAGGAAATTGTAGAGAATACATTTGACCTGTGGAGCAGAGTTTTCACCTAGCACCATAAATTTCAGCTTGATGCACACTTGTTACCAGTAGGACTAAGAAACGGAGAGCAGAGAAGAATCTATTTAACGCTGCCTCTCCTCACATTGCTCATCATCAGCTTCTGATGTGAAAACACAAAGCTTTGCTTAGTCCATATCTATAGATCCTAAATGTAAGAACACAAGCTGCTGCCGCTGAGGCGTTGCCTCACGTGATGGATGAAGCCAACTATTGCAACTGCTGAAAAATCTCCCAATCTCGCAGTCATAAAACTAAAAGGCAGAGAAGAAGGGGGCCATCTGCTTCATGCTGGCTACAGATTTGGCTCCGCTTGGATGGAATGAAGAACCCCTCCACTCCTTTAGAAAACAACAACAACCAACAACTTCTTGTTCATTTTTGGAGGAATTGCCTCCTCTAGGTATGGAATGTTTTAAACACAGTTGTATGTCTGAAATTAGGAAAGGGTAAGAAAGCCACACGGTGCCTTCTTTTTGGCCCCAGTTCTCTTTTAATGACTGGCTTTAGAGAAAGTCCAGTCCACTTTTCTAGACTGGGAGACTATATGGCACATACTTTTCTACTATTCTTTGATTGATTGATTTGAGACAAGATTTTGCTCTATTGCCCGGGCTGGATTACAGTGGCATGATCATAGCTTACTGCAGCCTCAACCTCCCCAGGATCCTCCAACCTTAGCCTCTTGAATAGTTGGGACAACAGCACACAGCACCATGCCTGGCTAACTTATTTTTTAAAAAAATTGTAATAGAGATGAGGTCTGACTATGTTGCCCAGGCTGGTCTTGAATTCCTGGCCTCAAGCAATCCTCCTGCCTCAGCCTCCCAAAGTGCTAGGATTACAGGTGGAAGCCACTTTGGGAGGCTGAGGAGGGAGGAGGATGAAGCTGAGGCACGGCCAGCTTATTCTTAGATTTTTAACAAATGATAGTTTCAACTCTTATGGCTACTGGTACCTTTTAATACTATTTTTATCCTGGAGGAGACATTCATTATCAATGTTCTGGGGTTTACACTGGTATAATATAGAATGGGATCTTAACTGATATTAAAGAACAAGAGTTTTCAAACTGGGTTTCTGCAAAATACTGCAGTGCTTTCAAATCCTCCATTAGGGGGCATGAGGGAGACAGAGAAGCTGGTGCTGAACCTGGGCTCACTGCTCTCCCTCCACACCCCTTGCCCCAAAACAGAGTGTCTCCATCTTTATCTGTTTATCTGCTGGGGTTCTGTACAAGATTGTTTTTGAGAAAACTACTCTGGTTACTAAAAAATACTAATTGGGAAAAATCAAATTATAAACCATGTGTATAGTACAATCTCATTTTTCAAAATAGGTACACATACATGTGCATTTATAACACACAGAAAAAGGGGCACTAGAAACATGTGCACCAAATGATCTCTTCCTGATGTGATTATAATGATTCATATTTTTGCTGTTTTGCACATTTGTATTTTGTAAGTTCTCTGTCATGGGTCTTTGTAAGAAAAAGAAAATCATGCGTATCAGTAAAAGTCATGTTTTCAACAAATGTGGACCTTTGAGAACTCCTCAGTGAAGTAAAGGTGGGGTGCTGTTCAGACCCCATACAACATGAAGAGGTGCTCTTCTAGACATGCCAGTTGAGGATAATACCCTACTTCAGGCCTGGAAGCACCTGCTTTGGGGCACCTCCAAGCTTACATTTCCATAAGTGGGACAAGCTGGTGGCTTTCAACTGGCCCCATCTACCATCCCTAGAATGACTGACCTTCATTTCCAACTAGATGGGGAACTCCTCACTGCTTATAGAAAATTAGAACTAGACCCTTGGTCCTCTGAGTTCCTGTAAATCAAGTGGGTACTAGCACTTCATCAGTGATAAACTGAGGCAAGAACGTAGTGGTAAGGACATCAACTTTGGATTTAGACGTTTGTTAGACAGAGCCTTACCCTAACCAGCTGAACCATGGGTAAGTCACTTACTCTCTCCACACCTTATCCTTCCTCATCAGAAACATCAAGGTCATACTATTACTGTAGAGAGTTCCTGTGAGGCTTAGATACAATATTCCTACATATGTCTGCTAACATATGATGGACCTAGTCCAGGCTCACCAAGTATTCAGTAGTATAAGTATTATTATCATTATCAAATTTTATTTGCTCCTCCTTTCTGTCTGCTTTCCCTGGAGGCATCAAAATTGTATTTAATTCTAGGTCCAGCCAAGTGAAGAGGATGATCTAATGCTACAGTAAAGGACTTACTTGGCTTTTGGGAAAACTAAGGCAAGAAACTGTAATGTTCTCCCAATTACAATTCTTACACAAATATGCACTGGTAACATTGAGTAGTATCATAATCTGGCCTGTTATCAGAGTTCAAATATGGAATTTTACTTCCATTTTCCATGGGTTTGGAAGATGGGATAATATTTAAAGGAGCAGATTCATTGTTTGGAATATGAAGTATAAGAAAACAGACTTTAATATAATTTAAATGGAAAATTTTCTAAATCTTTGCAAAATATAAATTCACTTTATGAAGAAACTGTCCCAGTAATAGCTTTTGAATTGGAAAAATGTAAATTAGATCACTTTTTTTAGTTTCATGCAAATAAATGAAGATGTATAAGATAAAATTACCTTTTCCCATTAAGTAGTATCTCAAAATAAAAAATAAAGAACTGATATTGCAGGCTACCTTGCAGCAAATTAAAACAATCAGGGAACAACAGGGAGATTGGTGGGTTAAATCTAGAAAATTCTTGTAAAGTGCCACACTTCAGTCAAATTATCAAAAAACCTATTTTCATCCAGGTATTCATATAATCTTCAAATTCAATTCTCTTTCACGATGTGTCTGCAAAATGATACTCAAACACATTCTTGTTATTTTTCATAATTGAGCCTGTGATTGGGTGTGCTTAGCTCTTTTATGAGAAAACATGGGGCCTTGTAAATTAAACATCAGTTCCCTTTATCATCATGTGTATACACCTTGTAATCATGAATTATGCAGGCCAGTACTGGCTGTCTTATTATGAGAGAGAGAGCAGCTACATGAACCTCAAAGAGGGGACGTGGCAAATCACAGAAGGGGCAAAAATTGAGCTGCGTAGTATTGCCAGGAAAAAGTGTCAGACATTCTCCTGTATACTGTGATGTTTCTTAAGATATACTCACAACATTTCAGGGAAACACAGCTTCCCTATTCTGAGCCCAGACTTGACAATGCCCAGCAGAATTGAAAGAGAAAACAGAAACTGAAACTGTTTACATTAAATTATTTTTGAAAAATATTTTTGTTACTGGGGGAGTCAAACACATTAGATGACTTCATCTAAAGCTAATGCAGCTCCCTTCTCTTTTTCTCTTCAAGCTTCTCCTTCCCTTATTTATCTACAACTGCATGTGTTTAGGCATATTGCCCAAGTGAGATGTATTGATCAAATGACTGAATCACTAGTTTTGTTGAGCACCCTCTGGTTAATCCAGTGTTTCCTAACCTTGGATGTGCATGTTGAAATCACTTGGGAAAAATGTTAACCCTTACTGATGCCTGGGCTTTTAGAGCCCCTGAGTGAATCCGACATGCAGCTAAGGTTGAGACTCACTGGTCTAATATGAACTTTGAAGAGAAATAAGGCATCTCTCTTGTTCTCAGGGAACTTTTTAAATTATCAAACTAATCCAGACCCAAATAAACAAAAACCTAAGCTAAAATATTCCTGGAACCATTTCTGCCTTCCTTCTATTCTAAGCCAGAAAAAGAGGCAACCAAGACAGTGTCCCTGTCCTCCAATAGCACTTGGTCTGGTGAGGACCAGGCAATAAAAATAAGACAGGGAGAAAAATACGCACTAGATGCAAAAGGACCACAAAAGGAAGGCTCCTTGGCCAGCCAGGATGCAAGTTAAGGGAAAAGTGCCCCTAAGGAGGTAATGTGAGATGGAAATTTTCAAGGTTGAGTTGAAGTTAACCCGTGTGTGTGTGTCTCTACAAAAGCATAAAGGTGAGAAAGCATGTGCATCTCTTGAGCCACAGGTTAATCAATGGGGCTGTAGTAAAAGGTGTCTTTGGAAGCTAAGCTGGAGAAGGTAGATACAGGTTATTTTTAAAGTACACTGTACCATGCCTGGGAGGTGAAGCTTCAT
This sequence comes from Homo sapiens, assembly GCF_000001405.40. NCBI lineage: Eukaryota > Metazoa > Chordata > Mammalia > Primates > Hominidae > Homo > Homo sapiens. The sequence continues at coordinate 62,836,728 of NC_000003.12, forward strand.
CCTGAAGGCTGTGGAGAAGCTTCTGAAGAATTTTAAACCAATAAGATTGGGCTTTGAGACCAATCCTGGAACTTTCCTTTCGCCCACCCCCCGTTGTCATCAGAAAAGTGACTGGAATCTTCTTTTGATAAAAGAAAGAATCAGGAACACATTCCTCTCTGCCAGGATGTCTATAGTAATTAAGTTTTCTGGAATATAGCTCCCTCAGCCCATCTTTCTACCAATATAGATGCCTTGCTTGCTCAGCCTGAATTTATTCAATATTTTTGTAGGTAACTCTTCCCAATGAAGGGAGAGGCTTTACACCTTTTCTTAGTAACTGAAAGACATTAAAGCTCCTCTTGCAGGTAATAATAGTAATAATACGTTAATAAATATGTTAATATTGATAACTTCTATCACATTCTATGTGCCAAGGAATTAACATACACTTAATCCTTACACTAACTTTTGTTAAGGTGATGTTTGTATTCCCATCTTACATAAGGAAACTGAAGCTCAGTGAAGTCAAGTAACTTCCCCAAAATCGCACAGCTTGTATGTGACTGAGCTGTGATGAAAGCTCCTATCTGACTGCAAAGTTAGGGCTCTTTCATCTTACACTGCTCAGTTCCCCAACCCGCATGGAGAACACCCTTTGCTCCCACTGACCTCACAGGACGGGTTAAGTTGAGAGAACTACAGCATCAGCAATGTGCCAGGGCACTTAATAGCCCTACGAAAGTCAGTCCAAAAAAGAAAGATGGAGAAAGCATAGCCGTGGACTGGGCACCTCTTCCAGAAGCAATGGTGAATGGCCCCTGATTCATGGCTGGGGCACTCAGTGTTCCTCCCTCCCCTCTTTCTACAGCTGTTTCGTTTTGATACAGTGCTGCCCTATGTCATGTTTCACAATGAATTATCTGGTGACCCTGTGCCAGTATATGAAGATATTGCCAAGCAATAGATATCAACATTAGAAGGTCACAGCACATCCTATCATAGAGCAAAGAGTATGAACTGTAAGTCAATACAGATTTAAATCTCTGTTGCATCACTTACTAGCTGAGTTGACTTGGGGTAAAAGATTTACCCATTCTGATTGTTTCTTCTTCTGTAAAAATGAAGGAAAATTGTAACTATAAGACATAATGCATGCAAGTCCAAGTACTGCCACACAATGAGCCCTCAACAAATATAGAATTTCCTTCTCTAATGTGATTAAAGATGGATTAATTAAGCATTAGTGAAACAGCCCTCAAAATGCACATGCTGACAGAGGGAACTGGCTTTACATGAATGGGTTAGCTTTTAGGAAAACAAATGTCATTCTCTGATACAGGCAAGAAATCCATCCATACGCTCTTCAAGTATGCCATCAGGAGTGAATTCTGAGATCTCTACATGTGTCCACACTGGAAAAGATGTGGCTACTTGTGGGGCACCCCCAAGATCAGCCCAGGGGCTGATTTCATTCGGCGCATATATTACTGACCTCACTAATGAATGGGTAATGACATGATGAGGCTTGGAGATAGGTCAGAAATGCATGTCTCCTGATTTGACAGGTGGGCTACACAATTGAAAGTGTTATGGAGAGACAACACTTGATTTATAGAAGGTAACTTTAGCAGTCAAAGTCAGGAGGCAGGAGGGAATGAGTATAAGCCATATGATATTCTCAAGGTCAAAGAACTCTAAGACAGAGGTAGGAAAATCTAGCGTTGAGGTCATTTAGCTGGAGTTCTCAAAGGATTCTTACACAGTTTTTAGGGAATCTGTGAAATCCCTAAAACTGTGTGAAACAGTATGTGGGTATGTGTGGTTTTGGGGCAGAAACTCTACTTCTCTAGATTTTCAAAAGGGTTAAGAACACAGATTCCAAATTCAAATCCTGACTTTGCTAATTTCTAACTGTGTAATTGTTAGTTTGTAACCTCTCTGGAAAAAATAGTAAAACGTATTCCATACGACTGTAATGATAAATGAGTTAATATTTCTAAGGCACTTAGAAAAGTACCTGAGATATAGTCAGTGTTTATTAATAATCATTATAATCTTGAATATAGAAGGAATTGCTTAGGTCCCAGATTACTGGATGCTGGACAAATCTTGCCCTAAAATTAATGAGCAAATCATTTGAGGAATCTGAGCATCAGATGTCCAATATATAAAATGAAATGCCTCCCAGCTCAAATACATTTGAACACTGCTTTGCTCCAGGCTCTGGGCAGTCCTTCTAAAGATAAAGGTGAATAAGAGAATGTTCTTTCCCTGAAGGAACTCATGGCCTGGGTCAGGCAGATAAGTGTAAAATAAACACAGATAATTATAATTAACTGGTAAGTCCAATGACAGATTTATTCAGAGGATTATGGGGATACACATGAAGATGCTTATTCAGTTGTGGGGATGATGACCTTCAACATTTGTCCAGAAAAGCTTTGCTTTAAGTTGTATTTCTAGGGGAGGAAATGGTCAGGGACTATTTTGTTGTTGTTTTTTTGAGACAGAGTCTTGCTCGGTCACCCAGGTTGGAGTGCAGTGGCACCATCTTAGCTCACTGCAACCTCTGCCTCCCGGGTTTAAGCGATTATCCTGCCTCAGGAGAGTAGCTGGGACTACAGATGCAAGCCACCACGCCTGGCTATTTTTTGTATTTTTAGTAGAAACGGGGTTTCACCATTTGGCCAGGCTGGTCTTGAACTCCATGGTCAGGGACTTTCAAGCAGAAAGTATATGCAAAGGTCAAGAGACGTGAAACACCCCTGTAAGTGTGAAGGGCCATAGTGGATCCCTGTCACTGGAGTTCAGAATATGGGATCAGGAGTGGTGAGAAGTGAGCAGTAGGGTGAGGCTAGACCACGAAGGGCCTGAATGCCTTGGTGAGGAGCTAAGACTCACCTGTAGGGTTTACGTAGAGGAATGACTCTGGCAGAGAGTGTGAAGAATGGGTTGGCGAAGGCCAGGATGGGAGGGAAGGAAACTAATTGAGTGAGATCTGTGAAGTCGACAAATAGAGGATGGAAAACGGCAAGAACCAGGGCCAAAGCATCAACTGGATTCATGGCTCAGGGTTCATTCCAAGAAGGAAGGCAGATGCATCAAACAGTTAAGAGATAAACATGGAATGACTTGGTGATTGATTAAACATGAGATGAGAGGGAGACACATTCAAATAGAATTGCTGAGATCTCTAGCTTGGATGACCAGATGCATGGTGATTTCACCATCTGGGAGGGAGAGCTGAAGTGTGTGTTTAGGGGATGGGCAGGGAATGATGAGCTCAGTCGGGGACATACTGAGTTGAATTAAACTGAGTAAGACATATTGAATGAATCCAGAATATGTCTCTAACAAAGATTAAATTTGATCATGTTCATGGACTGCTTCATAAACTACAAAAAAGCTAATTATCTTCATTATTATTGCCATTAGCTTACAGTATGGGCCTCGCAAGTTCTTATTTAACCTCTCTCACCCTTAAATTTTCCATCTACTTCAATGGGGATAATAATCACTTTCCAATTCTAATTCATAAGTATGCATGGATATAAAATGAAATTGTCTATGAAACATCACATTCTTTCTGGGAAAGATATACAAATCCGACATCATACTATTAAACGGCATTAAATTCAAAGAGATGAGACAGTTTACAACAATGATTTACACAATGTTTAATAATGAGAAGACAGTTATAGCTCTGAAATACATGGTTTAACACAAGAACCAGATCACCATGATACTTTCAATCATATAAATGAAAACTTAGTTTTTTGAACTGACATATGTCTATTTTTGAGGACTCTTTTCCAGAAGACAAAATGTTGTGTATATTTTTGTATGTGTATACTTTTTTATATATGTATATATAAAAAAGTGTGTGTGTTTGGGCTTAAAATTGTGCAAACTTTCATATGTACAGATGGGAAATAAACAATTTAGTCAAAAGCCTGAGTCCCTGGAGTTGGTTGCTATAATAAAGCTGAGGCAGTAATACTTTTTATAAAATGTTTTCAGACTTTAATATAAACCATTGATATCCTGGAGCAGCAGAACTGTGTCATAGGAAATAATCAAAAATCATAATTAAGCACTGACAATTATTCAAATTATTTGGAGAAATCCATTTGGGTCCCAAATGATACAGATTCTTGTTTGCATATCTAATTTTTTGAATTACTGCTAATCTCTTGTGATATACCGATTAGGAAATCACAATAGAAACAGTTAGTTGGAATCCTGTCTTGTCGTACTAATAATCTTGGTGCCTCCAAAAATCAGACAGTTCTTGTATTCATTCATCTAAAAGTCCATTTTTGTTAGAGCAAATGGGACCTCATTTACTCCATTCCCCATTTCCAGGCAGAGATTCCTAAATTTCTCCCTGTAACACGTTTTATTCTTTAACAGTCCTCATCATTGGCAAATATGTCCTCTGAGTCTCATCTAAATCCATTGTTAGACACCAACCAGAGCTAGAAATGTTGAGAGAAAAATTACTGACTAGTAAGTAAGAGAAGAAAACTCTTTAGTCTAAAACAAACAACAGAAGTCCACTAGGTCAGATTCTCACTGTATATTCCTCACAGTGATATGTGCAGAGGACATGTGCACATTCACACAGTGCATGGGTATTTTCCCCTTAGAGAGGGAAAAATTCTTTACTATCAGGTACTTATTTTGGCACTTGAGTCTGCAAAATACAAAGTATTTCATATTAAAGCTGGGCATGATGGCTCATGCCTGTAATCCCAGCACTTTGGGAGGCTAAGGTGGGTGGATCATTTGAGGCCAGGAGTTCAAGACCAGTCTAGGCAACATGGCAAAACCTTGTCTCTACAAAAAAATACAAAAATTAGCTGGGCGTGGTGGCATGTGCCTGTAGTCCCAGCCGCTCAGGAGGGTGAGGCAGGAAGAGGTCGAGGCTGCAGCGAGCCCTGATGGCACCACTGCACTTCAGCCTGGGTGACAAAGTGAGAACCTGTCTCAAAAATATGTATTTCATATCAAGAGGGAATAAGATGGAAAATCCTATGGCCACATGACATCCCCTTGTAATACTGGTACCTCCCTAAGAAGGCACCTTGGAACTATGTCTGCCAACTACAATTCTGTTTGCCAAATTTGTCAATATATTATTTCCCTCTGGCTTATGGTTCTCTCTCGCTAAAAAATGAGGGTTAAAAAGAAGATTTTCTTCAAGTGAAAGCTATTGTTCACATACTGAAAATGTTTCCATGACAGTTCTATTTGTGGATCTTAGACACGAATGTAGATTTAGCCACATACATCCTCAAACTAAAACTAAACATTAAAAATTATTGAAACCACATCTAAGCAGCAAATAATTCTATTTGAAATAAACCAAGATATTTGGGAAGTTTTATACAGAAGACAAATCTACATGGACCTCATTCATTATGGGTCAAGAGGGTAGAGTGCTCATGTATCCATTTGGCAAGAACAAGAACTCTAACAACAGTTACCAGTGCCAACGCTTTACGTATATTATCTCATCTAATTTTCAGAAGAACCCAGTGAGGTAGGCGCTATCATCCCTGTTTTTCAGATGAGGAAACTGAGGTAAAGGGAAGTTAAGTAACTCATCCAAAGTCACATAGATGATAAATGGTAGGGATAGGATTGGAATTCAGGTTGTCAAGTTCCAGAATCTGTACCCCTAACCATTATGGAGTGAGGATTTTCTTCAGTAATCTGTCCAATATGCAGCCAATCAAGATAATCTTGTTTTCAATTTCACAGCAAGACTATGTGTTTAATTTTCTTCATGATTGCCTCAATTATCCATTTAATCACCATATTAACAATAACGATAATCAAAGTGTTTTTATTGCATGTCAGTGATGTGCCTTGCACTATAATAGGCACATTGCCTTGATCATCTCATTTAGCTGAATCCCTTAAAAATTCCATGAAGGCAGAAATTTGCAGAGAGAAGAATTGAGGCAGAGAGGAAGTTTTATTGTCTTTCCTAAAGTCAAATACAAGGTGATAGAGAGCCAGAATCCGGGCTTTATGACCCATGCCCTCTGATTAGAATGCACTGCCCCTATCTCACTCTCTAGACATGCTGAATGATGCTTCAAATTATGATAAAAGTTTTATAATCATTTTCATGATATATATGATTAATGGTACTTATGCAAACATATCTGTACTGCGTAACCAAGGTTTTCCCTGAAGGTTCACAGACCTAACCCTGAACATAATTGAGAGTTCATTTTCTTTCTAGTCTCTGGAAAGCATGGTATTTTGTAAAGCACATAACAAATGTGTTTAAAATAAAAATGATGATTCATTATCAAATTTAGTGGCACTATCAAGCTCTGGTATAATTTTTTTTCATGTATGTTTCACTGGATAATTAACTTCCAATTTTTTTCCTGACCTGTGAAAACATTAACAGGTGATTTTATGAAGAATGATCTTCCCTATGACAGAAATGATGCAGTTTAAAGTCAAAATGAAATAATCTTCCAAATACTGTAGGCAAATATTCAAACATTTCAGTGAAGGTTAATAATATTAAACAGAAACAAGATTTAATGATATTTTCTTATTCTTTGTTTATAACTAAAGCCACAAGTATTTCTGCATTATTAGTGAAGTTACTAAATATTGAAGATTCGAGGCTATGAAACAGAAATATCTGAGATTTCTATGTTAAAGACAATTATCTTGTGTGTTTTTGTAATAGAAATATAACTGAATTACAAAATACCCCCAAATAATAGTGATATATACAAGATGGCAGTTGGGGTGTGTGTGTGTGTGTGTGTGTGTGTCTATGTGTGTACACATGAAAACTAAAGCTGGAGGAAAGCAGCATAACGTTGGACTCAACCTCATCTGGGTGCCAAGTTACTTCCATTATGTTGCTCCATTTTCAAAACAAAACTCCTGCCTTATAGTACAAGACAGCCACTGAAGCTCCAGCCAGTCAGTCCTGCTTTCTAGCCAGCTAGAAGGAGGAAGGAGGCAGAGGCCACTTCCTTAAATGACATTTCCTGGAAGTCACTCAGATACTTCTGCTTTATCCCATTGACCAGAACCTAGTCCCAATGCAATATCCAACTACAAGAGTAGGACTGAAGTTTTGCCAGCTTAAAAAAAAAAATCAGTAAAAAGAAGAGGAAAATGAATCATTAGAAAGCAATTAAAAGACTACCAGGGCTTAAAAATGTAAAAAGATCAATACTTTAAAGTGAGACATTACCCTAAGGCTCTGTAGGTATCCTTACCCCAAAATCTAGTCCCTTGGCAAGTATATAAAATTTGAAACCTTAATCCAAATTGCATAATCCAGAACTAAAGATAGGCTTTTCTCTAGAGGAGTGATTATTATTGTTATGCTGTTTAAAAATGGTCTTTTGTTGAGCCTCTACCACCAATGTCTAGGAAAGGATGGGGGAAAAAGCAGAGACAAATCACAGTTGTAAGGTAAGAGCTCTTCTGGTGAAGTTTACCGGCATCAACATCTCCCATCAGCACAAACTAGTTCATTTAGTTTACAACATCGAGCTGACAAACAGCAGAAATCTTAGACTTGACTAAACTCTAAGGGAAGGGGAAATGGGAAACAGTAAAACCATCTGGTTGAGAACAAGAATTCAGGCTGGAATAAACAACCAAAGGAAAATCTGAGGTTGACACACCTACTTTTTGACATAATTGCCTGTTCCCATGGCTTAGTTCACATTTTTTCATGATCAACTCACATGTACATTCTGCTGTTCTTTCTTCCTTTCCTTTTACACTTTACTGAGGAGCAAACCACCACTCCCCAACCCTCATGAATGCCTGTGAAAGCCAAGGACACACAACATCCAAGCTTGGTGAGGAAAAACAAATAATCTAAGCTTGAATGCAAATTTAAGCGTAGGTATCGGGGTCTATAGTTATCATGACCTGTGAACTATTTGAAGACCAAAACTAGAGACTTAAAGATCTCAGTGCAGTAGGTTATTCAACACACTAATGCGATTGGGAAAATCGATTCTTAGTATAATGTGTAAACTAGAGAAAGCAGTCACTACTTTTTTAATGGTGAGACAAAGTGACAGGCCCATTTTCAGAGAAAGTTGTGGTCAAACTCTGGCTAAGCTAATTAGGGTTCTTGGTTCCAAACAAGAGAAACTAATTCTGGTTAATTAAACAGGAAAAGGAGCTTGTTGAAAAAATATTGGCTAGACCACAGGGTCTTCAAGAAGGCAGAAAGGTTTGGAAAGCAGCCAGGAACCAAAGCTAGGCTGCTAAGAGCCATATTATAACTAGAAACTGTCACGGAAACTCGTCATCACAGGGTGGTACTTTTAGCTCTACCTTTAGCTCCACTGGACACAGGATGCTATCACTGTGGGTAGAATAAGTTCTAAGTGGTTCCTGCTCCTTTGTTTCAACTATTCCACACTTTTCATCTCAGAAGGACATATCTGTCAGGTTGGCCAATTTTAGGTCAGATTTTCAGGCTCTGTCAGAGTCTGAGAGAACAAGAACTTGGCTTCTTGAGCTTCTGTATTGGAAGACCGAGCTGCATATCCCAAGGCTCACATCATCACGATTTTCCCCAGATAGAAGTGTTAAGGTGTTGAACAGCCAAAAATGGAGCCCTTCACATAGAATCTACCACTTACCAGATGTGTGATTTGAACAAGTTACTTTAACTCTGTGTCTCAGTTCCACTACCTCTAAAAAGGGGATAATACATCTCTCATTAGGTCATTTTGAAGATGAAATAAGATTATATAAATAAAGTTATGAGGCCCACAGCAAGTATTCAATATATTGGCCTAAAGTGCAGTTGTGAAGAAAGAGCCTTTATCATAATTATAGAGGGGATTTGGAGGATTTGGATTAAATTCCAAATTCCATTTATTCTCTGTTGCCCTGAAGGTTTTGGCATGTGATTTGTTGATATGTCCCTTAAATTTCTTTTAATCTATCAATTTATCTTTCTGTTCCCCTCCCACCTCCCACTATCATCTATCTCTTCCTGTGATATTGTTATTGTTGAAGAAACCTGGTATTTTATTTTGAACAATTTCCGATAGCCAAGATTTTATTGATTTCTTCCCCATTTGACATGTGGCATGCTTCTCTCCCTGTATTTCCTGTGCTTTGATAGTTATATCTAGATGAGTGATATGGTTTCACTCTGTGTCCCCACCTAAATCTGATGTTGAATTGTAATCCCTAATGTTGAAGGAGGGACCTAGTGGGAGGTGATTGGTTTAGGGGGGTAGATTTCCCCCTTCCTGTTCTCATGATAGTGAGTTCTCACAAGATCTGGCCGTTTGAAAGTGTATATCATTTCCCCCTTTGCTCTCTCTCTCTCTCTCTCTCTCTCTCTCCTGCCACCATGTGAAGACATTTTTGCTTCCCATTCTCCCTTCTACCATGATTGTAAGTTTCCTGCAGCCTCCCCAGCCTTGCCTCCTGTACAACCCGTGGAACTGTGAGTCACTTCAGCCTCTTTTAAAAATAAATTACCCAGTCTCAGGTAGTTATTTATAGCAGTGTGAGAACGGACTAATACAGTAAGTGATCAGATTCAGGTTCAATTTTCTGGGAAGACTACTCCATAAGCAACGTGTTGTGCTTCCATGTGTAATGTATAAATGTATAATGTTTAGTTATTTCTCTTTTTATGATGTCACTGATTATAATCGTTGCCTAGACCTATTCGTTCTTTAGGGCTTGCAAATGGTAATATTCCAATTCTATCATTCCTTCTTCATGTGTTACTTGAAGTGCTCTTACAAGAAGAAACTTCTCCTTATCTGGTTGGTCTGAAGTACAGTCATGAGGAAATACATGATAAACGCTTGATTCTTTCCCGTGATTAATCAATTTGCAAAATATGTTGGTTTTCTGTCATTCTCCAAAAGTGACCAAAGATTGGGTCTTTTTTTGTTTGTTTTTTGGTATTTTTTTGTTTTGCTTTTTGTTTTTTGAGACGGAGTCTTGCTGTGTCACCTAGGAGTGCAGTGGCACGATCTTGGTTCATTACAACTTCCACCTCCAGAGTTCGAGCAATTCTTTTGATTCAGCCTCCAGAGTAGCTGGTATTACAGGTGACTGCCACCACGCCTCTACTAAAAATTTTTGTATTTTTAGTAGAGACAGGGTTTCGCCATGTTGGTCAGGCTATTCTCAAACTCCTGACCTCAAGTGATCCACCTGCCTCGGCCTCCCAAAGTGCTGGGATTACAGGCATGAGCCACTCGCCCGGCTGGAGGTGGGTCTTTTAGTTAGTATTAAAAACATTTGAATTTGAATATATTTGATGTGTTTTAAACCACTTTAGTCATTATCCTGACTAATGCTCAAACTGTCTGTGCCTTCTTTGGGCAGTGAGAGCCTTTTCTAGTAGCCTCCTAAGTCCTTTTGACAGGACGTTAGTAGTTTTGATGACTTTGTTAATTTTTTGACTTTTTTCTTATCAACCTGAGAGAATAAACTTTGCTTTTTGACATGCCAAAATGTTCTTACCCGCCACCTCCAGTTACCAAATCCCAGCAGCATTTTCTTTTTTTTTTTTTTTTTAACTTTTTTTTTTTTATACTTTAAGTTTTAGGGTACATGTGCACATTGTGCAGGTTAGTTACATATGTATACATGTGCCATGCTGGTGCGCTGCACCCACTAACTCGTCATCTAGCATTAGGTATATCTCCCAATGCTATCCCTCCCCCCTCCCCCCACCCCACCACAGTCCCCAGAGTGTGATATTCCCCTTCCTGTGTCCATGTGATCTCATTGTTCAATTCCCACCTATGAGTGAGAATATGCGGTGTTTGGTTTTTTGTTCTTGCGATAGTTTACTGAGAATGATGGTTTCCAATTTCATCCATGTCCCTACAAAGGACATGAACTCATCATTTTTTATGGCTGCATAGTATTCCATGGTGTATATGTGCCACATTTTCTTAATCCAGTCTATCATTGTTGGACATTTGGGTTGGTTCCAAGTCTTTGCTATTGTGAATAATGCCGCAATAAACATACGTGTGCATGTGTCTTTATAGCAGCATGATTTATAGTCCTTTGGGTATATACCCAGTAATGGGATGGCTGGGTCAAATGGTATTTCTAGTTCTAGATCCCTGAGGAATCGCCACACTGACTTCCACAATGGTTGAACTAGTTTACAGTCCCACCAACAGTGTAAAAGTGTTCCTATTTCTCCACATCCTCTCCAGCACCTGTTGTTTCCTGACTTTTTAATGATCGCCATTCTAACTGGTGTGAGATGATATCTCATAGTGGTTTTGATTTGCATTTCTCTGATGGCCAGTGATGATGAGCATTTTTTCATGTGTTTTTTGGCTGCATAAATGTCTTCTTTAGAGAAGTGTCTGTTCATGTCCTTCGCCCACTTTTTGATGGGGTTGTTCGTTTTTTTCTTGTAAATTTGTTTGAGTTCATTGTAGATTCTGGATATTAGCCCTTTGTCAGATGAGTAAGTTGCGAAAATTTTCTCCCATGTTGTAGGTTGCCTGTTCACTCTGATGGTAGTTTCTTTTGCTGTGCAGAAGCTCTTTAGTTTAATTAGATCCCATTTGTCAATTTTGGCTTTTGTTGCCATTGCTTTTGGTGTTTTGGACATGAAGTCCTTGCCCACGCCTATGTCCTGAATGGTAATGCCTAGGTTTTCTTCTAGGGTTTTTATGGTTTTAGGTCTAACGTTTAAATCTTTAATCCATCTTGAATTGATTTTTGTATAAGGTGTAAGGAAGGGATCCAGTTTCAGCTTTCTACATATGGCTAGCCAGTTTTCCAAGCACCATTTATTAAATAGGGAATCCTTTCCCCATTGCTTGTTTTTCTCAGGTTTGTCAAAGATCAGATAGTTGTAGGTATGCAGCGTTATTTCTGAGGGCTCTGTTCTGTTCCATTGATCTATATCTCTGTTTTGGTACCAGTACCATGCTGTTTTGGTTACTGTAGCCTTGTAGTATAGTTTGAAGTCAGGTAGTGTGATGCCTCCAGCTTTGTTCTTTTGGCTTAGGATTGACTTGGCAATGCGGGCTCTTTTTTGGTTCCATATGAACTTTAAAGTAGTTTTTTCCAATTCTGTGAAGAAAGTCATTGGTAGCTTGATGGGGATGGCATTGAATCTGTAAATTACCTTGGGCAGTATGGCCATTTTCACGATATTGATTCTTCCTACCCATGAGCATGGAATGTTCTTCCATTTCTTTGTATCCTCTTTTATTTCCTTGAGCAGTGGTTTGTAGTTCTCCTTGAAGAGGTCCTTCACATCCCTTGTAAGTTGGATTCCTAGGTATTTTATTCTCTTTGAAGCAATTGTGAATGGGAGTTCACTCATGATTTGGCTGTTTGTCTGTTGTTGGTGTATAAGAATGCTTGTGATTTCTGTACATTGATTTTGTATCCTGAGACTTTGCTGAAGTTGCTTATCAGCTTAAGGAGATTTTGGGCTGAGACAATGGGGTTTTCTAGATAAACAATCATGTCGTCTGCAAACAGAGACAATTTGACTTCCTCTTTTCCTAATTGAATGCCCTTTATTTCCTTCTCCTGCCTGATTGCCCTGGCCAGAACTTCCAACACTATGTTGAATAGGAGTGGTGAGAGAGGGCATCCCTGTCTTGTGCCAGTTTTCAAAGGGAATGCTTCCAGTTTTTGCCCATTCAGTATGATATTGGCTGTGGGTTTGTCATAGATAGCTCTTATTATTTTGAAATACGTCCCATCAATACCTAATTTATTGAGAGTTTTTAGCATGAAGGGTTGTTGAATTTTATCAAAGGCTTTTTCTGCATCTATTGAGATAATCATGTGGTTTTTGTCTTTGGCTGTGTTTATATGCTGGATTACATTTATTGATTTGCGTATATTGAACCAGCCTTGCATCCCAGGGATGAAGGCCACTTGATCATGGTGGATAAGCTTTTTGATGTGCTGCTGGATTCGGTTTGCCAGTATTTTATTGAGGATTTTTGCATCAATGTTCATCAAGGATATTGGTCTACAATTCTCTTTTTTGGCTGTGTCTCTGCCCGGCTTTGGTATCAGAATGATGCTGGCCTCATAAAATGAGTTAGGGAGGATTCCCTCTTTTTCTATTGATTGGAATAGTTTCAGAAGGAATGGTACCAGTTCCTCCTTGTACCTCTGGTAGAATTCGGCTGTGAATCCATCTGGTCCTGGACTCTTTTTGGTTGGTAAACTATTGATTATTGCCACAATTTCAGCTCCTGTTATTGGTCTATTCAGAGATTCAACTTCTTCCTGGTTTAGTCTTGGGAGAGTGTATGTGTCGAGGAATGTATCCATTTCTTCTAGATTTTCTAGTTTATTTGTGTAGAGGTGTTTGTAGTATTCTCTGATGGTAGTTTGTATTTCTGTGGGATCGGTGGTGGTATCCCCTTTATCATTTTTTATCGTGTCTATTTGATTCTTCTCTCTTTTTTTATTAGTCTTGCTAGCGGTCTATCAATTTTGTTGATCCTTTCAAAAAACCAGCTCCTGGATTCATTCATTTTTTGAAGGGTTTTTTGTGTCTCTATTTCCTTCAGTTCTGCTCTGATTTTAGTTATTTCTTGCCTTCTGCTAGCTTTTGAATGTGTTTGCTCTTGCTTTTCTAGTTCTTTTAATTGTGATGTTAGGGTGTCAATTTTGGATCTTTCCTGCTTTCTCTTGTGGGCATTTAGTGCTATAAATTTCCCTCTACACACTGCTTTGAATGCGTCCCAGAGATTCTGGTATGTTGTGTCTTTGTTCTCGTTGGTTTCAAAGAACATCTTTATTTCTGCCTTCATTTCGTTATGTACCCAGTAGTCATTCAGGAGCAGGTTGTTCAGTTTCTATGTAGTTGAGCGGCTTTGAGTGAGATTCTTAATCCTGAGTTCTAGTTTGATTGCACTGTGGTCTGAGAGATAGTTTGTTATAATTTCTGTTCTTTTACATTTGCTGAGGAGAGTTTAACTTCCAACTATGTGGTCAATTTTGGAATAGGTGTGGTGTGGTGCTGAAAAAAATGTATATTCTGTTGATTTGGGGTGGAGAGTTCTGTAGATGTCTATTAGGTCCTCTTGGTGCAGAGCTGAGTTCAATTCCTGGGTATCCTTGTTGACTTTCTGTCTCGTTGATCTGTCTAATGTTGACAGTGGGGTGTTACAGTCTCCCATTATTAATGTGTGGGAGTCTAAGTCTCTTTGGAGGTCACTCAGGACTTGCTTTATGAATCTGGGTGCTCCTGTATTGGGTGCATATATATTTAGGATAGTTAGCTCCTCTTGTTGAATTGATCCCTTTACCATTATGTAATGGCCTTCTTTGTCTCTTTTGATCTTTGTTGGTTTAAAGTCTGTTTTATCAGAGACTAGGATTGCAACCCCTGCCTTTTTTTGTTTTCCATTTGCTTGGTAGATCTTCCTCCATCCTTTTATTTTGAGCCTATGTGTGTCTCTGCACGTGAGATGGGTTTCCTGAATACAGCACATTGATGGGTCTTGACTCTTTATCCAACTTGCCAGTCTGTGTCTTTTAATTGGAGAATTTAGTCCATTTACATTTAAAGTTAATATTGTTATGTGTGAATTTGATCCTGTCATTATGATGTTAGCTGGTGATTTTGCTCGTTAGTTGATGCAGTTTCTTCCTAGTCTCGATGGTCGTTACATTTTGGCATGATTTTGCAGCGGCTGGTACTGGTTGTTCCTTTCCATGTTTAGCGCTTCCTTCAGGAGCTCTTTTAGGGCAGGCCTTGTGGTGACAAAATCTCTCAGCCTTTGCTTGTCTGTAAAGTATTTTATTTCTCCTTCACTTATGAAGCTTAGTTTGGCTGGATATGAAATTCTGGGTTGAAAATTCTTTTCTTTAAGAATGTTGAATATTGGCCCCCACTCTCTTCTGGCTTGTAGGGTTTCTGCCGAGAGATCCGCTGTTAGTCTGATGGGCTTCCCTTTGAGGGTAACCCGACCTTTCTCTCTGGCTGCCCTTAACATTTTTTCCTTCATTTCAACTTTGGTGAATCTGACAATTATGTGTCTTGGAGTTGTTCTTCTCGAGGAGTATCTTTGTGGCATTCTCTGTATTTCCTGAATCTGAACGTTGGCCTGCCTTGCTAGATTGGGGAAGTTCTCCTGGATAACATCCTGCAGAGTGTTTTCCAACTTGGTTCCATTCTCCGCATCACTTTCAGGTACACAAATCAGACGTAGATTTGGTCTTTTCACATAGTTCCATATTTCTTGGAGGCTTTGCTCATTTCTTTTTATTCTTTTTTCTCTAAACTTCCCTTCTCGCTTCATTTCATTCATTTCATCTTCCATTGCTGATACCCTTTCTTCCAGTTGATCGCATCGGCTCCTGAGGCTTCTGCATTCTTCACGTAGTTCTCGAGCCTTGGTTTTCAGCTCCATCAGCTCCTTTAAGCACTTCTCTGTATTGGTTATTCTAGTTATACATTCTTCTAAATTTTTTTCAAAGTTTTCAACTTCTTTGCCTTTGATTTGAATGTCCTCCCGTAGCTCAGAGTAATTTGATCGTCTGAAGCCTTCTTCTCTCAGCTCGTCAAAATCATTCTCCATCCAGCTTTGTTCCGTTGCTGGTGAGGAACTGCGTTCCTCAGATGGAAATGCAGAAATCACCCGTCTTCTGTGTCGCTCACACTGGGAGCTGTAGACCGGAGCTGTTCCTATTCGGCCATCTTGGCTCCTCCCCCATCAGCATTTTCTTTGAGATTACTTTTGCATCCGTCTCTTCTTTCATTTTCCTTTGCCCGGTGTCAAGTTCAATTCATAATGGCCCCATCATGAGACTGTTAACAGTTCCTCCTTTACTTGGTCCCCTTTTAAAATCTTTTCTCCTTACCCACACCAGAGAGACTTATCAAAAAAAGAAAAAAAAAAAAGCTGGCCCAGGTGGTCCCCAGTTTACTCTGAATTTCCTGACACCTGTCTCTACCTTCATGACTTTGTTGAAGATGATCCATAATTTCCACTTCTGAAAATTCCAGGAACATTATCAGGCCTCAGTTCAAAAGCCACCTCCCTCCAGGAGTTTTACAGGCCATGAACCATCCTTGTTTGCTTTTTTCTTCTGACATTTTTCCCTCAACACTTCATATCTGAGTTATCTATTTACATGTCTATGTAGCATTGAATGAATAACTAGAAACATAAAATAACTCAGATCAGAGATATGTTACTGTTATTTCCAATATTCAATTACTCCTTTATTTTAAAAAATGTTTAAAAGATACTTGACTAATAACATTTTCTGGCACTGTTTCCCAATTCTCCAGTGAGATGTAAATGAGCTACAGCCCCTAGAAAGCCCATCTAAGCAGTGGCTCAAATGCTTTATCTTGCACTTGACATATTAATATTGCACAAAGAAAATGAGCTGAATTCCTAAGTGAACAGTAGGACAAACAGGAAATGTCACTGTGATCAATACCACTTTTATCATGTCTTTCTGGAAGCAGAAGAAAAGAAAAAGAAAGAACTTCCAGAAAATAAAATATAATTCTACCAGGTCAAGTCAGAATGAGTTCTATCATATTTAATCACATTGTTTTCAGTCTTTATGGCCTATGGTCAAGAATATAGTGATATTCTTGTGAGAAACCATCTAGGGCCAGGTGTGGTGGCTCACACCTGTAATCCCAGCACTTTGGGAGGCTGAGGTGGATGGGTCACCTGAGGTCAAGAGTTCAAGACAAGCCTGGCCAACATGGTGAAACCCCTCTCTACTAAAAATACAAAGAATTAGGTGGGCATGGTGGCAGGTGCCTGTAATCCCAGCTACTCGGGAGGCTGAGGCAGGGGAATCACTTGAACCTTTGAGGCGGAGGTTGCAGTGAGCCCGCATCGTGTCATTGCACTCCAGCCTGAGCAACCAGAGCAAAACTCCACTAAAAAAAAAAAAAAAAGAAAAGAAAAGAAAAGAAAGCATCTAAAACATACATGACAGCCAGGCCCAGTGGCTCACGCCTATAATCCCAGCCCTTTGGGAGCCTGAGGCAGGCAGATCACTTGAACCCAGGAGTTTGAGACCAGCCTGGGCAACATGGCAAAACCCTGTCTCTACAAAAAGTACTTAGCCAGGTGTGGTGGTGCGTGCCTGTATTCCCAGTTACTTGGGGGGCTGAGGTGGGAGGATCGCTTCAGCCTGGGAGGTTGAGGCTCCAGTGACCTGTGATCTTTCCACAGCACTCCAGCCTGGGCGACAGACAGTAAGCCTGTCACATTAAAATAAATAAATAAATAAATAATACATGACAAAGTAAGTAAAAAGAAAGATTGAATTCTCTCATGTTGGTGTCATTTCATGCTGAACCTACTGCCGCTCCATTCCCTACATCTGAGCATTTTCAAGGCCATTAAAAAATATATATTTGGAATGAACTAAAATGCAGAAATGTCACCTCAGAAGGTTTTTAAAGTTATTTGCTTGCCATCAACTCCAACTCACAAGCTTAACACTTGCTAAGTTATATAAATTAAGAGAGAATTTGTGTGGTTGGAATTGATAGACTAAAATTATGAACCTCCCCGTTAAAAAAGTAACTTTCTCTCTATGCATTCCTTTCGTAGTTTTGCTTTGTGAAGGTCATGGCAAGCAATCAATGTATCTGGTGGCAGGAACATTCATCTTTTTTGGTGCAGTCAATTTTGCTCTATCGTTTCAAATATAAAGAGTGTAATTTTAAGCTTCAAATCACTTCTCTGAAGAAAGACACTCCTATTAAAGACAAAACAATGTTGGGAAATGACTATAGGATTGGGTATTCTCTGCTGTCAAGGAATATCTCCATATTACAATGAGGAAAGTACTAATGCCTATCTTAAGGGCTTTATAGTTGCTTTCCTATGTGATGTGGGTGAGAACTATCACTGGGTGGAGAAAAATCTAGGTTGCAAAAGATTGCATGTTATCTTCTGGTTGGCTGGGATTGTGTAGTCGTAAGTAACAAGAAGTTCTATTTTTCTGATCTTCTTCCCAATGTAAAACATCTACATTGAGCCTGAAAAATATTTCCTGTTTGTACTTGATAAATTCTTTATTTAAAAAGGCAAAGAGTAAAATTAAAATAGAGATGGAGTGCTAGTTTTCTAAACTTTTTTAAAAAGTTGACTGTCCTTTATATTTCATATATTTTTATTTCAAAGACTCAAACATGGAAATATGTATTCAATACAAAATATTTTAGTCTGAGATGTGTTATTTATTTTTGGAAACAGAGTCTCACTGTCACCCAGGCTGGAGTACAGTGGCATGATCTTGGCTCACTACAACCTCCACCTCCTGGGTTCAAGCAATTCCCATGCCTCAGCCTCCCCAGTAGCTGGGACTACAGGCACGTGCCATCATGCCCGGCTAATTTTTTTTTTTTTTTTTTGTCTTTTAGTAGAGATGGGGTTTCACCATTTCACCATGTTGCCCAGGCTGATCTGGAACTCCTGACCTCAGGCAATCTGCCCACTTCGGCCTCCCAAAGTGCTGGGATTACAGGCATGAGGCACTGTGCTTGGCCTAAAATGGATTATTTAGAATGAGCTCTATTCAAAACAAAATATATATCTCAGCATGGAAGTTGGATTCCTCTCTCTTAAGACATCCTTGATTTTCACTAAATGTAAGTTCTGATTATTTTTTAAAACACCCCATAATAAAATTATCCTGATTTTAAATTTTTTAAAGTTTACGTACTATGTTATCATGCCATGATTAGTAGTAATAGACAAGTAAATATTAGCCAAAGGAATTAGAAGAAAAGGTAAAAACATATTAGAAACCAAGCAAAGTTATTAATTTCATTTACCATAAATGATTATCAGGAAGCACCAAGAGTAGCTTAAAACTATTTAGAATGCCAAGCAATAAATATTTTTTAAAATTATGGTTAACTTAAAAATATTTAGCTGAAGTAGCAAGTCACAAAACGTAAGTTGTCAAATGTCTAGTTTTGCTTATAATTTATAATTATTTGCCGATTTTGGGGGTATAGGATTTCAACTTTGCCTTTATGCATGGGTTCGCTGATTGAAGTTTCATATCCTCCTTAACACACAGCATATCTGGCTATGATTTCCAGTTTTTGTTTCTTAAAAGAAGAGAAAAAAATTAAGGTGCTTAAGGGGCAATATGATAAAAAACTCCTTTAGATTTTTATACTTTTTCCCTAAAAATTTTATTGTAGTTTTGCCCAACTGCAATTTAATATATTTTTAGACAGAATTGAATCTTCCCAAAGTAATCAACTTATTTAATATAAACAAAGACTATTCTTTGTTTTCACAATAATATGTCATTAAGTTATATAATATTTAATTATGGAATTTCAGTAACAACAGAAACAGAAACTAGCTGGAACACACTTGGAAAGTATAATTATTCTTGGTGAGCATATACCTCAGCTGATAGGGACAGAAGTGCTCAGGTGTATTAGAGAGTAGTCCATTAGCCCTGAGCTCCCATGTTTTGCAGAGGGAATAGAGAGCTTTGGTTAATGCAAGAAGTCAGTGAAGGAAGATCAACTAGTAAATGTTACAATTTACTTAGGAATAAATTTAACAATAAATGTATAGGCCATGTATGTTGAAAACTACAAAAATAAATTGAGGCACATCAAAACCTTTTGAATCAATGCAGAGATATTCCTAGTTCCTGGATGGGGTTTCAATGTCATAAAGATATCAGCTTTCTTTATGTTAATCTACAGAGACCATGGAATTTAGGTGAAAATCCAAGCAATCTTTTATTTTAAAACTGATAAAATCATTAAAAATTATTTTTCCAAAGAATAAAAAAATGCAAGAAGAGTCATGGATATTCTGAAAAGTATAATAAAAGGAACTTTATCAATGTAGCCAAACTGTCATAAACCTACAATGATTGAATCACCATAGTTATGGTACAGGAAGAGAAAATTAGATCAATGGCTTTCTACCAGGAGCTCAAAAATAAATTCAAATATTAATAATATTAATACAATAAAAATTTAGTGCATTTGACATTTGCATTATGCATTTAACACAACTAGAGAGCAAATAGATTTAATCTATGATATTGAACTGGCTAGTCAACTGAAAGGTCATTCATACGTCATTCATTACACCAATACAAATTTCAAATGAGTAAAAAATATAAAGGTAAAAAAAAAAAACACTATAAGTAGTAGAAGAAGATAGGTATGAGCAGTTTTATAATCTTTGGATAGAGAAGGTCTTTCATTGCATGAAACCCAGGAATTATAAAGAGGAAAAGTAGATAGATTTTACTGCATTCAAAAATTCTGTTCAGCTAGACATAAATATGTCGAACAACATAACAAACATAAAAACGGTCCATCACAAATGACAAAACTTAAATTTCACAAATATGACAATGTTAATACCACTAAAATAGAAATAGCTCTTAAAAACAAATAAGCATAACAATGGATGGAAGGTAACAGAATTTGTGAAACAAAGAATATAAAGAGACAATAAATATGTAAAAAAGAAATGCAAATACAGAATTTTAAAAATAACGCATCGAGTTGGCAAAGCAGAAAATAATGTCTAGTTTTAACATGGGAAATGAGACTCACTCATGCTCCACTAGTGGGAGTGTAAATTTCTACAGATGCTTTGGAAATTGGTAACAGCATTTTAAATTTATATATTCTTAATATTAAAGACACATATATTTGAAGAAGTGTAGAAAGGTAAGTACACAAAGATGCTTACTGCAGAATGTATAGAGTAGTAAAAAAAGAAAGAGAAATCAATACAACCAGTTAAATAATGTTACATCCATAAAATGGATTGCTACAAAGTCATTTAGAAGAATGACATGGTTTTTCATATTTACTGACATGGAAACATTTCCTATATATAATGTTGTGCAAAAAAGTAGGTTGCAAAGCAATATATGTAGAAATATTACTTTTATATAAAAGCATATATAATATTAACCTCTATATATCCATGCAGATGTATAAATATATATTATGTGCATAATGGATGTCTTTGGGTGGTAAAATTAGGTGACTTTTTAAAATTTTTATTTTATGTATTTCCATATACTTTTCTATAAAAATGTTTATTTTTGTTTATAGAAACTGTAAAATTTAATATTTTAATGAATTCATTTTGCTTATCTCTTCAGTTATAATAAAAGTTACTTTATGCTAAAACATGATTTACATCTACAATGAAGTTTTTGCTTTTTGGTTTTAACTAAATTATATCTAGGGAGTTAGGAAGAAATAAGAAGCTGCTTCCTACAAATATGATTTCCACTTTTGTCTAAACATATTCAAAATAAAGAGTTAAGATTAATAAATCCCAGAATTCCTGTTCTAAAGAGAAATACAGCAGGAGGTCAACAAATTTTTACTGTAAATAAGAAAAACTACAGCTCAAATTGACTTACACAACAAGAAAATTTACTATTTTATTGGAAGTCCAGATGAAAGGTGGGCTCCAGATCTGGCTTAATGGTGTATGTGGCCCATTATTGTCATCAGGAACTCAAATTATTTCCATAGTTCAGCAACTTCACTATATTCAGCCTTGGCTTCAGCCTAAATTGAGTCTCCTCATGGTTCTAAGATGGCTGCCAGTACCAATTATGATACATGCTTCCTTCCATAGTCCATCAGGAGAGGAGCCCCAAAACTTCTCCCCTAAGCATGGAATACAAGTCCTCCACTTTGGTCTGATTGGATCAACTTGGATCACCTGGGCACCTGTGAGCCAGCTGTATTCCAGTATAGTGCTGTGTGTTGATGGGTCTGAACTCAGCTGTATCTACTTCTAAAGCTGGGAATGGGGTATAATTTTTCATACCTGAAAAAATTACAAGTCTGTTTGGAATTGGGGAATGAATAACAATTAGGTAACCAATTGTGTCTACTAAAAATGGGATATGTAGATATTATATTTAAAATGTACAATCAAAAGCTTCATTTGAACTTCAATTGGCTGTTCATGCTGATTAAACACACTGCGTAAATTTGTAGTTTATCCACATTACTTTAATGATATGTGTTGCTTGAGTTCAAGGTTATGAAACAAGTGTAAATTCTCATCCAACGTAAATGTCTCATATCACTATTTTCCTTAAAAATCTGCTTTATGATAGGCAGGTTAATTTGCAAATAAAAAAATTACTGTATTCTAGATACCTTTGTTGCTATCATATTTATAGAAAATGTTTGGATTTTTAAAAAAACTTAGGAGTGAATTTTTATTGTTCTGAAACCATAGCTCAATGACAAAGATAGTATTGAGTAGTAGATTGTGCTGGAAACAAAAGACTATGCCAAAGGATAGTAATTAGAGAAAGCTTTATATAAAAGCATTTGGATGAGTACACAAGACAGAAATGCACAGAGTTCTTGCTGCGATTAGGGAAAGGGTAAATGTTCTGCATCACAAATCTCCCTAAATTTGGGCATATACAATATATATAATGTTGAATTTGGTTTGTCCTTTCCAGTGATTCTTACACTATAATTTATTTATTGCCAGGTCATAAGGAAGTAAACACATATTATTAATTTGGTCTAATATTTAACTTATGCTGCAGCAGACTTGTATTTCTTTAGTGATAAGTAATGGATTGTTTTCCACACACAAGCAAATGGAGGCGGGAACAAGTGACACATTACGCCCCTCTTTAAGAGCTCAGCATGGCCTTCCGACTCAAATACTAATTGAATATTGACTGAAAGATAGCTTTGGGCTCTCCACATAGAAAGAAAACTGAAAAGCTCTTTGGACTAAATGGCAAATCTACAATTGTCTAGAACTGCTGCTTCGGGGGGAGACGTGCTTCTGATTAATTGAAACAAGTGCACATCTTAACCAGTGTCTGTTTACTTTGAAGGTCTATACTGCTGAATCATAATAACAGCAGTACATAGGCTGCCTGTGGAAAGAAGACAGTAGAAAGAAATCCTTTTCTTTTCTCCACTGCCAGGCAAACAGGAAGGCTGACAAATTATGTGGGGCTTTTGTCAAAACTCATAGGGAGTTGTTTCTAATCTGGCCATGGAAAAATGCTGGAGCAAATCATGTCCTTTGCAAATGAGATATTGGTTTGTGTTGACAATATTCTTCAGAAAATAAAGCCTCAAAGTGCCTTATAGGAAAACACATCACTTCAAGACAAGGTCAAGGCCAATCACTCTCTATTTGCCAATCACCCAGAAGTCTACATTATCTTTGATGGGCCCTCTGCCTTGGTTTAGTGTTATTTCCACTGGAGCTACTCAGAGGTACAGATCATTTTCAAAGGCTCCCCACTGCCTACCAAATAAAGGACAACTGACAGTCTAGTAACATTCAGTGTTTACCGCTACCTGATCCTAAGCTACCTTTCCGATCATGTGGCTTTTATATGCTTTTTACTGTAGTTTTGCTTGGCTTCTGTCTTTGCTCATGCTGTCCCTAGCATATCTGTTTTCCTTCCTACCCAGGTTCAAATCCTATTTGTTCCTCAGCTGCAAATGCAGCCTCCTCCAGGAAGCAGGCTGTAAGCCTTTGGTAAACAGTGTAGTGTTCTGAAGCCTTTCAGATGATGTAATGACCTGGTGACCCAGGAATATCTGAATCTTACCGTAAACCAAAATCTCCTATTCTCTTAAGAGAGCTATAATGACAGATGATGATGACAAATGGAAAATACCATCATCCCTCAGTATCTGCAGGAGATTGGTTCTAGGACCATCCCGTTCTGGCATACACTAAAATCTCCAAATCTGCATATGCTCAAGTCTCACCGTTGGCCCTGTGGAACCTGCATAGGAAGTCAGCCCTCCCTATGTGTGGGTTTCACATCCTGCTAATATTATATTTTCAATCCTTGGACTTGCACAGTTCAAACCCACGTTGGTCAAGGGCCAGCTGTAAAATCACTATATTAAAACTTTCAAAGACTGGGCTGGAGCCTTTCTCTACTCCTATGCCCAGATCCAAATCTTACCACCTCTATTAACACATAAAAGATAGAAAAGATGGTACCAAAGAATGTGCAAGAAGAGACAGAGGATCAGGAATCTTATGCTTCCTATTTATGCAAATAACTCTAACCACTACATGTGGTCCATACAATAACTTTTCTGTAATCTTACCACTAAGATAAGACTCTTTCCACTTGGGGAGGAGTGAGAAAGGGCAGGGAGCTTGAACGTTCCTTATTCTCTGGGTGCCTATGCAAATTTAGGTTGGTTTGGGGGATGAAATCATGTTGGAGAAAGGACAAATCCAAGATTCTATTTTAGTGTGCTTGGGCACACTGAAAGTTTTCTCCCCAGATTCCAAACCAACACCAGAAGTCATGCCTCCTCCTCTCTCCTTCTATGGGCTTGACATAAACCTGGGTTTATTGTGGGGTTTATGCTTTCTTGGGGCTAAATTAAACTCCATCTGCATCCTTTAGGTCAGCTGGAAGCCAGATGGAATCACATGTACATTTTCTGAAATTATGCTAGGTTCAACCATATGAGCTTTGTCCAAGTGTCATTATGTGGTTCACAATGTTATGCAGAAGAGTTTTTGCACCTGCAGGGGCATATCAGAATATCGGTCACTGAAATTAAATATAACTTAAAGGGCAGGCACCTTGCTTTACATTTTTAGAATTTGTAAAAAAAAATGAACATTCATAGCCCACACATTGTGACAAGTACATAAAGTTACTCTAATAAAATGAAGACAAAGATCAACAATTGCTGTAGGGAAATGCCTTTGAACTATTGATTCAAGATACTTCTACATATAGGCATTGATTTTCTAAGATTTTTGTACAAATCTCCCCACAAAATTATAAAACTGATCTGTGCTGGATAAAACATTCAAGCCTAATTCATGACCTTTTCTCACAGTGTGAAGACATTTATATTCTTCTTTTCTCTCCTTTCCCCATAGCTTCCACACATTTCACTTAATCTTCTTAAAATGCTACAATGGTCATGTCGTTGTCCTGCTCAGAATTCTTCAGCAGTTCTCCATTGCCTACAGTGTGAAGTCTCCCACTCCTTAATCCCCTTACCTTGGTGAAGGGCATCTACCATCATGAACCAACCTTTGTTCTTATTTTCTATCCAATACTGGAATCTTATACAATTATATTTGTCTGTTCATATGTCCTCAAACTTGCTTTGCATTATCTCATCTCTAAAGAGAGTTGAAAGTATCCTTCCCTCCTCTCAAAATGTATCACACTGCTATCACTTGATCTCAGTCAGCTTGAGGCTTAGTTCAAATACCACTTCTTCCACCCAGCCTGGCCAAAGGCTATTTCATTCATTAGGCAGGAGAGACATAGGGACTGGAGCCTTGGAACTCTCCAAGGCGCTAAAAAAAAAAATCCAAGATCCTAAATATAGTCTTCAAAATGTAGGAATAAACATGAAAAATCTAAATATTCAATTAAGTGACTTCCAAACACATATTGACTCCATTAATTGTTAAATTTAGTCCTCATAAAAATATTGATAGCATTGAAAACAGTGGTTTTTTTTTTTTTTTTTTTAGACAGAGTCTTGCTCTGTCGCCAGTCTGGGGTGCTGTGATGCTATCTCGGCTCACTGCAACCTCCGCCTCCCGGGTTCAAGTGATTCTTCTGCCTCAACTTCCCGAGTAGCTGGGGTTACAGGCACGCACCACCATGTCCAGCTAATTTTTATATTTTTAGTAGAGACAGGGTTTCACCACGTTGGCCAGGATGGTCTCAATCTCTTGTGATCTACTCACCTCGGCCTCCCAAAGACCTGGGATTACAGGTGTGAGCCACTGTGCCCTGCCAAGGTTTAAGTTTTCAGGGATTCCTCTGAATGCACCATGATTCCTGAGAAATCATAGTCATTTATTATATAGACAAATAGCTTCAAAAGCAAGATTGAAAAACATACATTCCAGTTTTTTCAATAACCAAGTAGATGTGAAATGTGACATACATTTAAATGTTTTATGAGGTGGGGTGGACCCTCTAAAAGCGTGAATCACTATGACTTTCACAATTCTGCAATAAAATAAAGATTACATAAAATGAAGCAATTTTTTAAAAAGTCTAAAATGGCCCAGGCCATTCTTACTGTAAATTCAAGTCTGACAGTGCAATGGGAGGAAGCCCTAGTTGCAGTTAAGTGGCCCAGGTTGGTGCTCTGTAGCCCATTCCAACCAGTGGGACTTCTCTGGACCTAACTTTTACTTGTTACAAAACAGGAATTTATAACTCGTCTCACATATACTCAAAGGGCTGTTTTAATGAAGCAATGAGATAATCTCAGTGGATAGGCTACAAATTGTAGAGAATATATATTACTATTCTGAATAGTTATGAACCAACAATCATGAACTCATGTATCACCTATTTATTGAACACCTATTATATATACATACAATCTGTCAGACACCTGGGGAGACTAAATGATCTCTGCAGTCAGGAGAAAGAAAAAGAACAGTTATACATTGAAGTAAGGTGTGATGAATGCCTCAATGTAGTTAACATAGCACATGGTTAAGTGTGAAGGCTGGAGTCAGACTGCCTTGGCCCCAACCCATGTGCTATATCTGTGACCTAAGACAAATTTCTTATCTGCTTTTCCTCTTGGTTTCCTCTTCTGTAGGATTGGGATGATTAGCACCTATCTTATAAGGTTGTTATAAAGATTAAATGAGATAAGGCTTGTAAATATATAGAACAGTGACTACACAGGGTAAAGGGCCAATGAATGCTAACTATTTATTCCTATACTTTATAACTGAGTGTTACCTTCTACCTAGGAAAGTAATGAAAGGCAAGGGAGGGCTTTTCAAGCAGGAGTGCAATGACACTGAGGCTCACAAAGAGCAATGGACAGCACAGGGATGTTAAGTGGCTTAATGGGCTGAAGTGAAGGGTGTGTGCAGGAAAACTGAAGTAGTTAAGCATGGATGGGGAGCAAAGATCTACTTACGCCATGGAAGTAAGTTTCGATTTTATCCTGTGCAGGCAACAGAAAGCTACAGAAGAATTCTCAGCCATTGTTTGAAACAATGGTATCAAACAACTTGCAAACACATGCATTCTTTGGTGGTGAGGATGAACAATAAAAGATTTTAAGATGAGTTGCACATTTGTGCCTTGGCCAGCTCAGTTATATGGTAGCGCCACTGGGTGGCCATTCACAGAGTTAGAAAATAAGGGGAAAGAATCTGGATGAGAAGAAAAATTGTATCATTGAATGGTGTGAGGACATTGAAAGGAGATGCCATGGAGGTCAATGCTCCTCCAAGTGTGCTCTGTAGACCTGTGTCATCTGTGAACTACTTCTTATTGGCCCTCACTGAGATAAAGTGCTTATACCAGAAATTACATCAATTTAGTCACTATGCATACTACTCAATACAGCTGACAACTTTTATAGGAAGACTTTCCTAGCAGAAGAAGGTAATGAGTTGATTTACATTCTAGTCCAAGCTCTTTACAAAGCATTCACTGACCTGCACCTGTCTGTGGCCACACCTTTAGCAGCACTGATGCAAATGGCTAAATGTATGGGTCTGGCAGTCTGGCAAGAGGCCTATGCTGGAGACAAAAGATTTGCAAATTTTAAGTGTAGAGATGTTAGTAGCTAAAGTCATGATTAGGGATGAAGTTGCTGAGACAGATGGTATGGACAGAAGAAGAGGGCTGTCTTTGTTAGGACTGCAATAACCAAGAATCACCAACTGGGTAGCTTGAGCAACAGATATTGTCAGAGGCTAGGTGATGATCAAGGTGTCATCAGAGTAGGCTCCTTCTGAGGCGTAAGAATCTGTTCCATGCCTCTCCCCTAGTTTCTGGTAATTTGCTGACAATCTTTGGTGTTCCTTGCTTGTAGAAGCATCACCCCAATCTGTCTTCCTTTTCACGTGGCCTTCTCCGTGTGTGCATATCTCTGGGTCCAGATTTCCCCATTTTATAAGGACATCAGTCATAATGGATTATAGCCCACCCTAATGACCTCATCTTAATCTTCCAAATAAAGTCATATTCTGAGGCAGTGGGGGTTAGGAATTTGACATATAAATTTGGGGGGAACATAATAAACCCATAACAAGAGCCAAGAATGGAAATCTAGAAAACACCAATATTTACAATTCAGACACTCACACTATCCTGACTTAGTCTACGTCAGTGTATCTCAACTTCTCAACCAGATTGCTAGGTTCCTAGAGATCAGGAAGGCCATCTAAAATGACTTTACATACTTTTTCTACAGGATCTAGTGAGTTTCTCATACATAGAAGTGGCTCAAACAACATTGTCTGATGATGTATAACAAACAAAACTTGAATATGGAAGAACCCCCAAGAAATGTTTTGAACACAGTATGTTATGACACACTGCCTTATAGACAACAGTTGCTATACTTGTCAGAAAAATCGCCAATGTAGATGTTCAGGATATACTTCAACTCATTTGCTTAAACAACTCTATGCCTACCATCCTCACCAAAAAGCTGTTTTTCTACATGGGCAACAGAAGGCATAATTATTTGCAGGAATTTTCAGTATTTTCCCTTTGCTTTCTTAAGAGGCATAGTAGATTCTCTGGACCACTTGGCATGTTTGCCAAAATCCCATTGTCTTTTTAAAAGCATCACCACTTCCTTAGGGTTTGTAACTTAGCATGTGCTCCTGGAACACTTAAGGATTAAAAAAAAAAAAAAAAAAAAAAAAGTTAACTTCTAATTATCCCAGAACTTTTTTACTGCACAGAAGTAATTCTGAGAAGCACGTGATGAATTAATATTTTCCTCCCATGGGCTGTTGAAAAGACATCAATATATTATCAATTTATTTCATATCTCTCAATTTTAGAATGGCAGACAGCAGATGGGAACACTTGAGGGCTTGATAATTCAATTTATTTTCAAACCTTTTTCCCACTTGTTAAAATAAAAGGAATAACACAGCAAAAATAATTTTCTTTGACTAGTGAAATGTATCAGAAAAGTCCATATCTAAGAAGCAGTTTTACTTTTTATTGATGTTTTCTACATAGCATATTCTTATTACCATATCCAATATGCAGTAGCTCTGTAGTTATTATTTATTTATACCTTAACTACACCCAGAAAGGACTTTAGGCAGCTTACAATAAAATAACAGAAAATAATGCCAAAATCCTGTAAGAGAATAAAAGTAGAGAAAATGAGCACATTTATTTATGCCTAAAATATGTAGAACTTACAGGTTCTGTGATACAACTTTGGCAACATTGTGGCTGATGGTAAATTAAACAGCCTAATTTTCACTAACCCAAATGAAATGCACTAAAAAATGCACACCCAATATGAAAACTTATTTCTTTGGCTTCTGCTGATTTTAATGTTTGATCACTTAAACACACACTATGGTGATTCAAGTTCAACTAGGATTCACCCATTGCAAGGGATTCATAAAGAAGGCTTTTCTCTACAATGGATCTAGAAATTTGTCACTTTTTGGTATTAACAAACAAAGTCAAAGGTAATAGATAGCATGTTTCTGTAACATAACTTATTTTGAAGCCATTTGGTAATTGGTTCACTCTGAGAAGCTTTTATAAAAGTAAAAATTATAGAGACAACGTCTCTGTAATAAAGGTGACTGTATTTTAGACTATTTCCTCTCTTTAGAAGCTCTCTAGGAAATAAAGCATCAGTGTGAAGTCTCAACAGTAGAACACTTACTGAACACCTACTACATGTCAGGTACTGTTTTGGGAGATGGGAATCTTACAGTCTAGTGAGTGATAGGCATGTGTAAAAAGGGTAATTTAAATATAAACTACAGGAGGTAAAAGAAAAGATTGACTAAGGACTTATGGCAATACTTAGCCCACTACAAAGCTTTGAGTAAGGTTTCCTAAAGGAGATAACACTTGAGTTATAATAATTAAAGGATGAACAAGAGTGAATCGCATGAAGAAAGGTGAGGACGACATTTTGCAATAAGAAACAGTATGAGCAAAGATATTGTAGTCTGAAATACTGTGGAGGAGTTTGGTGAACTAAAATGCAAGAATACTATTTTTACTGTTACTGATAATATTTGTCCATGTACCCCATATTAAAGATTTTAAGCAACTAACATGTTTTTTCTCTTACAATGCTTAATAATTTTTCCCCATTTTACAGATCAGGAAACTAAGAAGTAAAGACATGGATAATGTCCCCAGGGTCACAAAGTCAACATGTCACAGAGCTGACCAGGAATTTGAACCAGGGACTGATAGTCCACAGAGTTAGAGGTCTTAGTCTCTGTACGCTATTGCATATTACCTACTTATGCGAGTCTTACTCTATCTAGATATATAAAGTTTTGAACATATATATATATGCTTAGAATTTACTCTCTACACAAACATAAAAGCATTTTATGAGTTCATTTTTAATGGTAACAATCAATATGGTAATAGTCAATATCATAGTCAGTATCATTAGTGTAAACCAACATTTTTAAAAGAGCTATTTGGATTGAGGACAAAAATATTAGGACTTGAAAAAGGCAGGTGACCTATTCAATGATAACGAGCATAGTGCCTTTCCTCATAGTGGCTATGAAGAAAATAAGGAACTCTGAGGATCCCATCATTTACCAATTGAGTGACCCAAGACCCCTTTATCTGAGTCTTCTGATAAGCTTGTGGCAAATCTTCCCATGTACATGTGCTTGGCATTAGCCATTTAAAATATCTCCTATGAATTCTATCCATGTTACTTTTGTTCAAAGTGAGCTTTTGAAGCCAGACAAATGGGTCCCTGTTTTTTGTTCAAAGAAATACAAGTGAAATGTCTCAACAAAAGTGAAAGAACAGAGATGTATTGTAGCCTGGACCCCCATCTGGTTTATAGGTAACACTCTAATGATAACTACCTGCCTTCTGGTATTCTTGCATTTTAGTTCACCAAACTCCTCCATACTGTTTCATGATGATAATAGCAATAATGAATATAAGGCTTGTGATGGCTAGTACTTCATATATATTAACTTGCCCAGTCCTTTCAGATAAAAACACTGCACATATCAACTTAGCAATAACAAGAGCTGACACTTGTATTGCACTTACACATTCCAGATATTATTTTAACAGCTTTACTATATTATCTCAATTAATTTTCACAAAAACCCAATGATCAAGGTACCACTACAATTCCCATTTCATTCATGAGTAAACTGAGCCTCAGAGAGGTTAATTGTCTAAGATCACAGAGCGAGATAAGGGTACAGCAAGAAAGCAAACCCAGGCATTCTAATTTCACAGTGTATACCCTTAACCACTGTCCTTCACTGTCCATCAATATATCAATAGCAAGGGCTAGACTCAATGCATTGGCTGAATTCATCCCCCTTTCCTCATCTGTTAAAAACAGAAATCATATCACATGCCTAGACTGACAAATGAAAAAGTAATAATTTTGATCATCGGCCCTCCAATTTGGCAAAAACTATAAAACAAGAAAAGTACTGCAGTTGCCAAAGACAGGGAACACACAGTTCTAAATTTCAGGTCCTTCTCTTGGATGCTTTACAGGGGCCAGGGTCAGATCAGTGATACTTGTTAAGCAATTGTAAAAGGAGATGGTGTTGGCAAGAACCAGACAGCTTATATCCTACCATCCAGATTTATATGGTGGATGGGTATCTTGGACCAATTTAGTTAAAAGTGATTAACATTCTATTATTTAAATGATGGTTGGGTAGTCTTATTTCCATCCCTTTTTGCAAATCCATAAAAACTCAGGCCCAGTGTTGTCATATCTTCCACTTGTAAGAGAAGCCAGAAATCCAGATTTTTTATGTGAAATATTTTGATAGTTTTAAATGTTGAGAACTAATTCACAATTTGAAAAGCGCTTTGTGGACAAAATGCATTCGTAGATCAGTTTCAGCCCACAGGCCACAGTTTGCAATCTCTCATGTAGTCTGCTGTCTTATAACCTTTTGAAATTTCACCTTATGTGAAGATTTAGAGAGCTGGACTAATGAAATCTAACTTCATCTCTAACCATCTTGGATTCTTTAAGACACTGTCTTATTTTGTAATGTAAAAACATACCAAATACAACTTTGAATGAATTTGTAAGTCTTGGTAAAAAGTAATCTCATTGTCCAGAAAGAACTATCAACTCCTATATCTGGAGAGGACATTAGAAATTATCCAAAGCTTGTCCATCCCCATCTCCACATGAGAGATTTAGAAATTATCCCAGAGTCTTGCCTACAATCAGTTGTTCATTAGTGGCAGGGTTTGAGCTAAAACACAGGTTTCAAAATATAGGTTGAGTATTCCTTATCCTCAGTGCTTGAGAGCAGAAGTGTTTTGAATTTTTAAAGGATTTTAGAATATTTATGTCATACTGGTTGAGCATCCCTAATCCAAAAATCTGAAATCCAAAGTGCTTCAATGAGCATTTCTATTGAGCATCATGTCATGATCAAAAAGATTTTAGAGCATTTCAGATATTATGTTTTTGGATTATGGAAGCTAAATCTGTATATCCTTTCCCTTCATCATCTAGCTTTTTTCATTCTGATATGGAAGTCATTTAGCCTCCTAGATCCAGCCATTCCTGCAGTCACTTCTGTACCAGTCTCTTCACTTACATGAACCAGTAAGTCACTCAACCTCTTTTTTGATTTAGCCACTTGTGCTGGGTTTCTGTCACTTAGAACCAACAGAATCTGACTGACATTGCCTAACAGTGACTCTTTTCCACATTTCTGCTACCTAGTGTTCTTCTCCAGACTGCAATACCTGTTTTTCCTATGCTTACTCAAATGAAATTAACTTTTAAAGACCTAACCCTAGTC
This sequence comes from Homo sapiens, assembly GCF_000001405.40. NCBI lineage: Eukaryota > Metazoa > Chordata > Mammalia > Primates > Hominidae > Homo > Homo sapiens. Next base: position 62,869,529 of record NC_000003.12, read on the forward strand.
TACTTTCTCTATGAAGATTTTTTTCTACTACTGTATCCAATCCTGTGTGTGCATGCACTCTTCTTTCTTCCTTCCCCACTTTAGTACTTCTAATCAGCGTCTTACAACTAAAACTTTCTTATTCAGCTTATTTGACATATATGTTATCTTCCAAACTAGAAGCTCCCCCAGTTCAGGAACCACATCTCACAAGTACCAATTTCTTCTGCCATCAAGCCTGGGTGAGCGCTTGGTGCAATGAGTAACTGGTCAGTTATTTAGAACTTATTTCTAGGTTAGAACTCTCATCATTCCAGCTTAAGTTTTATAGACACCTGTCCCCAAATCACAGATGCTGGTTATATTTCAACATGATAGCTTACGATTGTTTATTAAATTTGCTTTTGCAGTGGGAAGATCCCTAAGTCATTTGACTTTTATCATTTTACTCAGTGCAATTCTTCAGGAATGAAACATTTAATTTCCTTTGTTCTTCGGTCCAGTTTTAGGGAATCATAAGCCTATGCTAGGGGTGTAATGAGGCAAGAACCTTTCATGGTATTCCGCATCTTCAGAAAGTCTCTGCTATCAGTGCATAACAGCGGCTTCCCAATGTACCAAGGAAAATGGGGAGGGGAGAATGCCAACAAGCCCATTTAAATAATTCAGTTCTTCCCCTGATGAAGAGAAACAATTCTGTTTAAAGAAAAATTGGTTTAATCGTCACTTTGTTCTCTCAAAAGGTAGAATTTTTTTTTAGACTGCAAGTCATATATTGCACTAACAAAGCAAACCTTAAGAATTTTGAGTAGACCAAAGTGCCTCAAAATATATCTGAGTAGACAACTTTATTATTGATTCAAAACACACACATACTTGCGCTCTCTCTCACACACATATATAGTTAGCTAGCACTAGGTCTTTTTATGTAAGGTATGGCTTTTTAGTCTTGCCCAAATAAGCCCAAGTAAATGAATAAGGAAAGAATTTCTATGGCTATGACTCAACATTAGCCATCATTTCATGGGCAGATACAAGCTGAATCATACAGAAATGAGTAGCTTGAACTTACAAGACATTTGTCCTCTTGAATGAAATAGGAATTGCTGTGTAATAGACAGTTTTAAGGATTACCCTTTTCCCCCATCATGCACAGACACACATGTACACTATACCTATGTATGTAGACACAATGCTCATTTTAAACTATTAGAATAATTCCTACATCATTTAAAAAATGGTCATGTCAATCTAAATATTACATGAATTGCTAACAGTGCCTGCTTTTACATTCCCTCACTATAAGTAGCTAGTTCACACAAGGTAGCCACCCATCACCGTTACTACATAGTTTAGAAACATATGGTATAGCTTTGCCATGCCAACTTCTAGGTATTCACTTTACCATTCTGACAAAAGAAGAAGAAAAAGCAAAGAACTGCTTTCCAAACTGTCATTTCTGAGCTACTGAAACATACATTGTTACATTCTGGTGGGGAGATTTTTGTTTTGGTCATAAATTATTTCGCCATGTTATATTTCAATTCACAGTAATGTAACATAATATATCGGTAAATAATAAAATGTTTTTTCAGATAGTCTGTTTAAAGTCCCCTCTTTAATTAGGAAGATTGTTGGAATGCTCTTTTTCTCAGTAAAAGTGAAACCAAAGTAATTACCAAAATTATCCAAATGATGGTACTGTCTCCTTCTGTTCCTTCGGAAGTGTTCTTCCGAGCTAAAATCTTTTTCCTTTCAGTTTAAACGACATAGTAAAGTTGATACAGTCTAGTGTTAAATTTACCCACTAAAAGCCCATCCCTCTCCTTCATATTCTTTAAGAAGTTATACTTAAGCATCCACTTTGCCCATAGTGACTATATTTGATGGGTGTACAGGGGAAGAAAGGAGGACCTCTCTCAATTCAGAGAGAAATAACTCTGGGTAAAGAAGTACACCTGACATGTTGTTAGGATTCTAGGGCTCTTTTTATCCTAGACTATTTCTAGCCAGTATCTCATATTAAAAAGATAGGATTTGGAATCAGAATGTTTCACACTTCAATTGCCATCTTTTACCCATCTACGTGGTGCTTTAGGCAAATAACAAAATTTCCAAGTCTCAGTTTTTTAAAAACGAGGATGGCAATTTGTACATTGTTAGAGTTAGGAGATTTAAAAAATGATTTAAGAACAGAAAAAAATAACTTTGGCTAAAAACTAAGGAAATCTGAATAAACTACAGACTTTAGTTAATAATAATGTATCAATATTAGTTCATTGTAACCCATGTCCCATACTACTGTAAGATATTAAGAAGGGAAATTAGATATGGAGTATATAGGAACTCTCTGTACCGTATATCAATTTTTCAGTGAATTGAAAGCTGTTCAGAAAGATAAAATCTATTCTTCAAAAAATGATCTATGTGCCGTGCACATAGTAGATACTTGAAAAAGTGGTGTGAGTATTGTGATATAGATTATTTGGTTTCATATGGTGCATTATACTCTGTACAATATGGTCTTTTCTCCACAATTCAGCAATTCCTTTTCATAGATCTCGTTCTCTCTCTCTCTGACCTCCATATCATCCTATCCCTTTCTCTACATTTTTCCTCTTTTTCTAGTTCATCCTTTTCTATTCTACTGCAAACTCATGTTTAGTTTACAACTAGTTTATCTTTCTCCAAGACTAACTTTAGCTCATCAACTATTTGTTGGCTTTAAACTTTACCACAGTGATTATGCAAACCTTTTAATTACTCTCAATCATTGCTTATTTTTAAAAAATCAGAGTTCTAAGCTTTCTACTTGAAGGAGCAAAACACACCTCTAGAAAGGCATTAAAAACTTACAGATATAGCAGTGAAAAAGCTTCTTTTTGTAATAAGGAGATATATATATATATTTTGTTGTTGTTTAAATTTAGCTTCCCAGTATAGCCAAAAGCTCTGGGATAGCTTCACTGGGATATGTATTTAGCAACAGTTTGCTGTGATAACTAAGAATAGTTTGACCAAATGTCAGTGTTATCAATCTGTCCTGGAGTCTCTCTGAGGTTAAGCTCCCGTGTAAAAATGCAAACAGCATGCCCCTCAAAACCACAGCTTTGAGTGGATTCAGGTAAAGCATACAATCAGATCAGAAAAATCTGGCCTTATAATAATCTCTAAAGTAACTGAAGTTTCTGTTTAGAAGAACTGTGTCTCTGTGGGATTTCTTTCTCCATGCTAGCTCTGGACTTAAGCAACTATTTAAAGGACAGACCTCTAGAGACTTTGATAAATGTCTCTAGACATCTCCCCCACCCCTTTCGACCTAACACTTAAAGTCACAGTTTTCATTGTCAAAGGAATGGAATATTTTTGGCTGGTGCTGTTATTACTGGGATAGATTTTGGAGGTTGAAGTTCCTATGCTGTAAAGGCACAATTACAATAGGAATTCCAAACTGAAATGTGAACTATTAGGCCCCGTGGACTCAACATCCAGCCTTAAAATAATATCCCAAAAACTTTTACTTCTCTGAGGATACTTTTGCTCTACTGCAGTCAAAAATACGAATTGAAAAAACAAGGGGCCACAGATAAAGATGGAGAGTCTTGTGTGTAACCCACCTCCTGTCTCTCACCCTGGAAATCAGTTTTATCTTTTAATGAAACTGATATCCAAGCTCGTGATGGCTGAAATAAATCATCAGTGCTGGGTGGTGTGTGTACACATGTAAGCAAAACAAACAGAGAAATCTGTGCTAACTCAAGGTAAGGGTGGATAAATACGGAAAACCTAATGCTACTACAGCAACATGTAATTTGTTCTTAAATGGCAGCAACTGAAAGATTCACTATTTTCAGACACTAGTCTCACAGTCTTGATGGGGTTAGGACTGGCCTCACACTGCCTCTGTGTGGGGCTTGACTGGCTTTTTTGATAGCTCAAGTGCTGCAAATTTATTTAAAAGAGAACAGAACGCTGACTTTCTTCACTAACTCACTCCAGCTGGGTTCCTGCCTGCTTTTCTTCTGTCCCCACCCCCCGCCACTGCCCCTCATCTTGCAGTACCCCTCATCCCTTTCTCCAGCTAAAGAACAGCTGATAGAAATAGGCGCCTTTTTTTTTTTTTTTTTAACATCAAAGGCAGCCCAGAGCTATGTCAGCCTTGCCCCAGCCTCAGACAGAAAAAGCTTTTGATGCCTCAGATTGCGAAGCTTTTTGCAGCTGTACTTTATCAAGGCAGCAGTGGCAGGGCTTGGAGGACCCAGGCGAGCCAGAAGGTGGCGGCGAAGTCACCTTGGGAAGAGGAGAATAGGGTCAAAGACAGGACGGCGGAGGGGCTGACCCGGACGGAAGGACCAGAGGGCGTGCCCCTGCTCTGGGGTCAGTGAGGAAGGGTCAGGGGGACTGGTGAGAACTCCAGCCATAAGGAAGCAGTGCCCGAGGACACTTTGGCGACGCTAGTCGGTGATCAGCTGACCCGGGCAGGGAGAGGAGGGTGCCCTTCGCAGAGTCACGGGAAGCTTCGCCTTCTGGGCTTGCTTTCTCCCGCCTGCCCCTGCGGTTGCTCTCTGCCCCAGCGAGCGGAGCGCTGCTCCAAGACGCTCTTCTCCCTCCACCTCGGCGCCCCCACCTGCCGTTGCCCCCGCCCGCCGAACGCACGCCCAGGAGGGCGGGCCCGGAGTTGAGCGCAGCCGCCCGCCGCTGGAGAGCGCTGGGAGCCCTGCAAGCGAGCAAGGCCTCTCTGGGCGCCGCGGGCAGCAAATCACTCCCCGAGCCTCTCGGTCCACAAAGCGGGACCTGCCTGCCTCGCTCACCAACGCTCCCGGGCTGGGGGGGCTCGAGCAAGCGGCGCTGCGCTCCGCGGCCCTCGCCGGTCCCAGTCAGCTCCAGGAGCGCTCCAGGCTGGGTTGGGCTGGGCCTGGGCGAGCCCGGCCGCTGGGAGGGGGCCTCGTAGCCCTTTCCCCAGGGCGCGGTCTCCACCTCTCCTGCTCCTCCTCGCCAGCTGCGCCGCCAGCTCCCATTGTTCACCCCGCCCGCCTGGCGACGTCCGGGTGCTGCTCCCTGGGCCTCCCAGGCGCACCTACCTTCTGCTGCCGGCGAGCCATGTCGGTGGGCTGCTTGGCATTAAAGGGGTAGGCGATGCAGCGCATCACGAACACATACAGCTGCAGCCTCTTCTTCCTCTCCTCCTCCTCTTTCTGCAGCCGCTCCAACTCTTCCTTCTCCTTCTCGCTCACCACCGACGGGCTGGGGCTGGAGGGCCGGCCGCCGCCAGCGCGGCTGCTGGGTTGCAGCCCCCCGGCCCCGCCGCCGCTGCTCGCGCCGCTGCCCCCGCCGCCGCCTGCACCCACCCCGGCTCCGGCGCCGGCGCCGCCGCCCCCCAGCCCGGCGCTGCCGGCCGAGCCCTCGCTGGTACGGCTGGGAGACAGGCGCGCGCCGGACGGGGCCGAGCCGAGCACCTCCTTGCCGCTCTCCTCCTCCACGATCTCATCCGATTCTTCTTCGCTGGACGAAGGGTCCAGCATAGTGGCGCCTGGGGAGCGGGGTCTCTGGAGCCCCCGGCTTGGAGTGCAAAAGGTGGGGGGCGCTGGAGGCAGCCGGGGATCAGCTCTCCCGGGTGGGCGCTTCTCCCCAGGTCAGGGAGCGAGAGCGCTGCTGCTCAGCCTCGGCCGCCGCGACTGATCCTCTGCCCGGCGGTCGCGAGCTGGGCTCAGACCCAGAAGCGCGAAGGGAGGAGGGGAAGGGAGAGGTGCGTCCGTGGACTCGAGGTGGGCAAGGGGGAGAATCAATTGCGAGCCCCGAGCCCGCAGCCGGATGCCATCTGCGGCTGCTGAAGGAGGCGCCTCCAGAAAAGATGCCGAGTGTTGCAAGCTGTCGATGCAGCCAAGAGCCGAAGAGGCATCTTGCCGATTGGGGAGGGAGCGGCGCTTACGTGTTTATTGGCTTAACTCTCCCGTGTCCGCGGCGTAAAGGGCTGCTGCAGAGGGCTGGAGGGGGGAGAGCGCGGAGCGTCCTCAGAGCCTCAGTACTTCTGACCCCAATACCTTGCCACCCTCCTCCCCTGCCGGCTTCGTGGATAATTTTTTTGTTGATATCTGGCTCTCATTGCCTCAACCCCTTTTCCCCTCCCGCGGACAAAAAGTTCTTGGGGGAGGGAGAAATCCAGAAACCAGCCGAGCGGGCTGTTTGGAGACGCTAAATCGAGAGGTCTTACTTAGGAGGAGGAAGTCCGTGAGATCTTATACGGGAAAGAAAGGGTCCATCTCCTTTCCCCAGGCTTCTTTACACCTGGGGCGTGGGGGGCGTGGGGGCTGGGCAGCGTGTTTGTCCCACCTGTGTAAACTCTGATTCCAGCAACTTATTCCGCATGCGCCCAGTCTAATTAAAATAAAAGTGAATCAAATTTTGAATGGATTGGTGTTTCGACCAGGCAACTCAACCATTTATGTAGCGCCCCCGACCTTGCCTACCCCCACCCCCAAAATCTATGATGAATCTTCTTCAGTTCCCAAGACCTGGGAATGCTTTCTGCTGAGGTGAGCCTACCAGAAAAATAGAAGGGTTTCTGGTTGCTTAACCCTCCCTCCATTCTGGCTCGGTGGAGGCTTGGGGACCCCGCGATCAGACAAAGACACCCTAAGAACTCAGCGGCGTCAACATCTAATGCGTCGACTGTCGCACTCTGTTCACCCCTGCCTCTCGGGTAAACTATTAATACAAAGCAGCAGATGGTGCCTGCCTTCCCCGTGCTCCTTTCACTTAGGCCAGTAAACCTGGTAAACGAGGGAGCTGGCCAACGTGCTGAATGTAACCTGCGACCCGCACGCAGATGGATGAAAACAAACCACCAGCCAGCCACCTTCAGAACTTAGGCTATCTAGAGACCTCTCCACTTCATCGCCTATATTTATGTATTTTCTAGTTCTCTAATTATCTGTAGATACTCGTGGGAGTGATTTTAATAGTGTAGCATGAGTTTAAAGTTTAAATCACTTTTGTCTTTACGTATTTTATAATTTACCATGAGTTTTACTAGCTTTGATAGTAAAGTGACCTGTTTGAGACCTGCAGATGAACTCAGAACAACTGGTTTCACATTAACCTCAACAATTCTGTTTGATCTTTTGAGTTAAGTACTTGGATGGCTTATATTTGACTTCACCACCATACCTCAAGGACACAACTTTTGTGGCCATCACACATTTGGTAACAACACAAAATTTAAAAAAAATTGAGCAGTGCGGGGATTGTGACAGTTTTGCAGCCTCACTTTTTAATTCTTCTCAAGAAGTAAAGGATGTTCAAATCATGTGGTATTGGTTTTCCTGGAACAGAAAATATAGTAAGCCAATCAATTGATCAACAACCTTTATCCAGCACCTTTTAATGAAGTAACACATTGTTCTAGGTGCTTGGGATAGATAGAATTTTTAGAAGGCATTCTCTTAAAGAGTCTATAATCTCCTTTGGGAGCTACAACATAAACATGTGAAAAAGATTGACAGCACTTATTCTGAGGCAACATATCAACAAATCCAGGTCAGTAAACTGCAAAAAGCTTGCGTGAATGAAGCAACTTGAAGTGAAGGGAATCATATATTTCTCAAAGAAGAGAATAAAATCTTAAGGGAACATACCATATACATGGGTGGTGAAAAGAGAAGGTATTGCAAGTGGAATAAGTGGTTTGCAATGCCAGAGTAATAGGGCAAGGGATCAAGTAAGGTTAAAGAGTGTTATGGAAACAGGGTATGGGTAGGTGACAGGAGGAGGAAAGAGCTGAAATTATAATCCATTTGGCGAAATAAAGGGACCATGTTTAGGACACAAATTAAGGAGTATGTGATGATTTGGGGAGGAGATGCTGTTGAAGGCCAGAAACAGGTCATTCACAGATTAAATATTTCTTCTAAGGTCTCTTTAGGCATTTAAATACTGTCACATCAGACATTGGTGGCAAAGTGGCCATGAATTCCATCTACAAAAACACTTGGAATTTCACAATTGCTGTAATAAAGTTTTGTTTCATATTTTTACAAACTCCTTTGGGATTATGTGGGTTTTTTCCAGGTATAGTCATTAATATAGAAACTTAATATCCACCTTTTGTAAATTACATAAACCTATGATTTGGGTGTTAAACATAACATTGCTTACATAAATCTAACAATCTTCTCAATCCCCCCCAAGAGTATTCAATCAAAGAGGCTTACATAGATTTTACCAAAAATATTTCCATATTTTTTTCAAATGGTGAACATTGCTGTCTTTCAAAATATACACCCTTTCGAAGACATCTCTTACCTTAGCCGAAAGTCAACTTGGAGATATTCTAAATATTTGTTAGTATTGAAGATAAGATATGCCAACCAGAACTTATGAGGCATCTGAAGTAGGGATTGTGACTTCCCTAAATGTACATTTTGATAAACAGGGGAAAAGATGACCACAGAACACATGCAAAGTCTCTTAACTTTTGTCTACCTCTTGTAAATATTTGTGTTCTTATTTTTAAAAGTAGAATTCCACCATAGATTCTTATACACCTAAGAATTTATGTCCTTAAGCTATTTTATGTGCTTGCATGTTTGCCCCACATCCAGTTCTGCTCTGTAGAAAACTTGGATAACCTCAAGATGATGGAATACATTTTAATCAACTATCTGGAGACCATATCATGAAAGTAGAAGCTATACCGTTGAATTTTGTAATCCTACCCCCAAAAGCAAAGTCTGCAGAAAATGGAAATGACTGAGACACTAAGCCAGGATTTCCTAATCTAAACCTAGATGATCTCCATCCTTCTATGAAGTGTTTGCCTCGATGTGTCAAAGGCCACAAGTATGAGGAAATATCTGACTCGCTGGCAATTGATAGTTTAGTAAAAACAAACCTCTTCTTTATGTCACACATAAAACACATTTCCATCAAATATAACTAAGTTTAATGCCCACTTTGATGCTTTTGTGGGTTTGTTACTAAAAAATAATTTAGCTAAGTTAAATATTTAAAAAATCTCAATAAACTTCATATTATCTAGATGTGATCATCTCATCTAATCAATATTTAATTTTGTTTAAATTATAAGACTAGCTTGCAAGCTCCAAAAATGGGTTAATTTGATCTTACAGTGTGCCTTAGGTCAAGTTAAATGCTTGGCCTCTCAACCCAGACAGTTCTGCCTCTACCACTTAATAGTAGAGCTATCCTGAACGAACTAATGATTCACATTCAGTATCCTCATCTGTAAAATGGGGGATAATAGTACTCACTTCCCCTGGAATGACAACAAAAATAGATGATATATAAAAAGCAATTTTCAACCAATTTTAGCTTTACATTTTTTTTCCAGTGATCTGAGAGGGATGTGCCATAAATGAGATGACAAGAAATTGGACACAAATAATTAGAAGGAAACGAACATAAAAGAAATCAAATAATTCAGAACTAGATCCTGAAAAATAGAAGAGTTGCTTATTTGTTTACTTGATGCCTGTCTGGTTTTAGATAGTATTGTCAGGGATTAGAAATGGTCTATTTTGTTTGAGAAACCTACTTTTCATCATTACTCTTTATATCATATGATGATTCTTACTAAAGTAAAATGAAGCAGGTTAGGATGAAATTAAAGGATCATCATAAGGCTAAAAATAATAAAAATCGAGCCACACCAAAGTATCTTTCACTCTAGGCAACAAAACATGTTTTGGAATGATAAATAATATTACTTGCAAGAATTGGTCTTGGAAAATCACTCTCATTACTTAAGAAGATGAAAAAGAAAAGTGGGACAACACATTTTACAATAAATATTTAAGTCAAATTCTGAAAGCCAACTATTCACAAGAGTAATCATGTTTCTTGTGTACACAATTTCTTTTAATAGAAGTGAGAACTAGATGTGGTATGGATTGAAATGCAGTTTATACTGGTATTTACATGGACAAGATGGAGGGTTTTGTCATTTTGCATTGACTCTGAAATACAGTGACATACCATCAAATAAAAGGGAAAAAAAGTACCCAAGTGGCTGTTTCCACATCATAAAATATTACGTAGATAATCTGCCTAAGTAGCCTAACTCACCAATTAGGTTTGCCTTGATAAATGCTAACATTACATCTTCACCTTCTGAAAAGAATTTTCTGAGCTGATTGTCTGGGTTATAGTTATTTTCACAGACTACAATGGCTTTAGTCTGGAGGCTTTCTTCAGATTGTAAATAGGAATAACTGAAATTAGGGTATTTTCATAATAATCAGTTTGTTTTCAGTTTTAAATATCTGAAATGGAGAGTTCCTTTTTTTAGGCTGCCCTAAAACACAGGGGTCTTACCCAATTTTTTGGAGAAAGAAAATAAATAAGAAAAGGAGATTGAGAGAGGCTTCATGAGTAAAGGGAAAGTAAGAAAAATGTAAGGATGAGTCCTGATCAAAGAGTAGATACTGTCATCTGGGTTAGGGGACATTAAGGGCAAATATACTGGGGGAAATTCTCTAAACCAGCCCTGGTCACCTAGGTGCCAAACTAAACTAACAAAAGGGAACTTCATTGATTAAGGCCTGAGCCCTGCTCATAGGAGTGTACTTCTTCTTCTCCTTCTTCTTTTTAGAGTGACACTGACCTTCCATTTTAGAGTCCACTATTCCAGCCCATTTTCATAAGAACTCCATCAGTCTTCTCTTGTTTCTTTCATCTGTAAGAGCTTTCTGTCCCAGTCTTTTCCAAAATAACATTTGTGGAGATGCTGACATGCTGTTATTTTTCACTCAGAAGTTGTACCTAATGATTTACCATGAGAATCAAGGGACTTCTAAAAGAACTTGGAGTCGCATTATGATAAAGTTTCATATATTCCAACCAGGCACTTATGAGTGTACCAATCCTATTCTTTTATTGTCTGTTATCCCATGTGGGTCTTGAGAGAGATATACAAAGAACAATTGCATATAAAAATCATAATGGAATTATGATAACTGGGATGGGGCTCAAAACTCCCCCAACACAGAACTCTGATAATTTGAAAGTGAGTCATGTATTTTTGGCTTTATATCTAAGCAGAATCTCTACCTTCATTGGCCAGAATTCATATCTTCATGTTTTATTATCCTCTGTTCAGTGACAAGGTACAGGAAGTGGAAATAACAGTTCAGTAAGGCAATGCCTGCAAAAAGAGAGAAATTGAAGGGTCTGCCCCAAGATTGCAGGTCTTGAATCCACTCACCCCAGTCACATGGGGTGACAAACATGGATGACATACCTCCTTAATGAACAGAGTCCTACCCACTAGCAGACATGCCTCAACTGGCACATGTCACCTAATAAATCTAATTTATATTCCCTCTTCTTGAGGAGGAGATAGAAGAGGATAGAAAAACAGGCTGACAGAGAATCAAGAGTTTGCTTTTGAACGGGAGGAAAATATTTCTTTTTTCCTCACCTATTACTAGGCTCATGGCTGAGGCCCCTCTAATAAAGGACAGATTAACAAGAGAAAAGCATACAAGTTTATTTAATACACATTTTACATGACACAGGAGCCTTCAGAAATGAGGACTCAGGCCGGGTGCAGTGGCTCATGACTGTAATTCCAGCACTTTGGGAAGCCAAGGGAGGTGGATCACCTGAGGCCAGGAGTTGGAGACCAGCCTGGCCAACATGGCAAAACCCTGTCTCTACCAAAAATACAAAAATTAGCCAGGCATGGTGGTACATGCCTGTAATCCCAGCTACTTCAGAGTCTGAGGCAGCAGAATCACTTGAACCTGGGAGGTAGAGGTTGCAGTGAGCTGAGATCACACAACTGCACTCCAGCCTGGGCAACAGAGCAAGACTGTCTCAAATAAATAAATAAATAAATAAATAAATAAATAAATAAATAAGGAAAAGAAATGAGGGCCCAAAAAACAGGGAAACCTGTACATTTTTATGCTTAGTTTTGATTAAGAGTGGATAGTCATAGAGAAGTATAACTGGACAAAGGGAGTATTATTGAATGGTAGTAAACCGAGAAGGACTTAGAAAACCTGTTGGTTCATATTCTTCTCTATTTCACTGCATTTTCAAAGATAAGGACATCCATTTCCTATGAATATACGATGGGTCCTTTCACATGAGGATCTTATCACCTGCTTTAAAGGAAGTTCAAAGGATTCTTTCCAAGTTTTATGGCTTGCTTTAGGGAAAAAGGGTGTGGGAAGGTGAAATTGACCTTCCTGCTTCTGCCTCTGCTGTTTCTCAAAAGCCAAGGTGCCATATTCTGGGGTAACGTGTTCTGAACTCTATTTTGGGAAATGGTGGTATGCGCCTGTAGTCCTAGCTACTTGGGAGGCTAAGGTAGGAGGATCACTTGAGCCCAGGAGGTGGAGGCTGCAGTGAACCTCCAGCCTGGGTGACAGAGTGAGACTCAATCTCAAAAAAAAAAAAATCATAACCAAAGCTGCTACTTTTCACTAAGTGGGTTAGTCTCTTGGACTTCTGATTATTCTGCAAACAAGAAAGAATGGGTTTCTCATTAGCTGTATTTATTTGGAATTTTGGCCCTATGCTTGACAATATCTTTGAAGGAGATAATAAGCTAATGCATGCATTTGCTTAGAACAATGTATAGCACATAGTAAATTTCTGATAAATGCCAGTGGAGATGGTGATACTGTTGAATACTATCTTTTATTTCAGATAACAAGGCTGACTCTTATTTTTTGGAAAGGAGAGGGGCTGAATTTACTAAGGTCAGTGAGAAACCTTTTGCCCCGTAAAAGGGAGGCCACCTAGGACTTACAACATGCAGTAGGCTATGAGGGTCAACACCAGGGCTGCAACACAGATCTTAGAGGGAGTGGGTGATGTGTTCTTTCAGGACAGATTTAATATCTTCTTCTTTATCCATTCTGATATCCTAGACTACTTTTACATTTTTAGAAGGGACCAGCATAAGGAAGAGATTTAAGTGAATGAAAGTGACAACTAGTTAGGCTGGAAGACTTGAACAGGACTCTAAGGGGAAGCCATTGGAGTGTGTCTGAGGAGGTACATCAACTGCCATGGAGATACTTTTCTGCCTTTTGCTTGCAGGGCATTATTTCATGCCATGTAAAGACCAGTATGCAGACTTTCCTTGGACTGGTGAAAATCAATCTCCATTTAAATCAACTTATCATAGGAAAGGCAATAAATGTTTAAAGAATATCCTGTACCCAAAGTCAACTCAGCGAAGAGGCTGCAGAAAGTTAGTTCTAAACCATATGGCCTTATCTTTCCTTGCCTTATTATTTATACTGCCCAACAAAATGAGAGCCCTCTGAGTCACCAGGTCACTTGTATTGCCAAGTATTTAAGCAGCACATTTACCACGCAGTATCCTTAATCCATTTGATTACTTCAGAAAATGTGTGGAAAGGGAAAACTTTATGTGTGTGTTGATGCCTTCAGACAGTAGATTGAGTAATCACATAAAATGAAGTAATCACTTTCTTTCCCACCCATGCATATGCATAACCTCTGGTGACTTCATAGGCAGTGGAAATGACCTCATCATGGAGTAACTTCATCCTACGGTTCAATTACGTATTCAGGGCTATTGCAGGTAACTGTCTTCAGTTCCTTGCTGACATTTTACTGGTTGGGTGATAAAAACTGATGAATGTTCAAACTGTACCCAAATTCATGACACAAAGTATGTGACTTTAAAAGTAATTTCCCTTAGGGGTAACTAGATCAAAAATACACAGGTATTGTAACCTGATAAGGGTTTTTCCCCCTAAATTTTTCCAGGTTGGGTGTCATCTAGATAATAAAGACAAACTTTTGACATCCCCATGATCACCTTTATATTCCATAATGATCACTACAGTCCCAACATCGACTATCTGGTCTCTTTGTCCCCATAATTACCCTTGTTATTACCATGCTTTGTTTCTTGATTTTTAATTCTTGTAGACAAAGCTCCCTGGATAAAACCTGTCCAGGTACCTCCTGTTTTATTCACTTAATTGTCTCTAGAAAGGAAAAGGTCACTTGACCCAAGACTCTAAAACACTCAATATTGCAAAATAGTACAAATTGTGCCACTGTAATCAGGCCGGCCTGAGTTCAAATCCTGACTTTATTAGCTGTGTGACCTTGGAAAAGAGAGCTGATTCTTTGATTCTCAGTTCTTCAATCTTGAAATTGGCAATAAAATATCAACGATGCATAGGGGTTTTGTGAAGATGAATCAAGTTAATGCATCTAAAATGCTTGGCACATTGAAGCTCTTTGCACACTAGAACAGAGAAAAAAAAACAAATAAAATGCTAAACACAATGTCTGGTGCATATTCAGGAAATAGAGGCCATTATCAATATTATGCTTGAACTTGTGTCCCACTGACTAGGATAACTACAAGAAGAGATATGTCCAGCATTTGCCTTCTGCAGAGAAGTCAAGTCCTGTTGGAAAGGCCTCTGCAAAAATTCTACTTTGTTATCAAGAACTTAACCTTCTATCCCTGAACAAAGAGCTGCATTTGATAGCTTATAAAAATACATGAAGTTATCATTATGTATTTTATCAAAATTCATCTCAGGAAGAACTTATTTGCCACATGGCCATGAAATAAGATGTTACAAACAGACTTGTAATGAGGTTGACATTCCTGAAAGAAAAAAGAAAGAAAAGGCCATTCAAACATTGCTTTTTGAGGGCTCAGCTAAATAGCTTTCAGAAAGAGCTTCCACTAGCTTGTATTTGCATAACAAAAAGATTCCTCCACCTTCCTATAGTCTTATTTGCAGATCCCCAGTAGAATATTTACTAAAGTCTAGATGCAATTAAACCTTTTGTGAAATTTGTGTTTGATCATGAATAGGGGTGAGTCAGAAAGTTTGAACGAGACTGAAAGATAAAGGGAAGTATACAAGAAAGCACTCTCATCTTATATTTAGCAATGACATTCAAATGACAAAAAAAGAGAGACAATTTTGGAGTAAGATGAAGTTTTCCAATGAGTGTGTTCATTGCTAATCTTGGTTTCTTTGTTTATTGCTCTCATTAATTCAACTAACATATGCTGGATGTTGGAAGATTTGTTTATAAAGTGGTGATGGGAAAGGTAGTCTTGGTCTAAACTAATCTGTCTGGATTTCGAAAGTGCTTTATTATAAAAGGAAAATATAGTGAGTCCTCAAATAGTAGTGTGTGTTTCATTAACATAACAAAAAATGGGCTTCAGATTGCCTCAGAAATATGCCATAAAACCTAAGCTTTTTAAATTTCACTCCAGAAACTTGAAAGAAAGTCTGCTCTCACCTCTATTATTGTTCTGAATTAGAAATTCTTTTTGAACGGTTGATATTTTACTATGAATATTTCAAAGACATGGTTACTAAAGAGTTTTCCTAACCTGGAGAGGTATTTGGAGGGTCAAACAGGGTGATTATTTTTAACAGAAAGGAAGGCCTGAATTAGTCAAATAATTTTTTTTATAATTTCAAGAAGACCAGAGGAGAGCTGTGCATTTGAGTGGTTTGCTTCAGTAAAAGAGAACAGATTTTCTTTTGCTATGATTTTGTAGGTTTAAATTTCTCAGTGTAATTTTCCTGCCACCTGACCTTATTTTCTTTTGCAAAGGCAAAACAAATAAACTTGAAAGGAAGAGGGAAGGAAAACAATAATCTATGTTTTCATGTTCTGGGATTATTTGATTTTCTGGTAGGCTTGTCTTGCTTACTTATAATCATACCAAAATATTCATAATTTTAAAATTGGCAGGAAATGAAGCTGCAATCCTTCTGTCCCTGTTGGAACATATAGGGGAATCAGGATTTTCTCCTACCCCAGAGATTCCTTTCAGCATGCGCCAATTTTCATGCCTGAGGATGCTAAGTGACAAGAATTCTATGTGAAATCATACAGTGAGCCAAGAGTTCTGGTGTATATACCCTGAAAGTGCATTCCAGGACCTCAGAGGCATTTCGATTCTACTAATTGAAAATGTAGATATGTTTTTAGCAACTGGAAATAGCATCACTGTCATTTAAGTTAGATTTTGTGAGCAGAGGCTCTGATAATCCTTATTTATGGCAGGTATATGGGGACTTGTTAAATGACTCTTGCCTTTAGAGTTCAATTATTTTTCCATTGACTTAATACACATTGAGCCCCTATTCTATACCAGCTTCTGTGCTAGATCCCAGGAATACAAAGTGAAACAGGCCAAGTTTTCTGCTTCCAAGGAGCTCACAGTGTAGTTGCGAATACAGACAATAAAAGGAAAAATGATAATGTTTTCTGGAATGTCCAAGGATAAAGCTATGTCTTGGGGGTTACCTGATCACTGAGGAAGAGTACTTGGAGTTGGTATGTGAAACATCATGAGGAAATAGAGAAGAGGTGTTGACAATGGCCAATATCTGTGAAATATGTATGAACGATGGAAATTGTATCAAAGAACGTGATCTGGGGAGAATCTCTGTCCAGTTGAAACATGTCTCTATGATAGTGCCAGGAACATTTTAAAGTGATATATTTCCTGAAGAAGGACGGGGGTAGGGGGGAGTTTTCTAGGCAGGGAGAACCCTGGGAACAGAGGCTCAGGGGCAAAGAACAGTATGTACATAAAAGGGTAGGCTCAGATACTGAAACCAGATAGGTTTGGGTTCAAATCCTGACTGTCACTCTTTAGCTACCATCGAATCATGTAGAAATTTTCTACAGCAGGTGAATCTACTTAACAATCTGCTTTGCTATCGTGCTACTTTTAATTTAGATTTTTATTACTAGCTTTAGCAAACTCTGAGATTAAGTAACCTTTAAGATTTGCCATTATTTGGAGAATAATTATAGTCATAATAATGAAAAATACTGATGATAATAAAAAAGAGAACAATATACACAATGTTCATGTATAAAGTATTTGCTTAGTCTATGCAGACACTAAGAGCTTGTGATGGTTAATTTTATGTATCATCTTGACTAGGCCATGGGGTGCCCAGACATTTGGTTAAACATTATTCTGGGTGTATCTGTGAGGCTGCTTTTGGATGAGATTAGTATTAGAATTGATAGAATGTGCAAAGCAGATTGTCCTCCCTAATGTGGGTGGCCCTCATCCTATCTATTGAAGACCTAAGTAAAATAAAAGGGCTGGCTGGAGGGAACGGCACCTGCCTGACGGCTTAAGCTGAGACATTGGTCTTTTCCCGCCCTCCAACTAGAACTTATACCTTTGGCTCTTCTGGGACTGCAGGTTGTCAATTGCAGATCTTGGGACTTCTCAGCCTTCGTAATCACCTGAGCTAACTCCTGATAATAAATGTCTTTCTTTTGTATGGATATAAACATAGATATATATAGTTAAATATATAATCTCCTATTGGTTCTTTTCCTCTGGAGAACCCTGACTAATACCGTGCTTTAAATATTTTCTCTCATTTTTCTCTAACAAATTTCCCATAGTCTTGATTTTTTTTTTAAAGATGGAGTCTTGCTATGTTGCCCAGGCTGACCTCAAACTCCTGGT
This sequence comes from Homo sapiens, assembly GCF_000001405.40. Lineage (NCBI taxonomy): Eukaryota > Metazoa > Chordata > Mammalia > Primates > Hominidae > Homo > Homo sapiens. Next base: position 62,887,005 of record NC_000003.12, read on the forward strand.
CAAGGGACCCTCCCACCTCAGCCTTCCAAGTAGCTGGGACTACTGATACTCACCACTGCACTTGGCTCAATTCATGGTCTTGATTTGAACCTGTGCTCTTGGCCACCTCAGCATACTGTAGGACAAATGAGATTTTAAGAGTACTTCTAGCTTGAAATTTGAATTCCTTTCATTATAAAGGTCATCATTAAAGGCATTATTCCATGGGCATTATTTAGTTTCAGAGCTCAAAAGGCATAGCTTCAAAGTAACCATTGTTCCCATCACCTAAGATGCAGATGATGGTCAATAGGAAAATAATTTTCACAACACACTACCATCCCTGGTGGCCTGAGGGACAGCCGAAACTCCCAAGCCCATAAAACAACATAAACAAAAGATTCCATGAAACTGATGGAGTTGAGTTTAGAAAGGAGCTTGGAGTCTCTAAGATTTTCAAGGTAAGTCTCTCTCCATGAACTAGGGGAACCAGGACCTATTGCTTGGACAAAGAAGTGGGAGAGAAAATATAGGATTCCAGCTACTTCTGTCCTTTCTTATTTCCCGCCTCAATCAAGTTTGAACAGCACAGCTGTTTATGTGGAGCCTTCCCTTGGAGATCACAGGGCATATGTTGGCTGGAGGTTTTACTTTGCCATCTGCCCATGGCAACTCAAGACATTATCTGCTGTAACTACTGGACTATGGTTTTCAAATTTTAGTGTGCATAAAGGATGCCTGAGAACTGTCTTAAACATGGAAATTTCTGGTCTCTATTCCCTAAGATTTTGATGCAGTAGGTCTGAGATAGGTTTCTGGAATATGCATTTTTACCTTAGGGGAAATTTGTTCCTATGGCTATGTCCCCAGTTTAAGAAATGTTCCTTAGGGAATTTTCATTCCCATGAGACATGATGGAGGAGAAGGGACATAGACTTCAAATTATTCCTGGTGCAGCAAGTGCTGAACAGAACCTGGAAGAAAGATATTTTCCTCTACATAAGTAGGAAAAGAAAATCCATGGGAAAAAAAAATGGAATCTTAATGACAGTGGCATTCTGAGGAACTTAAAATGAGGAAATATCCAAGCCCAAGAAAATGACATTGTCCACACAGGTCAAATCACATCCAATCCTGAAGGGTTTCCCTTTTTCTGAAGAATTGGTTTCCTCCCTCTCTTTTCTCTGCTCAGCTATGGAATAACCTAAGTACTACTCCTCCCAGAGGAATTCCTGCTCTGCTCCAAGTTCTCACTATCAGCACTCCTGATCCTGCTTCTTACTCTAAGGTTCTGGGTTTCAGTTTGATGGAAACGGAACGTGAACACCAGAAGAGAAGTGATGTCTGGGAGCCTCTATAGCCTTGCTCTCTATCCCCACCTGAGGAAGGAAAAGCTGTTCATCAAGGACAGCTGGCAAACCTGGACTGGAGCATAGCTCAGGAGTGGGAACTCCTAGGCACCACAGCATTCAGGTGAATATCACCCACTACACCAAGGCTTCATTCTCACTCTTGTTTTAATCCGCTCACATAAAAATTTTCTTCTGGTTGCTGCTCAATGGGAAATATATTTTAAGAAGAGAAAGCTATTTTTAAGAATTACTTTTATTAGTCTATTGATTCCATACTTAAAAATGGGTCAGCTTTCCTCCTGCACAGCTGAAGGTATTTTTGAGAAGTCGTTAAATAAATGCAGTCACTAATTTGCTGCTTGGAGTCGTGACCCACTCTTACCCTCTGCTGAGGATAAGAGATGGTTTTGTTCTTAGCCTATTTTTCATTTACTGAGAAGCTCTGACCTCTCCATCCCAGGTTAGGCAGTCATGAGCCCCTGTGGGATTCTCAGATTCAATCTGTAGTTATTTTAAGAATTTAAATTACATAAGCGAGGCTCTTTTTAGAATCCCTTCTTAGGGTCAGTCCCACACAGGACATCCTTAAAATTGCTACCATGAGCATGTGAGAAGCTTTTACCATTTAGTTTTTTGTGATGAGGGCTCCAGAGGCTGCTATTTTGAGAAGGAGAGTGCAGGTCATCTGGCCTCTCTACTATTCCTAGAGAGTTGCTGGGCACAGCCCTAGTAGCAGCAAGGAAATGGCAGAGGGAGCATCCTGCTTTGGTTATGAAAAACAGAATTTCAACTCAAACTGGCCAAATCAAGTAAGGCAATGTTTTGGCTCCTATAACCAAAGTACAGCAATAGCATTTCAGGCACGGTCTGGTCCAGGGCTCAAGACATGTCCCCAAGTCACCCTTTCCCTTCAGTTCTGCTTTACTTCATGTAGATCTTATTCCAGGTCAGGCCTTCTTCATGTAACCTGGCAACTCCAGACAATGTTCTTTCGTTTAAGTGCTTTGCAAAGAAATATTATCTCTTCTCTAGATCTCCCAAAATTTTGATTTGAAACTCATTGGACTTATTTGGGCCAAGTGCCACTTTTGCTCGATCACCTTGACTAATGGCATGCAGTGCTCTGATTAGTCAATCCAAAATCCCATGCCAATCTTACAGTCACAGTCACCTCCCTGAAGGACATGAACTGAGATGGGGAATAAATTGTTTTTCAAGGAAAATATGGGTTTCATCCTCACAAAAAATATCAGTGGATGTTGGGGAAAAAATAAAAAACTTATTGTGTATTACTTGATTAGATAGGACAAATAATAATTATGAGTGCCTTGCTGGATTTGGGGGGACAGCCACTATCCCCAGGACCCTCACACCCTCAAATCTCAGGAAGCCTCTGAAATATGACCAGAGGAAGAGAAGTAGAAAAGCTAACCCTATCATGATACCACCTGCTTGTCCTGCCCAAGAGTCCAGTGTGCAGGAGGCTGAGAATACAGCAAAAGTTCAGTCCATTCTAGCTGTGCACATCATATAATTTCATTCAAGAGAAAAAAATGCAATTATTTAGTGCATGCCTACCATGTACAAGTGCGATGCTTCGTGCTGCTGCCTCCCCACTGACAGATATTGCTGGTCTAGGCATACCATTTAGACTCATTGGGATTAGAGGAAGTCGAAGAAGTAAAAATGATAAAGGGGATGCAGTGATTTTAAAAAAGCTTTTGAGAGAAGGAAATATATCTTGTTCATTTCCGTTATCCATATTATTTAACTGAGCACAGGGTCTGGCCAGTAAGAGAGTCTCAAATGTTGACTGAATTAATGCATGCCTGACTAACATCCATTTGGTTTTTACTATATTCTGGACACTATGTAAAGTACTTTTTAACTCTTAATTCATTTCATCCTTACCACAACCCAGTGAAGTGGTTGTAGTTTTTAATCTCTGTTTTACAAACAAGGAAACTGAGGCAAAGAGAGGTTACACAGGCAGGAAATAGAAAAGCCAGCACTCAAGCCCAGGCAGTGTGAGTATACTGATATACTCCTAGAGAATATACTAATTCTCATCCATGTAAATGTGGAAGTAGGGATCTAGCTCTGTCACTCAAGGTTTGGCAAATCCGCACGGGGCAGAAGGATGGTCCATACCTACACTGCCCAATATGTCACTGGCCACATGTGGTTATTTAAAATAAAATTAATTACAATGAAATAAAACTGAAGCCAGGCGTGGTGGCTCATGCCTCTAATCCCAGCACTTTGGGAGGCCAAGGCAGACAGATCACCTGAGATCAGGAGTTCTAGAGCAGCCTGGCCAACATGGCAAAACCCCATTGTATTAGTCCATTTTCACGCTGCTGATAAAGACATACCCAAGACTAGGCGATTTACAAAGAAAGAGGTTTAATTGGACTTACAGTTCCATGTGGCTGGGGAAGCCTCGCAATCATGGCTGAAGGCAAGGAGGAGCAAGTCCTGTCTTACATGGATGACAGCAGGCAAAAAGATAATGAGGAAGATGCAAAAGTGGAAACCTCTGATAAACCCATCAGATCTCGTGGGACTTATTCACTACCATGAGAACGGTATGGAGGAAACTGCCTCCATGATTCAATTATCTCCTACCAGGTCCCTCCCACAACATGTGGGAATTATGGGAGTACAATTCAAGATAAGATTTGGGTGGGGACACAGCCAAATCATATCACCCATCTCTACTAGAAAAACAAAAGTAGCCGGGTTTGGTGGCAGGCACCTGTAATCCCAGCTACTCAGGAGGCTGAGGTTGAACCCAGGAGGCAGAGGTTGCAGTGAGCCGAGATGGTGCCACTGCATTCCAGCCTGGGCAACAGAGCAAGACTTGGTCTCAAAAAAATAATAAAAAAATAAATAAATAAAATTGAAAGTTCATTCCTCAGTTACACTAGCCACATTTCAAGTGCTCAGTAAACACATGTGGCTTGCGGATATACAAGTCTCTTCTCCCAGAAAATTCTTTTGGATAGCAGTGGGAGCTGAATTCCAAATGTCATTTTCAATCTTGATATGGGGAGTAGGAATTACCGTTTTCTATGGGGGCATCCCCAGTCAAGCCCACCTTGCCCAGCACGCTGGCTGCCCTTGCCTATGTGCACCCTATTCCATCATCACAACACACAACCCGTGCCCTTCTGTGCCTCCCCGCTTTATACACTTCTGCTTGGGGCACCTCTCTAGTCATGCCAGGTGGGAGTTAAAAGCTCATAACTGTTACCCCCTCAAGTCCTGCTTGAAGTTTATTTTTTATTTATTTATTTATTTTTGAGACAGAATTTTGCTCTTGTCTCCCAGGCTGAAGTGCAATGGCGCAGTATCTGTTCACTGCAACCTCCGCCTCCCAGGTTCAAGTGATTCTCCTGCCTCAGCCTCCCGAGTAGCTGTGATTACAGGCATGCAGCACCACACCCCGCTAATTTTTTTTGTGGTTTTAGTAGAGATGGGGTTTCACCATGTTAGCCAGGCAGGTCTTGAACTCCTGGTCTCAAGTGATCCCGCCCCCTTTGGCCTCCCAAAGTGCTGGGATTACAAGTGAGAGCCACCACGCCCCGCCCCTACTAGAAGTTTTACGGCAGAAAATCTGGTTGCATGATTGGTGGGAAACCCTGGCAAAAGAGGGGTTGGAAACACAACTCTGGGTTTGATATCCTAAAAGATACTATCTGTGTGGTAAGCAGCCCAGTCTTTGGAAATATATAGACCTGAGGTCTGAATCCCAGATCACCACATACTAATGACAGGACAGGCTCAAGACTGAGCCTTACCTGAAAATGGGGTCAACTCCACGTACCTCATATCAGCATATGTCCTTGGCATAGTGCCTGCTGGCTAAGAATTGGCAGCTGCTGAGGTCACTATTATGATGATGACGTAAGTCAAATGGCTTGTAGTTCTCCAGCTTTTGGGGGTCACCCTTTTGTTTAAAACTGTCATGACAATATCCTGAGCCAACTCTCAGTAGACCATTGTCTTCTCCCTATAGATGATTTCTGGAACACACTGAAATCTATTTTGGAGTCTTCATGGCACCCCCAAAATTTCACTTTACTCTGGACTACAACTTCATAACAACATGGATCAAATTTGTTATCTTGCAATATTTATTCATTAGTAATGTTTTCTTCCTTTCAAGCACCACCACAAACCCTTCCCTTAGTGCTTCAAAGCACAATGACAGCCAGGTTGTGGTATTTAACAGACTTAACTGGAGGCTTGGAGTTAAGGGGATTACAAAGCAGAAAAGAAAATGTAATATTGGATAGTAACTATTACTAAATGTAGAGCCCGTACATGAGCATCTCTAGAGAGGTCTCCCAGCTTTCTGGTCTATCACCATGTTACATGGGCCATCCCACCTCTCTCATATGAAAATTATTTTGACCATGATCTTCTTATGCATGATCTAAAGCTAGAACTGTCTCTTACTCCAGAGCCAGTGTAGAATGATCCTGTCCCAAACCAGCTAAATACAAACCGGCCCCCATTCTTGCACTGGGATGACTGATTTGGACAAATAACTTCTACTTCTGAATCTTAAGGGCAATGGGTAGAAAGCAAGATGGCATGTAGCTGATGAAAGGCCAAGGCAAGGGAGTATATTTTGCTGATTCCTTAACCTCCCTAAACTCACACACTTTATCTCAAAGTGAACTGAAGAAATTTCTCTACCTGTATCCAGTCCTATATGCTGCTCTTTGACTTCTTGGTCTGTCCTGGGATGCAGTGCAATTAGAAGTTAATGCATTCATGCTGTGACCTGAAAAGGTGGAAGGTGCCTGGGGGCTCCTGAGTACTTGGCTTCCATTCAGACCGCAAGCTGGATCTCCTATTATCAACACGTTTCTGCATCCTTGATTCTAGCACTGAGGCCCCTATTTATCTCTCAGAGAAAGGACAAATGGGCCTTAGCAAGAACAGTGGGCACTGGAGAGGGAAAAACTACAGCTACCCAGTGGAAGAAAAAGCTTAAGTGACCTTTTAGTGAGAAAAGCTAGAGCTTCCTGAAGAAATTATCACATTCGAGTGGCACTTTACAAACAATAGTTCTCATTTATTAGGTCTCACTATGTGCCAGGCACCATGCTAGCACATTTGAAGGCATGATCCCATCTCATTCTTAAATCAGTCACAAAAGTAGATATAGTGGTCCCCCTTATCCATGGAGGATACATTACAAGACCCTCAGTGGGTGCCCAAAACTTTGAATAGTACCAAACCCTGTATATACTATGTTTTTTTCTATACATACATATCTACATTAAAGATTAACTTATAAATTAGGCCAGGCATGTGGCTCATGCCTGTAATTTCAGTACATTGGTAGGATCACTTGAGCCTAGGAGTTCAAGACCAGCCTGGGCAACAAAGTGAGGCCCCATCTCTATAAAAACTAGAAAAAATTTAGCCAGGTATGGTGGAGTGAATAGGTAGTCCTAGCTACCCAGGAGGCTGAGGTGGGAAGATTGTTTGAGCCTGGATGGTTGAGGATGGGTGACAGAGTGAGACCCTTTCTCAAAAAATAAAATTAAATAATAAAATAAAATAGGCACAGTAAGTGCTGAGCAACCATAACTAATAATAAAATAAAATTATAACAATACATCAGCATCATGACTCTTGTGGTTTGAGGCTGTTATTAAGTAAAATAAGGGTTCCCTGAACACAAGCACTGCAGTCCCACGACAGTGATCTGATAACTGAGCTGATTACTAAATGATTAATGGGAGGGTAGTGTAGACAGTGTGGATCCACTGGACAAAGGGGTAATTCACATCTTGGGTGGGAAGAAGTAGGACTATAGGGGACTTCATCCTGCTACTCAAAATGGCATGTAATTTAAAACTTATGAATTGATTATTTCTGAAATTTTTTATTTCATATTTTTGTTACTGACATGCCAGGGATTAAGTCTAGGTCCTGCTGCTCATTGCACAGAAAGCCAATCACTGAGACAATGGATATTGACAGGGAAGAAGGCTTTCATTGGGTGCTGCAGCCAAGGAGAATGGAAGATAAAGTCTCAAATCCATTTCCTTGACCAGCTGAAATTGGGGGATTATAGAACAGGGAAGGCAGGAAAATAGGATTTGGGGAAGAGTATGGAAGGAATCATGATGGATGAGAGGTCTGGCATCTCATTGTCTGGATGCAGTGATCTAATGAGTTTCAGTTCCTTGCCTGAGGGATGATTTCCTGAGGAAGGAACTCAGATGAGGCAAATGTTTTTGCCTCAAGTTTTATGACCACAGAGGGTCAATTTCTTTTTTTCTTTTTTCTTTTTTTGAGACAGAGTCTTGCTCTGTCGCCCAGGCTGGAGTGCAATGGTGTGATCTCAGCTCACTGCAACGTCTGCCTCCCAGGTTCAAGCAATTCTCCTTCCTCAGCCTTCCAAATAGCTGGGATTACAGGCGCCTGCCACTATGCCAAGCTAATTTTTTATATTTTTAGTAGAGATGGGGTTTTGCCATGTTAGCCAGGCTAGTCTCGAACTCCTGACCTGAAGTGTTTCACCTCCTCCGCCTCCCAAAGTGGTATTACAGGCATGGGCCACCGTGCCCAGGGAAAGGGTCAATTTTTATGTTTATTCAAAAAACCCTAACTATTGGTTACATGAGACAGTTGGGTTGATTTCATTTTCCTATCTCAGTTGACAGTGGGTGACTGAAACTTTGGAAAGTGAAACCTCAGATAAGGGAGCTCGGGGGTGGCTATTACTGTATATTATCCCCTTTTGGGAAGCTATAGTTCAGAGGGTGAGTAACATGATCAAGATTATCCAGGTAGTAACCAGTAAAGCCATGATCTGAGTTTGGTTTGACTTAGAGTCTGAGTTCTCAACCTGTATCCTTGTGTTGGCTTCAGTTCTTCCAGGCATGTTATTTTACTGGTCAATGTGAGAGAAAGAGAGCAGAGGAAGTATTAGTCCTATTTTGAAGACAAGGAAATGGAAGCTCCGAGAGTTTACATAGCTGGCTCAATGTTACCTAGGTCTCCTGACTTCTAGTCCAAAGTGGTTTCCATTGAGCAGCAAGCGGCTGAGCTAGGATTCCAACTAGGGCTTTCATAATACAAATTCCTCTCCACTGGGCATTTGAAAAGCCCTTAGAGGGCTGATCTGTTTTCATAGCCATCTCTGTGCCAAGGCTTCTGTTGAGGTGTAACATTAATAATCATATAGAAATTGACATTTATTATTAGAAATCTCTGTTGAGCTCCAATTTAAGAGAATAATCTCCCCTTTCCCTAGCAAGGCTTCTGGAAGTTAAAGAGTACTACATAGCTGTGCAGATAAAGTTTATTATCATAAATTTTATTATTTGAATTGCCTCCAACTAATTGTTTAGGAAATTACTAGTTCTAAAAGCTATCCCTACCCATAAAAAAAGAAAGGTTTAGCCTTACTTTTTTTTTTTTTTTTTTAATATAGGTACCTTGATTCTTCAAGATAAGTATCATTAGTGATGGTAAATCTTAGCATTTCAAAGGAGGAGATATGCACCCTGGTTAAGATACTGATACAGGACAGCTGAGCCCCCAAATTGGGGCTTAGCCCAGGAGGGTACTTGGCTTCACCAGGAAAGAATTCACGAGCAAGCTGGTGGTGTTAGGCAGCAAATTTTACTGAAGCAGCAGTGTACAGCAGCAGCAGAGGTATGGCATCTTGTGGAGTAGGGCTACCTCACAGGCAGTGTGCCCAGAGTAGTGGCTCAGAAGCAGTCCTGCAGTCATATTCATACTGACCTTTAATTATACACAAATTAAGGTGTGGATTATGCAGACATTTCCAGAAATAGGGTGGTAGCTTCCAACTATTCTAGGTTATTGGACCATTGTCAGAGAGAGGGGTGGTAATTTCTGGTTGTTGCTATGGCAATGGTAGACTGACACGGCACACTGGTAGGTATGTCTTAAAGGGCGGTGCTTTCACCTCATCCCTGTTTTAGCTATCCTCAATTTGGTCCAGTGTCCAAGTCCTGCCTCCAGAGTTGAGTCCTGCCTGCCTCCTACCTCAGTACAATTAGAAACCTTTTTTCCTATCCCCTTTTACTAAGAAGTTGTCATGGTGATGAGAGTGGGCCATGAAAGGACCTAGTGGAGTTACCATCACACTTTGGTTATAAAATCCTGTGAAAAGCTCATCAAGTTTAGTTGGAGACTTTGATCCTGTGACACGGTTAGTGTTTTATGCCAATAAAATTAATTTGGATTTAATCAGTCTTTATGTGACTGTATGACTCTTATTGGGGGTTCTCAAATATGAAAAGAAGAAAAAAATAGAGTTTTTAGTTATAATACTTCTAATTGCCTCTACATCTGGATTGCAAATTGGGTTTTCTCCTTGAGCTAGTTCTCTCACTTTGGGGTATCTCTCCTAGAAATAATGCATCTATGCACATCTGTGTATATAAAAATGTAGGCTTTTCATATATAAATATACATAGATGGATACAGATATTTCTTGTAACATTGTTGTAGTGAAAAGCAATACTAGAAAAAAGCCCACCAATAGAGGGAAGATTGATTAAATTATGACACATTTATACCATGATGTATTATAGCACTGTGCATACATGAAAAACATAAGTTAGATGTGTATGTATTGGCCTAGAGGGATATTTATGATATAATTGTCAAATAAAAAAGCAAGTTGCAGGGTAGAGTGATGGATATGATCCCATTCTTATAAAATATTGTGTCAAAACCTATTTATGAGAATTTATGTCTTTATATGCTTGAATGAGCATAGATAACCATGTGGAACAGTATCCATTAAACTATTAACATTGGATTGATGATCTGGAGGATGTAGGGAAGGATGCTTGGAGGAAAGGGAATATTATTAACTTTTGTTTGGCTTATTGTGATAAATACATTTTACATTTATACCTAAGAAAAATCCCACTCCCAAAATAAACACAATAATAAGGGCAGTGGCAAGGGAGGGCTTTAAGGCAGACTGTGCTTGTATGTTGCTCCCAGACAGAATTATCTGGTAGGCTATCACAGGTACTGCTGAGATTCTTCTGATCTTTAGAATCAACATCTTATCAATAAAAATAATAACAAACCCCAAGAAAAGGGAAGAGACTAGATGTTTTCTTCCAAAGCTCTCCTTTATGATGGCATTTTCATTAAGGAGCCAGTAGAATGGTTACTGTTTAATAAAGACCAAATAGACAAATCTATTATTTTTTTTCCTCTTAGAAAGCATCATGTAACTATGGGAATGTTTCCTAAACTCAGTATTTCTGGAAAAGGAACACAGTCTTAAGCATTTTGAGTGAGAGAAAAAATGCTGGCATATTAAACCAAGCCCCTGGCACTATCTGTCTTTAGCAGACCTGTTCTTCCCTCTCTTCGTCCTTCCTTCTCTCCTCCCTTTCTCCCTTGCCTTATTCCTCCTTCTCTGTTTCTGTCTCTCTTTTTTGTTTTCTTTTCTTCTTTCTTTTAAAGAAAATTATTTTCTTTACTTGATGTTTCAAACTGAGACAATGTTAAACTAATGGACTTAATTCTCTGGCTTGCAGGTGAAGAATTAAGTGGTTTAGTCTTTTAAATTATCTTCTTCATTGATTTGTTGTAAGAATTATAATGTATATATATTCACATAATGATGAAGAGTATTTACCCTGTCTATCACAGACATACTACAAAGGGAGCCACAGAATATTCTGTATCATACCTTTAAAATCAAAAGTTGTTTTACATTTCTATCATATGCTAGAACTTACTTTCCTCAGTTTATGCTGAATTCAGCTTGCATCATGATTTTTTTGCTTCAGCTCATGTTTGGGGGAATTACATATATTTCAGCAATTTTGGTGTCTCTGTTGGGCAGTTTATTATAGGTACTTTTACAAAAGTGTTAATCGCTCTTTAGGTGAAGGAATGTTGTATATACACAACTCTGATTAGCACATGGTAGAGATTTAATAAGTAACTGATCGATGCTAAATAATAAAAATTTCAGAAAACAACATCCAATGTTCTAAATGCTTTTTGGATTTTTCCCAATCGTGGGATCTTTTTGTGTCTTTTTTCCTGTCTCCCAAAGAGAGTTAGAATTTGGTCAGTAATTTGTTTTTCTCTTTGATCTCTAAGTTAGTGCCATAACAGTTTTCTACCTTCTGAGATCTCCATGTTTATGGTTAGGGCCTTTCCATAGTAGCTTTTTCTTAGAAATCTCAACTGAGGAATCACAAGGTTCATAAGTTTAGAAAGGAGAGCTTTATTTCTCATAAAGAATTGCAGTCTTCAGAATAGCCATTCTGTAGGCTGGGAAGCATAGCCTCCTGCCAGAAGTCTGAGACAGACACTTCGAGGGTAGGAAAGATAAGATATGGATGTATGCTGAACACGTTAACTAAGTATACATATTCAATAAGCTATAGAAGGAGTCATGAATAATTATGACAGGAGAAACATGCATATGTACAATTGAGTATCATGCCTCTTCATGGGTTGCCTGTTCAAAAAATGGCAGCATTATGCTAAGGGTGGTGGCTCATGCCTGTAATCCTTGTACTTTGGAAGGCTGAGGCAGGAGTATCCTTTAAGCCCAGGAGCTTGAGACCAGCCTGGGTAATATAGTGATACTCTAGTCCTACCAAAAAAAAAAAAAAAAAAAAAGTCCAGTGTGGTGGTGCTTACCTGTGGTCCCAGCTACCTGGAAGATTATGGTGGGAGGATCACTTGAGCCCAGGAGTTCAAAGGGGAGCTGAGATTTTCCCACTATACTCTCTAGCCTGGGAAACAGAGAGTGAAAGAGAGAGAGAGAAAAAAAAAAGCAGTGTGAGCATGATCTGAGGGTGGAGTTTTCTGCTCTCTGATATCAAAAGATAAAGCAGAGGACATGAAAGCCCTCTCTGTACATCCTCACATCCTCATAGACTATCCAGAAGGGCTTCAGGGTTGTCAATCTCTTATCAGGAGAGGGTGCATTGTGAAACTGCTGAGCTGTCACTGGAAATTGCAAAGAGAGGTGGGGAGTCTGACTGCAGCCTCAGATGACTGGCTAAATGTTATTAAAGGAATGAGTTGTTCATTTCTTGTTTTCTAGAACTGGTTTCTGCCTACTCCTTAGGAAAGAATTCTGGACAAAGGTTAATAAAGAAGGGGCATACTGAAGCATGTCTGAACTCCTGTCCTACCATGGCTGGGAATTCAGTTTTTAAGGTGTTTCTGGCGTCTCCTTGGCCAAGAGGAGTCCATTCAATCAGTTGGGGTGCTTAGGATGTTATTTTTATTTTTCAGAAAGTTTGGCCTTCTTCCTCCCTACAGGATATGTACATTTATGTATTCTGAATATTTTTATGGTTGTAGATTCTTGAAACCAGGCACAATGCTTATGGACTAAGAAATATCCTTAAATGCCAAGAAAATCAGGAACACTAACTGGAATATTTCCCATGTTCATGGGTGGGTGTTACATATCCCCCAAGGTGACAAGTACTGACAATACAAGGACAAAGTTGCTGGAGGAGCCCTTTATGGACAATGTCTCCTGATTGTGAATCAAGGTCACATTTGCCTCTTCCTCCTCTCTTGGAACCCCACCACATGTTATAGGATGCAGGTTACTATGGTGATAAGGGAAGAAAACACTGAATTAGATGAACATTGCAAAAATATTGTAGTGGGCTATAAAGGGTATTTTACAGTGACTTTTTATTTTTACAATCATTTAACATTTACAGAAAAGTTGCAAAGATAGTACAGAGAGTTCCTGTACATTCCTCACCCAGTTTCTTGTATGGTACATTACCATGGTATCCTTGTCAAAACTAAGAAACTGACATTGGTACATTACTGAACCAACTAAGGACTAAGCTCTGGCTTTATTTGAATTTCACCAGTTTTTCCATTAATGTCTTCTTTCCGTTGCAGGCTCCAATTTAGGGAACTATGTTGGTTTTAATTATTATGCTTCCTAAGTCTCTATATTTTCAAATCTTCTGCATCCTGTGACAGTTTCTGATTCTTCCTTTGTTTTAGAAAGGTTTTAACCCACACAAAAATGTATCAAAGTCTACTCCTTTGAACTGGGTTTGGATTTGTTGCATGACTACCTTCCTTCGTATTTTTAGAGGCTCTTATGAAGACAAAATATCTCTCAGAACTCTTATAACTCCACAAATAATATTTTGGTTTTTGTCCTCTTCATATTAATTCTTTAACTCTAGGAGGTCATGACCACTAAGAAGGGAATGTTTCTAGCAGGTAACATTTTCCTTTTGCTAAATGTATAATCTCAGTTCTGACTTAATAAATTTTACGAATAACTTAAATTTCCAATTCCAAAATATTCAAACAGTTTTGCACCACCATGACATATTGTGTAAAATAGTTTTTCCCTTCTCTCCACCTTTTGGCACTCTAAAAATAGATAGTAGTTTCTTTTAACAAGGTTCTTTAAACAATCTGTTCCGTGCCCCACCACAAACTCTACACCCCAATCTGTTGTTTTAGTTCCCTGCTGTTTAAGAGCCCAAGACTTTGCTGAAGCAGAATGTCCGTAGTCAATCTTGCTGCTTGATTTTTGTTACCATGTCTCCATAAGATTTGTCCTGAATTCTAATTTGAATACTTATTTTGGAAAGCTTTCAGTTTTATCCTCTTCATTTTGAGTATGGGTACATGCTTTGGAGGCAGAGAGATCTGAGCTCAAATTCCAGACCTACCACCCACTATAGGACCTCAGGCAAATTACTTATCTTCTCCCAGTCTCCTTTCCTCCTAAGCGAAAGGGAAGAGACAGCTTCTCTCCTGGATCTGATTTTCAAAGCCCTTAATGTTTTCTGGAGTTTTTCCCTTTCTAGCCATTTGCTATTACCCCAAGGTTAGCAGAAAAGAAGCAATCTAAAAGTAGAGATTGATGTTTCTGGCTTTCTATCTCCTCCCACAACCCTCCAAAACACCAGAAGCAAGAGGGATGTGAAACTGTTAGCCAAGTGTTTGCAAAGGATGGCTTTGAAAGGATATCTGGAAAGGTATTGGGACTGCTGGTAGGCAGATGTGAGGGGCATTCTACATTAAATTTTAAGGGAAATGTTAGCAGATCTGCTCCATCTGGCAGAATCCTGCTTTAAGTTTTTATCTATGATAAGTCTGGTCTCTGGATTCTCTCCCTTTATCTCTTTGTGTCCACGGGACTACTCCCACCATCTTCTCTGTACTTTGGGACCCTTATCTTGATAAATAACCTATAAAATTTGACTCAAGACCCTGTCTCAGATCCCGCTTATGTGTAATATTTTAACTAACACATTCTTGGCCATTATTTCTGGTGGTTTATAGAAGTAAACTTCAGCTATATCTAGTCTGAAAAACATGTTCACATTTTTACATTATTGTCTTTCTATTGAAAAATTCATGTTCATGAATCCATTTTCACAGCTCTCCTGATTGGGAGGTTGAGTCATTACAAATTTTGCAAAAAGTGGGTCCTTTGGGTAGCCCCCATGATGGTTAATATTAAGTGTCAACTTGATTGGATCGAAGGATGCAAAGTATTGTTTCTGGGTGTATCTGGTGTTGCCAGAGGAGATGAACATTTGAGTCAGTGGACTAAGAGAGGATGACCCATCCTCAGGAAGACCCACCCACAATTTGAGTGGGCACCATCCAATCAGCTGCCAGTGCAGCTAGAAAAGGCAGGCAGAAGAAGGTGAAAGGAGCTGACTTGCTGAGTCTTCCGGCCTTCATCTTTTTCCGTGCTGGATGCCTCCTGCCTGGAACATCAGGCTCCATGTTCTTTGGCTTTTAGACTCTTGGACTTAACACCAGTGGTTTGTGAGGGGCTCTCCAGGCCTTGGCCACAGACTGAAGGCTGCACTGTCGTCTTCCTTACTTTTGAGGTTTTGGGACTTGGACTGAGCCACTACTGGCTTCTTTGTTTCTCAACTTGCAGACAGCCAATCGTGCGACTCCACCTTGATTGTTAGAGTCAATTCTTAATAAACTCCCAGTTCTGTCCCTCCAGAGAACCCCGACTAATACATCCCCAGATCTGTCACCTTATGCTCCCTACTTTGCAGAAGGAGTTTGACTGTTTGATTCAACATATATTTATGGGGTACTGTGAAAATAAGAAATTAAAAATCCAAGCTGTTGGAACTTTAAAATGTTTTGAGTCTTAAGGGAATGTGATTATGAGATCCCAGTCACATGACAGGCAATTGTAACCTAGGCAGATGTAAAGTTTTTTTCTCTGATTAGATTAGCCTTTTGCTTACACACATTATTTGGTAAAATGTTGTAAGTGACTAAAGAGAGCCAAGGAAGACCTCTTCCTTCTTCATTATTGATCTTCATTATAGATAAAGTTCCTTCTTACCTTTCTCACGCAAAATCTTCATGACTATCATGTTGTCTAAGATGGAACATTAAGTACACTCTTTTAAATTGGAAAGGAAATGAAAACAAACTGTAAAGAAAAGAAAACAAGAGGTATGAAAAAGGAAACAAACTGTAACTAATTAAATTTGTGTAACTCATAAACCAACCTTGTATAGAAAATGTGATAATCCTACTAGATTTCTTTGTTTTCTGCTTATATAAGCAAGACCTTAACTTTTAACTTTGGAGCACTGACTCCATTTCTCTAAAGTTTGTGTTTCCTAGAGGGCCAAGCACAGTTTTTCTCTTGAATAAACCCTTTAAAACTAGATTCTGATCCTTTCAATTATTTCAGATTGGCAGTACTTACTCTGTGGTAGGCACTCTGTCGGGGGTGGTGCTGGTGTGTTGATTCAAAGAAATAATTATGGAAACATGTACTACAGCACTTGTTACATGTTCGATGCTAATTTTTTTTTGTATTCACTCCCCTTCTCCAACATTGTCAACTTTCATTAATCTATCAGTCAGAGTTCTTAACAGTGTCCAGTGCAGAGGCTTGCAATACCTATAGAATGAATCAAAGAAGAAATATTGAAAGACTCATGCTAAGCAAACAGTAAAAAAACAAACAAACATTTCTTTCCACCCTTCTGCCATTTAGAGAAAATATATAGGGTCAGTATAACCAGGGATTAAAAGAGCAGGTGGTCATGTCAGCTGGCTGCTTGAATCCCAGTCTGCTTTTTGCTACGTGGGTGACCTTGGGCAAGTTAATTAACATTTTAAGTTTCAGGTTCCTCATCTATGAAATTGGGATTACAACAGTAAGTACTTTATAGAGAGGTGAAGAGTAAATAAATAGATCATGTACAACCTTTAGCATTGTGGCGCACATACAAATAAGTACTGTATAAATAGTAGGTATATTATCATTATTATAAATATTATATTCTGGAAAATGGTTACCAATTTCATAAGGTCTTAAGAGTAGAACAAGCTTCTCTAAGAGGGTTGTGTAAAAGTTTAGCTCTCCAAGGTAGTTATCTTAGTCTAAATGTTCTTTTTTCAAAATAGCTGCATATATGCATTTTGCCGCCACATGCCAGAGAAGGATCTCAACAGGCTGAATGATGCTATTTGCCCCTGGGATCCCCATTCTCCTCCTGATTGTTTAAATAACTTGTAATAAAAAAAGAGTGAAATATATATGGCTTGAGAGGGACATTTTTCTTTCTGGTGAAATAGCATATTTCTAAGACATTTCTACCTTAGGCATAGAAATCACAACAGTTACCTACACCCATTGAAATGGAAATATTAGACTTTAAAAGAATGTTATTATTGTTTAATTAAAATACTTGATGAATGACTCTAAGAAGTGAGAGAGAAAAAGATATGATAGTTGATGCTAGGAATAAATTAATAAAAGATTAAATTTCAAGAAGATTAATTTGGAGGCAATTTGTAGTATAGATTAGAGAGAAAAAATATCCCCAGAGGAAAATCGTTAAGGTAATTATTTGTAATCTAATCTGATTTCCTTTTCTTGAGAGAGCCACTAGACTGGCAAACTGGGGATTTTAGTAAATGAATTAATATCCTGCTTTGATCCTTCACAAATTCAAACTGGCTTAAGACCTGCAATATTTTTTTCACTAGAAAATTTGAAATTCGTTGTAATCTAGTGCATTCATTCATTCATCCCACACATATTTATTGATGGCCTACTGTGTGCCAGGCACTGTGATGTTGTGTATATATTTGTTAATGATGTGATCATGGTCCTGGTGCCTTCGGAGCATACAATCCAATCCAGTTCTTTTTGATGAGAAATTTTGTGTACCATTTTGTAATTTCCTGGGTTTAAGCTAAACCTGTTGCACATTGTACAGTTTTTAACAACTTTTTTTGATTCAGAACACTAATGAGCTTC
Source organism: Homo sapiens (assembly GCF_000001405.40). NCBI lineage: Eukaryota > Metazoa > Chordata > Mammalia > Primates > Hominidae > Homo > Homo sapiens. The sequence continues at coordinate 62,904,648 of NC_000003.12, forward strand.
TAAGCATCTGAAGGTGGCAATATTTTGGAAAGAAACAAATTATATCAGGAAAGTATTGCTCAGGTTATGAGATAAATGGAAGATTCAACTCCCAGGAAGTGGGCAGCCATCATGGCTCAGATTTCCAAATAGCTAAGGTTAGACTGGAGATAAGAGCCAAGTTAAATATGATTAAGTAAGCCAAGAAGACTAAATATAATACTCATTACAAAAACACATTTGATTTATCCATTTCTAAATAGTAAACCTTGACATTTTGGATAACACTTTCATCATATAAGCAAAGGGTTCTTTCTAGAGTAACTCACCTGTGTAGTCCAAGTAAAAAAGCCAAAGAATGGGTTGGTGAATTTGACTTACCTCATTCAGCCAGAGACATTGGGGAGAGGAGGGAAGAATGAATAAATTACTATTATCATGGAATATGATTCCTAGTGGCAGCTATAGCTGTAGCTAACATTTACTGAATATTATGTGCTAGGCACTGTACTGCATGCCTTATGTACATTATTGTATTTAATCCCCAAGAAAGCTCTATGAGATAGTATTTTATTTAACAGATTATACATTTTAGATTCAGAGGGCTGGAGTGACTTATCCAGTCACACAGCTTGTGAATGGGTGAGTTGGTCTGACTGCCAGGACTTTGCCTAAGTATTCTATACTACCTCCCTCTGTGGTCTTTCCTCTCTGCAATCTTCTCCTAGGGGTAGCCAGTCAATTAAAAACAATTCCTAATACCTTCTAACTTTTATGTAACCCCTAGATTTAGAAACATACTTAACCTGAATTACTTGCATTTACTAGCCAGTGTTAATAAGTGTTTCAGAAGACTCAGGAGAAGTCTGGGATGGATACAGGAAGGAGATAAGACTTAAGCTAAGATTGGAAGGATCAGTAGGGCTTGAATGGTGAGAGAGAGAAAGACTGCACTGTTCCTGAGAGCTAAGATGCTGAGGCCACAGAGGCAAAGGCTGGAGCCTGAGCTAGCCAAGATAGAAGGCACATGTTGGGGAATAAAGGCAAGTGGCATCAGATCAGCAAGATTAAGACAGAGTAGCAAAGGCTTTGCATAAGGACATGTATGAAGAAGGAAAAATAAATGTATTTGTAGTAGGTCGATTACATTTTGACCCTGATTAATGGCTTTCTTGTGTCTACTGCCTTGTGATGTGACTGTGCAGCATCTCTTATCAAGAGATGAAGCCAGGTACACCCACTCCCTTGAGTATTGGCAGTCCTTTAGCTTGCTTTGGCCAATGTATATGGCAGAACTGATGGTATGCTATTTCCGAGTCTGGGCCTCTCAAGACACTTTCCAAGTTTCTGTTGTCTCTCTTGTCCTCCTACCATGCCATGAGAACCAGCTCAGGCTAGGCTGCTGAAGGAGAAGAGATCATATGGAGGCGAGACCAGCTGGGCCAGAGGAGGCCATCCTAGACCAGTCAAACCCAGTGAATTTACCAGTGACCTCAGACATGTGAGGGAGACCAAATTAGATCAGCCAAGCACAGTCTAGATCCACAGAATCACCCAGTTGACCCATAGACTTATGAGCACAAATAAATGTTAATTGTTGTATACCATTGAGGTTTGGGGGTTGTTTGGTATTCACTATGATTGTGGCAACAGATAACTGAGATAGTATTGTTCCTCATGGACAAAGATGCAAAACTGTAGTTTTTTTTCTTTTTTTTAATGAGAAAAGTGTAAGAAATGGCCACAATTTATTGACTTTTTTTTTTTTTTTTTTTTTTGAGATGGAGTCTTGCTCTGTCACCCAGGCTGGAGTGCAGTGGCGCAATCTCGGCTCACTGCAAGCTCCACCTCCCAGGTTCAAGTTATTGACCACTTTTTTGGGTATGTAACAGTTACTCAGAATATTTTTATGAGATAGTCTATTTCCCCCATTTTATGAACAAACAAAACCCCAAAAACAACAACAATAACAAGAACAACAAAACACCTGAGATTTAATGTGTTTTGCCCCAGGTAACATGTGAGATGTGATGAATCAAGGATTTGAACTAAGTATTCTGACTCCAAGGCATTCCTTCCGTGAAGCTCTAGGCAATTCAGGAGAATGCCACAGATATGGCATGACTGGATTATGTTAAATGAATGTGACAGAATCTTCTATGAAATCCCAAAAGGGAAAAAAAATAATCCAGAGAGTAAAGCCTGTTGGAACTGACTAAGCACACATTTCCAGAAGTACTGGTCAGTTGTACCTGTGCCAATCTAGACATTTATCTCTAGACATATCTTTAGTATGATTCTGTGGGTGACTTGTTACTGACTAGATTCATGGGTTGCACAAAACTGGGAGGAATTCTCTAAACACCTTATAGATGCTGAGTACCTGGGAAGAGGAAATCAAATACATTTTAAAGAAAGGTAATGGGGAATCCTCCAATTGGTTTAAGTAAATATTCAATAGAATAAATGGGAAATGAGAGTTATTTATGCTACAAACATCCATGTAGTAAAGGTGCATGGTGTGTTTCAGTGAGCGGCAGCAGGCGACTCAGTGAGAACAGAGGATGAGTGTTCAGCCCCTGGCACAGTGTTTGGTCCAGTACAGGTACTCAGCAAACACACCTGTAGGGAGGAAGAAATGTGGAAGACACAGGGGTGGGGGTGGGAGTGGGAGAAACATAACAAAAAATAGAAAACAATCAAGTTCCAAACTGATTCCTGAAGTGAGTTAAGCAGAGGGGACACTATCTATGCCCCACCCAAGTCCCATAGACTCTCCTTTACTGCATCCCCCAAGGTCATCTTCCTGTGCTGCTGCTCCTAATGGCCAGCACCTGCAGCTCTCTTTGGCCTGGGGCTTCTAGAGCTACTTCAGGTACAGAGGTGGAAGTGCCTGGGGGTTTATTTCAATTCCAGGGCAGTGCTTAGCTCAGGACTGACTGGGCTGAGGATAGGAAAGCCCAGCTCCTTGGCCTGTAGGTAGGACACATTCTCAGAGGCAAATTAGACTCCGGACCTCCTTGACAGGATCAGTTCTAGGCTGAGATTTTGCCAAAAATAGCATCTTTGATTGAATTTGTTCCACCCACTGTCCTGATTTTCCAAATCCTTTCCTGATTTTCTTCCAGGAGGGCTGAAGAAATCACTAGCAAATGAACCTAGGACTGGGCATCTTCTTCGAAGACATGATCTTTTAGAGGTCAAAGATGGTACATTTTTCATCATTTCATTGCCAGAAACTGGTAGAGTGCCAGGCTTGTAGTAGGTGGCTCATCACATCTTGGAAGGAAGGAAGGAAATCTTAAAGATTGTGGAGAAAAATGCTGAATGTAAATATAATATCGTCAAATTCTAAATAAATACTGAGAGATATTGGAAAGATTTTTGTGAAACATGATTCAGGCGTGTGAAAACCTGCAAGCATAAGAATAGAGAAGAAAGAAAGGTCGGCTGGGCTTGGTGGCTGACACCTATAATCTCAGCACTTTGAGAGGTTGTGACTGGAGGATCCCTTGAGCCCAGGAGTTTGAGACCAGCCTGAGCAACATTGTGAGACCCTGTCTCTCCGAAAGAAAAAAAAGAAAAAAGAAAGAAAAAAAATTAGCCGGGCTTGGTGCGTGCCTGTAGTCCCAGCTACTCAGGAGGCTGAGGTAGGAGGATGGCTTGAGCCAGGCAGAGGTTGTAGTGAGCCAAGATCATGGGAAAAAAAAAAAAAGAAAAAGAAAAAGATAAAAGGAAGACAGTGTGGCGATTCCTCAAGGATCTAGAACTAGAAATACCATTTGACCCAGCAATCCCGTTACTGAGTGTATAACCAAAAGATTGTAAATCATGCTACTATAAAGACACATGCACACGTATGTTTACTGTGACACTATTCACAATAGCAAAGACTTGGAACCAACCCAAATGTCCATCAATGATGGACTGGACTAAGAAAATGTGGCACATGTACACCATGGAATGCTATGCAGCCATAAAAAACGATGAGTTCATGTCCTTTGTAGGGACATGGATGAAGCTGGAAACCATCATTCTGAGCAAACTATCGCAAGGACAGAAAACCAAACACCGCATGTTCTCACTCATAGGTGGAGACTGAACAATGAGAACACTTGGACTCAGGGTGGGGAACATCACACACCGGGGCCTGTTGTGGGGTTGGGGGGGGATGGGGAAGGGATAGCATTAGGAGAAATACCAAATGTAAATGACTAGTTAATGGGTGCAGCAAACCAACACGGCACATGTATACATATGTAACAAACCTGCACGTTGTACACATGTACCTGAGAACTTAAAGTATAATTTAAAAAAAAATTAAAAGAAAGAAAGAAAGAAAGAAAGAAAGAAAGAAAGAAAGTCAACCTGGTTGAAGAGATTAGGGTGAGTGGAGGAAGGGAGGCAGTTTGTAGTATTGAAGAGGTCAGAATATGTTTGATTGAAGAGCTGAGATGTTGCAGCCATAAAAAAGAATGAGATCATGTCTTCTGCAGGAACATGGATGGAGCTGAAGGCTATTATCCTTAGCAACTTAATGCAGGTACAGAAAAGCAAATGCTGTATGTTCTCACTTATACGTGGGAGCTAAATGATGAGAACACATGGACACAAAGAGAAGAACAACAGACAGTGGGGCCTACTTGAGGGTGGACGTGGGAGGAGGGAGAGGATCACAAAAAATAACTATTGGGTCCTAGGCTTAGTACCTGGGTGATGAAATCATCTGTACACCAAACTCCCATACATGAGTTTACCTATATTACAAACATGCACATGTACCCCTGAACCTAAAAGTTTTTTTTTAAAAAAGGAACATAGAATTTTAAAAGATATATAAGGTCAAGTCCCCCTTTAAAAAATTTTTAGATTCAACAGGAATACAGTAATCTGATCCATTGCTATTTTAAAAAACAATAAAAGGTGAAATGTGAGCAAAATCTTGAAGTAAGACAGTGATTCGAGGGATATTTTTGGCTGAAATGTTCCATGCTTAGAAAATATCTAGAAAAATGGCCTAAGGCAAGGCCATGCCTGGCATCTTTAAGGAATATTGAGGAGGCCAGTGTGGTCGAAATTGCATGAGGGAGGGAGAGAGAAGGGTTTAGAGAGGAAACCAGAGGCCAGAACAACCTAGGCCCTGCAGGCAGCCACCAGGATTCTGGAGTATGCACCCAGTTTCCCACAAATCTTGATAGCATAGGTTTTAAAACCAGGTAGGTCTTAGTCTGAATCTCAGCTTTGATCTTCCTATGCTACCTTGGATAAGTTATTTAATTTCTCTGAGCCATTGTTTTCTCATCTAGGAAATAGGTACAGTCATAGCACCTACTTCATAGGGTTGTGGTGAGGATTTGACAGAACACTTAGCAGGTAGGGGAGCTCAGTAACATTTTGTGTAAAGCAGCAGGGGTCCAACAACTCAGATTTCTGCTCAGACAATGTCAAGGCTTGATGTCACCCTAATGTCACCCACATCTGGAAGTAGTTCTGTGGGAAGAGACAAGGGGTTTCACTTGGCTTTCTATAGCTACCCTATATAAAAAAGATCTAGCAGAGAAGTCAGGGAAAAAGGGCCTCTGTCTGTCTAGATGAACATTATGGGGCAAACATAGAGGAAATCATCAAGCCAGCCATGGTGAGGGATGGGAGCAGGAGTAGTGAGCCTTCTCCTTTCTTAAAGAGCGGGAGGATAGTTCATGCTTTTTGCCAAGCTTTACTTTTTCCAAGTCTGGGCATCCTTTGGGCTGCTTCCTTGTCATCTCTCTCCCTACAGCCTCATTGCAGGGAAACTACCCAGCTCAGTACGCTTTAGACCGTGGTTCTTATAGTGGAAGTTCAGCTTTTGCTTCTCCTCCTCCTCCAGTGTCTGTAGGAAAATGGTTTGTCAAAGCAGATTCTGGGTGGCTCCTTCAGCTAACGATAACTGCAAATGCAGTGCTTAGAAAAGGGAAAATAAAGAGCCTTCATGATGGAGATGTCAAGGCATAGAGGCTGGGTATATGGCTTTGGAGTTTGTGTTTCTGCTCTAGAAGCAGAGGTTCATGGCTATTGATGCAAATAATTCTTTGCTGAGGGATGCACCAATGTTTAGTGGATGAATCTCTTGCATAAGAATAACCACAGCTAATACGTATATAGCATTGTCATGTCCAAAACACTCTTCTAAATGCTTTATATTTGAGAATTTTCATGAGCTTCAAACAAAGCCATGGGTACATGATTATCTTCATTTTGGAGACTGTGGGATAGGAAGCTTGAATCATTTGCAAAGTCTTAACAGGTAATAGATGATGGAGGGGCTGTCTGAATCAGAGAACCTGGTGGCAAAGTTAATGTTTCTAACCACTTGGATCTATTGTTGCTCTCAAGCTTTGTCTTGTCTTTCCTTCATCTTATCAGTATTCTAACTGGGAAATGTTGCAGGCTTTGCTCTGACCTTTGATTTATTCTCTGTCTGCTCTAGATGATGTTTAACAGTATCATCTAATACTAACTTGCTAACAAATTGGTTTAATTAGATGATATAAACACTACACAATGTTCTGAAACCAGAACACTAACACATTGCAACCAGCCTCGCAGTTACTTTCTAAACATACATTGCAAAGGAGCTGCACAAAATTCCATCAGAAGTCCCATGCAGAAGTTCTTTTGGCTTAAATTGCTTGAAATCCTATTTAGAGGGCAATGAATTGTCCTTCCAAAATATTACAGCACTGGGTTCATTGCCACCTCATAACACAGGACAATCCAAATCTCATTGGATTGAGTCATAGGCAATCAATTCTGTGATAATTGTTCTCTAGGCCTCGGCTATTTCCATGACTATAGCGCACTCCTACAAGTTTCTTAACAACTAGCAATTTATAGTACTGATATTTTGTTGGGAGAAGGGTTGTTACTTGTAGGAGCTCTCTGGGAGCTTCAAAACAAATCAAAATGTAGTTTTTACTCTTGGCTTTTCCCAGTAACTTCATCCAAGAGACTCAGAATTTGGGGTGTGGAAAGAATGTGAGATTGGAAGCAGCAATTCCAGGTTTAGTCTTAGCTCTGTCTTCAGACAGATCCATTCTCTTCAGGGGGTCAAGGCATTTGATGAGTCACAGGTCTGGCAAACTGGTATTCTTTCATTCATCCAACAAAAATGAACTGTGTATACTGGGGGTTAGTTCTGCCCTAGACAAGGGAACCAACTAGAGAACCAAACAGACAGAATTTCTTGCCCTGATGGCACTTATATTCTGTGGCATACTGTATTTCCCCCATATAGTTACAGCAATATTTCTGGTCTCTCATGTTTTTTTACTACCTTGTCACTCCCCAATCTAAAGTGGAGTCTGTTGCCTCTCCTCTTGTTCCTGGATGAGCTTGTGACTGCACCAACCAATAGAGCATAGTGGAAGTGATGCCATGTAAGTTCCAGGTGAGGGATCAGGGCCTGGCGCTCTAACTCCGCCAAGATACTTGTCCTTGGGACTCCACCACCATTCAGTGAGAAAGCCCAAACTCACACATGTGCAGCGACCACACAAAGAGGCCCATATAGCTGGCAATGGGGTAAGTGCTTACTAACTATTTGCTATTATGATCTTAGCATAAAGTAGACAAAAAAGACAACATTTTTAGCATGAAAGCAGAAATACACATTGTAAGTTAAATAACAATCTAAGGAAATATATATCAGTTATCCAAATGACTGGCTAAAATTATAAGCAGTCTTGCAATTCAGAGGAGGGAGTGATCATCGTGGGTGGGACTGGACAAGGTAAGCTTTACTGAAGAGGGACTTGTAATAGACCTGCTGGATGTGGAAAATTTAAGCATCCAGGAGGGCTTTCCAAGCGTAGCATAGCATAAGCAAAGATGTGGAGGGTGGGATGAAGAATAACAATAGCTACCATTTTTGGAATCAGACATAATATAGTTCTTCTTGTCAAATACCAACCTTGCATCTCTGAGAGAGATGAGCAACCAGGCTCAGAGGGGTTAATTAACTTGTCAAGGCCACACAGCAGGCAAAAACAGAGTTTTGATGAAAACTCCAGTCTTGGTTCTAAAGGCCCTTTCCACTACACCATGGAACTTAATGACCATGAGAAGCCTAGTACTTTATCTTACAGGTGTATAATTCCTATGCTTTTGTTTGTAAATTTAAATTTTCTTTAAATACCTAAGAATTGACTTAAAGTAATATTTTAAATATGCAACTGGAAATGTAGCGATGGACTAAATACATCAGTAGTGTTAGTAAATAGGAAAGTTGAGCAGCATGTTACTCAGAAACTGATGGGGAATAAATATTTAATATTCCTCAACTCAAATATGGCATGGAAATGATATAAATGAATAGTGTTCCATGCATTTAAATGAAAACAAGGATTTCAGAGACACTGCCAACCTTTCATGAGAATCTGTCTCTAATTAAAGACATTTTCTGTAGGTGTATCCCTCTGCAGCTTGCAAGCGGGCGCCCAGTCTGTCAGGACTGAGTAATTGGCATTTTACTTCCCTTCTCCTTCTTGGCTTACTTGGATTTCATTTACCATCATTTCTTATGATTGGCAATAGATGACATGGGCAGGCTAAGAATGGGAGGATGTGAGGCAAGAGAAAGAGCCCTGGAGTGGCAGGGAAGAGCGCTTGTTTCTGGGTCTGGGTCTGTCTAACTCACTGTGTGAACTTAGACTGGTTATTCAAGCTCTCCAAGCCTCAACTTTCTCAATTATAAAATGAGTCAAGGTAGTTTAACTCTGAGAGACAAAATACGTTTATATTATGTGCCAATTCCAGTTACAGTAGTTTCTCCTTATCTGCAGGGGAACCGATTCAAGACTCCCCCAGTGGATTATTGAAACTGCCGATAGGACTGAAACCTATGTGTACTGTTTTTTTTCCTATACATACGTATCTATGATAAAATTTAATTTACAAATTAGGCATAGCAAGTGATTAACAATAACTAATCATAAAATAAAACAATTATAATACACTGAAACAAAGGTAAAATAAGGATTCCCTGAACACAAGCACTTTAACACTTTCACAATCAATCTGATAACCATTAGGTGACTATGGGTGGGTAGCATAGACAGCCTAGAGCTGCTGGACAAGGGAATGATTCACACCCTGGGTGGACGAAGTGGGATGGCATTAGATTTCAGCACATTACTCAGAAAGGTGCACAGTTTAAAACTTAATTTTTTTTATTTCTGGAATTTTTTATTTAATATTTTTGAACTACAGTTGACTGTGGGTAACTGAAACCAAGGAAAATGAAACCATGGAGAAAGGTGGACTTCTGTGATTGATAGCAGCTGCCTTGAGGGTAGTGCTGAGAAGGATTCTGAGATAAGCATTCTGAAAAGGGTTCTAAGGTGCATATGTCCTAATGTAGCAATGAGGTTAGACAAACTAGGTAGGTAGGAAGTGGACCCCAGTCAAGGGCGATCTGTGAGCAAAGGCAAAGGGTAGAAATTTGCTACTGGTGCTTGGGGTATAATACGTAAACTGATATGATGAGATTGACCCTTTTTTTCATACTTTCTTTATAATACTCTCCATTTGCATTTAATTGTGTTTTCACATCTGTTTCTCCTTCTAGACAATGAGCTGCTTATGGACAGGAGCTAGGTAGGTCTCATTCTAGAGATGCAGTGGGAACAATAAGGAAGGTAAACACCTTATTTATGCCTTGGTTTCATCAAATGTAAAATGGAAGACAATGTTACTCATGTCCTATATTTGTGATGAAGACAACATAGGTTAGTGCAGATAAATCGCTTAGCCTAGAACTTGGCCCATGTCTGGCACATGATAAATGTTCATTTTATTATTATTAAATTTTTGAGTGTCCAATAAGCTAAAACAGATCTGGAACAAGGTAAAAACACAAACGTTCTTTGTACAAATACATGCACAAATAAATGCATGCATGAATGTAAGAATGAGCTGTGGAATGTAAGTTGGGAGTTCTTCTATTTCAGGTCAGGTCCAGGTTCTGGAGGGTCCTGAATATCATAATGTGAATTGTGTCCTGAAGGAAATAGAACCATTAATGGTTTAGAGCAGGAAGATAGCACACAGCAGCCTTGGGTCACCCTCAATCCACATGGGAGGAAGGAAGAAAGGTGGACACAGTACTAAAGGGACCAAGGGAATAGGTGAGGATTGAAGGGTCCTGCCATTCTGCACCTGTTGATGGCCTCCCCAGGGTCTTGCTGGTCTTACACATGCAGCCAGTATTGAACTGGAACCAGCAATTAGGGAAGACAAACCATTTCTAAAGAAGGTTTTTTGGTTTATTTGTTTGTTTGTTTTGTTTTGGTTTTTTGTTTTTATTATACTTTAAGTTCTAGGGTACATGTGAACAACGTGCAGGTTTATTACATATGTATACATGTGCTGTGTTGGTCTGCTGCACCCATTAACTTGTCATTTACATTAGGTATTTCTCCTAATGCTATCACTTCCTCTGCCCCCCACCCCATGACAGGCCCCAGTGTGTGATGTTCCCTGCCCTGTGTCCAGGTGTTCTCATTGTTCAATTCCCACCTATGAGTGAGAACATGTGGTGTTTGGTTTTCTGTCCTTGCGATAGTTTGCTCAGAATGATGGTTTCCAGCTTCATCCATGTCCCTACAAAAGACATGAACTCATCCTGTTTTATGGCTGCATAGTATTCCATCGTGTATATGTGCCACATTTTCTTAGTCCAGTCTATCATTGATGGACATTTGGATTGGTTCCAAGTCTTTGCTATTGTGAATAGTGTCAGAGTAAACATACGTGTGCATGTGTCTTTATAGTAGCTTGTTTTATAATCTTTTGGTTATACACTCAGTAACGGGATTGCTGGGTCAAATGGTATTTCTAGTTCTAGATCCTTGAGGAATCGCCACACTGTCTTCCACAATGGTTGAACTAGTTTACACTCCCACCAACAGTGCAAAAACATTCCTATTTCTCCACATCCTCTCCAGCACCTGTTGTTTCCTGACTTTTTAATGATCACCATTCTAACTGGTGTGAGATGATATCTCATTGTGGTTTTGATTTGCATTTCTCTAATGACCAGTGATGATGAGCATTTTTTCATGTGTCTGTTGGCTGCATAAATGTCTTCTTTTGAGAAGTGTCTGTTCATATCCTTTACCCACTTTTTGATGGGGTTGTTTAATTTTTTCTTGTAAATTTGTTTAAGTTCTTTGTAGATTCTGGATATTAGCCCTTTGTCAGATGGGTAGATTGCAAAAATTTTCTCCCATTCTGTAGGTTGCCTGTTCACTATGATGGAAGTTTATTTTTCTGTGCAGAAGCTCTTTAGTTTAATTAGATCCCATTTGTCTATTTTGACTTTGTTGCCATTGCTTTTGGTGTTTTAGTCATGAAGTCCTTGCCCATGCCTATGTCCTGAATGGTATTGCCTAGGTTTTCTTCCAGGGCTTTTATGGTTTTAGGTCTAACATTTAAGTCTTTAATCCATTTTGAATTAATTTTTGTATGAGGTGTAAGGAAGGGATCAAGTTTCAGCTTTCTACATATGGCTAGCCAGTTTTCCCAGCACCATTTATTAAATAGGGAATCCTTTCCCCATTTCTTGTTTTTGTCAGGTTTGTGAAAGATCAGATGGTTGTAGATGTGTAGTGTTGATGTGTAGTGTTATTTCTGAGGCTTCTATTCTGTTCCATTGGTCTATATCTCTGTTTTGGTATGAGTACCATGTTGTTTTGGTTACTGCAGCCTTGTAGTATAGTTTGAAGTCAGGTAGCGAGATGCCTCTAGCTTTGTTCCTTTTGCTTAGGATTGCCTTGGCAATGTGGGCTATTTTTTGATTCCATATGAACTTTAGAGTAGTCTTTTCCAATTCTGTGAAGAAAGTCATTGGTAGTTTGATGGGAATGGCATTGAATCTATAAATTACCTTGGGCAGTATGGCCATTTTCACGATATTGATTCTTCCTATCCATGAGTATGGAATGTCTTCCATTTGTTTGTATCCTCTTTTAATTCACTGAGCAGTTGTTTGTAGTTCTCCTTGAAGAGGTCCTTCACTTCCTTTGTAAGTTGGATTCGTAGGCATTTTATTCTCTTACTGGCAATTGTGAATGGGAGTTCACTCATGATTTGGCTCCCTGTTTGTCTGTTATTTGTGTATAAGAATGCTTGTGATTTTTGCACATTGATTTTGTATCCTGAGACTTTGCTGAAGTTGCTTATCAGCTTAATGAGATTTTGGGCTAAGTGTTTGTTTGTTTTTAAAATCTGAATTATTGTGTGGTTTGCCTGTTGGTCAAATTAACTGTATTATAGTCATTTCCACTTCATTTGGGGTTTTATGGAAATAGTCTCATGCTGCAGGATGGATTGACTGCTGTCAGAATATAAAGTTGAAGGGAGAAACTTAAAGGGAAAGAACAACAGGGCTTGAGTTTAAACAGCTTTCATAGTCAAGGGGCTGCGATCTTGCCATCTTGGCCTTGTCTTTGCTCTTTACTCACCACATCAAATGATATGGTGGCAAAAGTACTGATTGTGGAGGATGATGAGCCTAGGCAAGTCCCTGCTGTCACTTAGTAGTCAGGTGACCCAAGGCTATTTGCCTAATCTCTTAGTGACTTAGTGATTGTATTTCTGAAGATATAGAACCTATAGGATATTGGTAGAATTCACATTTACGGTGGCCATGACCAGTGGATTGTCATGCCTATGGTTTCTGGGCACACAGAGGCACCAAATAGTTATCATTATATATTTACACAATAAATATTTACTTGTTGATATTATCACTCCCCAAGAGTCTGCCTTGGTGAGAGAGCAGTTGGTAACAAGGAACTGAACCTACTCCAGCATGCTTAAGAAATTTATTGCAAATAAAAACACAGACACTGCAGGCAATCTCTCACATATCCACGGGTCAGCAATAAGAGCCTGGCCACATAAGGACTAGAGTTGGAAATTTAGAACTCAAAATCACTCTCTTTGCGCATAAACAGCTTCACTGGGCTTCTCTCCATCTCTTGGGGACTGGCTAGTGCTTCTTATGTTCTTACAGCTGCAGCCCACAATTGCACATAACCTCAGGGGATGTCTTTTGGACCTCTCCTCAGGATGGGATGATTGGCTCAGGTTGTTCATATATTCCTTTCTCTTGGGTTAGATGTTCACCCTTATCTAGGTGTCTTCGGTTGAGCTGGGATCATAGAGCACATTGAGCTGCCACTGCCAAAATCAGTGGGAGAGAACTGATTCCTTGAGAAGGTAGCATGGACGAAGCAAAGAAACCAACTGACGCATCCACAGCATACACCAATGGCCTTCAAATATTTTGGACCCCAACTCCATAAGAAGCACATTTTATATCACAATCTATCACTTACCACCCACCCCTTCATGAAACAAACAAGTGTTTTTAAAAGCAACACTAAACTGCGATGATTGCTGATATACACTAATTTTTTTATGTTTTATTAAGCCTGTGTGTTTTTAATGCTGGCCACAACCAATTTATTTGATTTTACAACTTGCTAAATAAGCTGTAACCCATATTTGGAAAAACACTGACATAGACCAGGAAATAGCCATCTAATTGATCTTGCCCTTCTAATCCATTCTGTAAACTCTTGCTAGATTAACCTTCCTTGAAGCCCAGATCCAATGAAACCATCAGAGTTTCCCCAGTCCCTATGGAACTGATTAACCTTAAGTGCCTTAGCTCACTGTGACCTCTGTACCCTGGCTTCATCACCCCTTTCCAGCGTTATGTCCTTGATGCAAAATCTATACTCCCTTTAACTAAATCTACTATATATTTTCCTGTCTTTGTACCTTTGCTTTCAAGACAGGAACACTCTCCCAGATCTTGCTTCTTCTAAATCTTGCTTCCCTTTCAAGACTCAACTTTGATTATACCTCCTGAATCATCTTCTTTAAGTTTCTCCATCAGATATGGCTTCTGCCTCTTCTGAAACCACTTCCTTTGTAATTCTCTTGAAGTAATTCTCATTGTCCAACCAGTATCAGAAATGCATTATAACCGCATAGATACTCGCTTACTGCCCCATTTAGGATTGTTGGACTTAGGTGGAGAGAAAACAGGACACCTAGTTAAATTTGAATTTCAGATAAATAATAAATAACTTTTTTAGTATAGGTATAATCCCAAGTGTTGCATGGAATATTCTTATCTGTTATTCAAATTTAACTAGGCATTCTGTAGTTTATCTGGCAACCCTAGCCCCAAAGGATTGTGATTTCATGAAGTTAGGTACGAATGATGTCTGACTCACCTTTTTATCTGCCATTCAGGAATGAAATTGACCTTCACACCCCTGATAAAAAGTAGATTATCCTTTGATGTTCTTACTGTTTCCCTGACTGATATTAGAACTTTCTCATGTATTGATTCAAACAAGCTTTTAAACTTGTCACCAAATTACCCCAACAGTAGAAAAGATATTGTAATACTTCTGGTTGGAGTTGTATGATGGTGAGGAATGATTCATTTATCTCAAGCATGAGGCTCGGCTGAAGTCTGTGTTTTACCTTAAACACACCACACACACACACACACACACACACACTCTCTCTCTCTCTCTCTCTCTCTCTCACACACACACACAGTCTATAATAGCCCTGTTTTTAATTAAAAAGTGTCTTAAATTGCTCACCAAGGAATAAAACTTGATGCTCAAAAAAAAAAAAAGGAAAAAAATCAAAAGGGCCCTTTTTGCTCTGCAACTTTGCATAACTGCAGCACACTATTGCTCATCTCTGGAGAGATCCCAGTAGAAGAAGTACCAGGTAAGTTGGTTTGTGTCATAGTTCAGTGATGGAACAGCCTCGGGGTAGCTCAGGCAAAAGATGGGGCCAGGGGTAGTCCCAGTCACAGCAATTGTGTCTCTGGGTAAGTAAAGCCAGTGCATGGTTTTTCAAACCCAGTTCATCAGGAGACTTGCCTGTACAATTAACAAATGCCTTCAGCAATTCTTCCCATTTGGCAAGTTAGAGGAACAGCTAAAGGGCACAGGCTTTGTAATCAGGGCTGGATCCCTTTCTTGACTCTGCTGTTTACTGGATAGCTGGGTGGTTATGCCACTTTAATTCTGATTTACCATTCTGAACCTCAATTTTCAGTAAAAGGGTTATAAGAATAGTTAGAAGAGTTTTTGTTTGTTTGTTTGTTTGTTTGTTTTTTGCAAAAAAGCTACAACTGAGAGATGCTCAGACCCCCACAGGCTTTCTGTGATTCTGCTTGTTCTAGGACAGAAGTTCTCAAAATGTGGTGCCCCAACCAGGGTTATCAGCATCACCTGGGAACCGAATAGAGATGCAAATTCTTGAGCCACATCCCAGGCCTACTTTTAGAAACTCTGGAGGCGGGCTCACCTTAGTCCTACAAGCACTCCTGGTGATTTCAATGCACTCATCTTTGAGAACCACTGTTCTGGGGTGTTCTGATTTAGGTGATTTTAATTCAAATTATCACTTGTAAATTATTGCTATTTCTACATCTTTGAGGGATCGATTGAATGGACAAAGCTAAGTCAAGATTTTAAAATAAAAGGACATCTTGTTGATTGTAAGCAACTATCTGAATTCAAATGTCTTTACCTACTGGAACAAGGGAGTAGGATATTTAAAATAGTCTGCTAGGAAACAGCCCTTTGAGTCATTTATTCATATATTCATTTATTCAAATACTTGTATCCAGGGTGATCCAGGAACTGTGCTGGATGCTGGGCAACAGTTGGGAAAAATGAGAATCGAAGAGCAAAATAAAGCTGGTCGTGGTCCCTGTCCTCAAGGAACAGACGGCCTAGTGGGGAAGAGAGACGTTTATCAAAAATCCACAGCCATATACAAACTTTCAACCAAGATGAGCTAAGGAGAGACAAAGTATGAAGAGTGGCTGTAACAGAGGGTGAAACCCATAAAGGGAGGATCTCACTGTCATTTCCCTGAGGATGTGTCACTTGAGTGAGCTGTGAAGGATAAACAGGAACTAGGTTCCTGCAAGAAAGGAAAGAAGGTCATAATATAGAGAGGCACTAACTGCTGCTAAACCCCATAAGAGCAGTGAGTGTGGATGGAGAGAAAGAAGCAGGGGATGGATGGATTGAAATCCAAATTACCTGGCAAGCTGTGGCCAGACCATATTAGTGATAAAGCCCAAGATTAGATGCTGTGCCTTATCCTCAAGAGCAGTGGGAAACACTTTTGTTTGTTCACACTTAAACCCACAGATTGAGTACTTACTGTGTGAGAGCCCTGTGTCTCTTCTCTATGTCTCAACTGGGGTTGCTTTTGTCCCACTCCCTGCAGGGGATGTTTGGCAACCTTTGGGGATACTTTTTGGTTGTTATATATTGGGGTGAGAGTGAATTGACATCTACTGGGTAGAGTCCCAAATGCTGTTAAATATCCTTCAATGAAGGCTGGGTGTGGTGGCTCATGCCTCTAATCCCAGCATTTTGGGAGGCTGAGGTGGGAGGATTGCTTGAGGCTGGTCAACATAGTGAGACCTTGTCTCTATAAAAAATTAAAAAATTAGCCTGGTGTGATGGCACATGCCTGTAGTACTAGCCACTCAGGAGGCTTAGGTGGTAGGATTACTTGAGCATAGGAGGGTCAAGGCTGCAGTGAGCTGTGATCATGCCACTGTACTCCAGCCTTGGTGACAGAGTGAGACTCTGTCTTAAACAAGTATGTGTATATGTATATGCAATGCACAACACAGTCATTCACAACAAAAAATTATCCAGCCTTGATATGGTTTGGCTCTGTCTCCCTACCCAAATCTCATCTTGAACTGTACTCCCCACTTGTCGAGGGAGGGTCCTGGTGAGAGGTGATTGGATCATGGAGGTGGTTCCCTCATGCTGTTCTTGTAATAGTGAGGGAGTTCTCACGAAATCTCATGGTTTAAATGTGGCAGTTTCCCCTGCACTCAATCCTTCTCCTGCGCCATGTAAGACGTGCCTTACTTCCCCTTTGCCTTCTGCCACGACTGTAAGTTTCCTGGGGCCTCTCCAGCCATATGGAACTGTGAGTCAATTAAACCTCTTCTGTCTATAAATTACCCAGTCTCAGGTAGTATCTTTACAGCAGTGTGAAAACGGACTAATGTAGGCCCAAAATGTCAGTATGCTGAGGCTGAGAAACCCTGGGCTAGGTGAAGAAAATATATGTGTGTCTATTTTTTGAAGACCCCACCCAAGAAAGAAATTCCCCCAAAGAGAAAACCACTGTGCTATTAAAAAAGCAAAACTTACTGAATCAGTGTTGTTTTTCTTTTTCTAAAAGACAGTCAAATTCTGGCTAACAAAGAATTTGGCCTTAATAAAACACACACACACACACAAATACACACAGAGTGGCTCTAACATTCAAGTCTACATTTTCCGATTCTATAACTGATAGGGGAGAATTCAACACAGATCTGATAAAGTATGTATGATGGTTAATATTAAGTGTCAACTTGATTGGATTGAAGGATGCAAAGTATTGTTCCTGGGTGTGTCTGTGAGGGTGTTGCCAAAGGAGATTAACATTTGTGTCAGTGGACTGGGAAAGGCAGACCCATGCTCAATCTGGATGGGCACCATCTGATCAGCTGCCAGCGTGGCTAGGATTAAAGCAGGCAGAGGAATGTGGAAGAACTAGACTGGCTAAGTCTTCTGGCCTTTATCATTCTCCCATGCTGGATGCTTCCTGTCTTTGAACATCGGATTCCAAGTTCTTCAGCTTTTGGATTCTTGGACTTACATCAGTGATTTGCCAAGGTCTCTCAAACCTTTGGCCACAGATGAAGGCTGCACTATTGCCTTCCCTTTCAAGACTCAACTTTGATTATACCTTCTGAATCATCTTCTTTAAGTTTCTCAATCAGATATGGCTTGTGCCTCTTCTGAAACCACTTCCTTTGTAAACCCAAACTTTTGCGGTTTTGGGACTAGGACTGGCTTCCTGGCTCCTCAGCTTACAGATGGCCTATTGTGGGACTTCATTTAGTGATCATGTGAATCAATTCTCCTAAAAAACTCCTCCTCAAATATACATCTATCCTATTAGTTCTATCCTTCTAGAGAACCCTGACTAATACAGTGTGTGACCCTGCTTCTGCAGGGAATTTGTTCCCTGAAAACCTATGCACACAAACATAAAAAGAATATGCTGGAGTTTGAGAGAAACAAAGAAAAAGCCCTTATGCATTTCCCTTATAGAAGAATTGCAGTTAGAAATAGTGATAGAAATAGTGTAGTAACTATTTTCTGGCAGGGAAAGACAGGAGGATGGGGGATGGATTTGGAACATATTTGCACATTTCTTCTTACCAAGGCAGAGAGCAAGAGACAGCACCATGCGCCACAGAAGGGCTTTGCTGAGGTTGAGAGGGAGACAGTCACCTTGAACTCTTCAGTTTGTGTTAGGTGGAGATATTCAAATGCATAGTCACCAAGGAGGTCTCTATGCCATTCTGTTTTGTTTTAGTTCATTTGGCAGCTTGTTTCCTCACTGTGTTTACCCTCCCTTCCCTCTGATCACTGAGTGGACTCACCCACACATAATGGCCTTTGACCACGCCATAAAGATACACCAGCTTCCTCAGAACCTGGGAACAAACCCTCCAAAGAGCAAAGAGATTAAAGCACTAGAAGGAAGAGGTCATGGCAACCACCCACAGCAAGGATTTTTAAAGGCCCCCAGATGCACGTCTGCTTTTAGATTTTAGCATCTGTACAAGTTACTCATGCTAATATTTTGGCAGCTGCTGTTGCCTCTGCTGCTTGCACAGTTGAAGCTGCAAGAAAGTGGCTCAGATAGCTGCAAGAAAGTGGCTTAGATATTGGACCACAATTATTTCTTCTTCTTTTTTCCTTCCTTCTTTCTCCTTCCTTCCTTCCTTCCTTTCCTTCCCGCTCCCTCCCTCTCTCTTCCTTCCCTCCTTCCATCCTTCCTTCCTTCCTTCCTTCCTTCCTTCATTCCTTCTTTTTCTCTTTTGCAGACAGCATTCTGGTGTGAGCCACAAAATAAATGCAATGGGAGTTCAAGAGTTCTTGGGTAAGAGAGATCCTGAAATGATCAAGGACATCTTCTTGGAGGAGGGGAATTTTTCACATCTTAATATCAGATGAAATCTGGATTGGCCTTTGCTGTTCCCCTTTGACAATTAAGCACCCAGATTGCAAGAGAGAGGCTGTATTGTTTTTGTCAATGTACTCCTTCATCGCTTTGTGGAGAGTTTATTTTCCCAACCTCCATTTGGAAAGAAGACTCTAAAGAAGACTTCTTTAGAGTATCTCCAGGGTCAGACACTTTAATTTCATCTTGAATATTGTGCTGCCACTTAGTTTTAATGGGGAACACCCTCCATCCTTGGCTGTTTGTTTGTTTGTTTAGGAGCTTGAAAAATATTTAGTTTATCAGGGATCAGAAATTCCAAAGAGAAACAATAACTTCCCCCAGTTCCTCTTTCTGAATGATATCTTTCCTTCTTCCTTTAACAAACTCCACAACCCCAACCCTTTTCTACTTCTAATGTATGTCATGGTTAAGAGTGAAGATTGTCTGTGC
Organism: Homo sapiens; assembly: GCF_000001405.40. Lineage (NCBI taxonomy): Eukaryota > Metazoa > Chordata > Mammalia > Primates > Hominidae > Homo > Homo sapiens. The sequence goes on from NC_000003.12 coordinate 62,924,202, forward strand.
CTCAGTTTCTTCAACTCCAAAATTGAAATAATACTCCATAATGGCTGCCTACTTCATAAAGCACCTCAAAATGGGGGCCTATGTGATAAAGGTATTATGTAGCAGTGTGCAGAACTATGTATGTTAAAGCCTTTAGAATAGTATTAAGCGCATAGTAGGGGGCTGGCACATGATAGCTATTATTTTATTAATACACAGAGACTTAAGGTAAAACCTGAACTAAACATGTCCATTCTGGGGGCTACCACAGCTTTTCCTAAGGTAAACCAGCCCACCTCTGCCCCTGATGGCTGTGGTGAGTTCTATAATGTGTGTTTTGTCTCTACCACTCTCCCTACAAGCCCCCCAATACACACACACACAATACCTAGAAGTGTATGGATCAGGGATGAGCATCTGACCCAGGGGCAGCTGGTCCCCTGGGCAGCTCTGACTGACAGGGACTGGCCAACAAACCCACAAACAAATAAACAAGGCTCTGTCCAAGTAAAGATGAGCTCAGGAAGTCAGACTGTAGCTCCAGGGCTTTGAATTGGAAAGTATGAAGTCAGCCAGGCTGCTAAGAGTCCAAGGTGAAGTGGAAAGGTACTATTAAGAGGAGCTGGAGTCATGGGGTCCATAAGTGTGTAGGAGAAGCTATGAGCACTGTATGCAGAAGTTGTGAGAAGCAGAAACCATGAGCAACAAGCTATGAGGTAGAGAAAAACATAGATTAGTGGGCAGGGAAGCTGGCTGGCGGTAAGAGGAGAAGCACAAACATACAAAGAAGGAACAAAGAGTACCCAGGTCCCCTTTTGGGTGGAGCATAGGTGGGAATAACTGCCAAACCCACTGCCAAGCTCTCTTGTGTCATTTTGGCTTCTGCTCTTGACTCTCTGATGCCCATTCATACTTAGGTTTCTGTTCTGTGATCCCTGTTTCCCTGAATAACCATAAACTTTCCTGTCTTAATTTGAGTATCTTCCTTGTGGACAAAAAGCTAAAGTAAAGCGAGCACCAAATATAAACGTAGTTTTGCATGCACTATTCTTTCCTTTATTCTTCGTTCATTTCTTCTTTGTTGCCTCTATTTTCCAAATGATGGGCCTTGTAAGAACAATGAGCCTTGTAAGAACAATGTCGTAACTTGCACAGAGAACTCGCTTTGTGCGAGGTATGACAGTAACTGTATAGGTTCTTAGAATCCTGATACGCAGGGTCTTAAAAAAAATAGGCATTTATTATTCAATGCTTTAGAGGAGACAGAGATAAATTTTAGAAGCAAGCAACTGTCATATTTTGTTTGTACCTTTATAATTTACAGATGTCAAAGTTTAGCTTTTGAGCAATATTTCTGAGTTTCTGACAATTGACAGTTTCTTTCTCTTGATTTTTAGTAAGAGAGAGAGCTTGGGCTCTGGAGTTCAGGAGACCAGAGCTGAAATCCTGACTTCTCCAAATCGCTTAAACACTTTGAACTTGATACTTCCAGGGAAGAATGTCATGAGAATTAAATTAACAAAATTAAATATCCTACCAGGTAGTTAACATTTAATATATACAAAATCTGTCCTCTCTTTCTTATAGAACATTTTGGGTTGCAAGCAATAGAAAGCAATTCCAGGCTGGCGAGGCAGGAGGATTGCTTGAGCCCAAGAGTTTGAGATCAGTGTATGCAACGTCGTGAGACCCCATCTCTACAAAAAATATAAAAATTAACCAGGCATGGTGGTATGCACCTATGGTCTCAGCTACTCAGGAAGCTGAGGCAGGAGAACTGCTTGAGCTTGGGAGGTCAAGTCTGCAGTGAACTGTGGTCACACCAATGCGCTCCAGGCTGGGCAACAGAGTGAGACCCTGTCTCAAAAATATAAAAATTAGAAAGAAAGAGAGAAAGAAAGAAGAAAGAAAGAAAGAAAAAGAAAGAAAGAAAGGAAGGAAGGAAGGAAGAAAGAAAGAAGGAAAGAAAGAAAAGCAAGCAATTCCAGTGATCTTAAACACAGTGGGAAATACATTGTACAGGTACAGGGACAAATTCTAGGACTCAAAGGAAGAAATGCAACCAGGTTTATGAGGGATTTGAACTGCTGAAAACCCAACAACAGCATGGGTAGTATTTTCTTAACTTAATGTTTATAATACTTAAACGTAATTATAAAAAACCCGGCCCTGGACCCTACAGCCACTGAGATGTTGGTGCCTAAGAAGAACCACATTGTCGTTTATGAACTCCTTTTTAAGGAAGGAGTCGTGGTGGCCAAGAAGGATGTCCACATGCCTAAGCACCTGGAGCTGGCAGACAAGAATGTGCCCAACCTTCATGTCATGAAGGCCATGCAGTCTCTCAAGTCCCGAGGCTACAACACAGAACATTTTGCCTGGAGGCATTTCTACTGGTACCTTACCAATGAGGGTATCCAGTATCTCCATGATTACCTTCATCTGCCCCTGGAGACTGTGCCTGTTACTCTATGCTGCAGCCATCCAGAGAATGGCAGGCCTCAGCCTAAAGGTCTGGAGGGTGAGCGACCTGTAAGACTCACAAGAGGGGAAGCCGACAGCTTCCTGTGCCATAGCATTCCTACAGACGGAGTGCTGTGCCCCCTGGTGCCGATGAGAAAGCTGAGGCTGGGGCTGGGTCAGCAACCAAATTCCAGTTTAGAGGCAGATTTGGTCATGGATGTGGTCAGCTACCTCAGTAAAATCAGAGAGGATTATTTTGCATTGAATAAACTTACAGGCAAAAAAAAAACTTAAAAAAAATTGGAAGCCACTTACAAAGTTCTATCATATAGAAAAATGCACCTTATTTTAAAAGGACACCCTTAAAAATAATCAATTAAGTACCAGCACTTTATTCAGAATAATAACCTACAAGTAAGATACTTCTGGGGCTGCTAACATGAATTAAGTAAAGTGCTTTAAAATGTCAATTAGAAGCACGATAGCAAAGCAAATAACAGTTATATGCTCCGGTAGTGTTGTCTAATTTATTGGATTCTACAGATTTTCTTGTGTACTGAAATGGTTGTACCTATGAAAATCTGGGATGGGGTGTCTCTAATATTGCTATTATCATTGAGGTTGCCATTAAATACTTGTTTTACCAACTGTTAATTAAACAAATTAAAAAATGGTGTAAGAAATATGCAAAGCTCTTCTTGGCATGTCTTGTTAATTCTTTTGCTGTCTGCCATTCAGATTTTCCTATTACTCAGCCCCATATCATGTGGAGACTATGTCTACCCAAACACTTCTCAGATTATACCTCATCCATGTTTTGAAGATAACACAGACTAAACAGCAATCTGTTAATCTCAATTCCAGATTTCCAGTAGAACTACCCCAGTTGGTCCTTGGATGAGGCATCCAACCTTGATAATATTAATCAAGATAATGAGGACAAATATACCAGTCATGGCTGCCAATGAACCAACTCTGTTAAAGAGAGACAGAAAAATGGATCTGCAAGGCTGTAGAGTGGTTGAGCATATATTCTAGACTAGGACTACTGGGTTTGATTTCCCGTATCATCATTTATATGTGTAAAGTTAGGTAAATAGCTTATGTTGCAAGTCTCAATTTTCCCATGTATAAAATGGAAAAGAAAAAAAAAAGCCTATGTCATAGTTGTTGTGAGGACTGAATGAACTGATTTATGTAAATATCTTAGTATGGTGCCTTGCACCTAAACAGTCAGGGGTGGGAGGTAGATGCAAGAGTGTGTCTGTTATAACTGCATTATAGCACATTTTGGTGACTGAATTTTGATTCCTGAAAAACATGACATTAAAATGCCAAAACTATGAACTCCTTTAAAATACAGAATCTTTTGTGGAGGCTGTCATAATAGGGGATCCCAAGGGCCAATTTGGAATTTTACTGAATTATAATGTGATTTAAGAAAAAAATTTGAGTCAGTTCTCATATGGAAATTACAAATTAAGTGAGGTTATTAGTTCCAGAAGAAAGACTTAAACTCTGCTCAAAGTGTTAAATACATCTCAGGTAGAACAGGAGCTTAGTAGCAATGGCAACTCATTTGGTTCTGTAAAGAGAATTTTAAACAGAATTTGTACACACTGTTTGCATTTTGTATGAATTTTTAATCTGAATTTGAGAGTGACATTCTTGCTTTAGATGCAGTAGATTTGAGATTTGACCAAAGCCATTTTGTCCTGTTATCATAACAGATATCTTGCTTTATAAAACGTAAGATCCCATTCACCCTGGGGCTGGAGTCAACTCCTTTGTATTATGTTAGGCATTTAGGCAGGGGCTCTAATTCTTTCAAGTCAATTCTTTTCAGGCTGCAATGTTTTTTATCTACTGCTCAGGGAGACATAAGCCTTGGGGAAAATTAGGTCCATAAAAGCTGTCTCTGAAAGTCTCATTTTTTATGGGCTCTTGGATATAAAGAACATGATTGAAATCTGGTGATGTGTGTTTATTGGCAAATATGTATGTATGTATGTGTGAGTGGAAGGATGAATGGATGAATAGATGGATGGGGGGGAAGGTGCATGGATGGGGAGATGGATCATATAATGAATAGTTATTATTACTATTATTATTTTGGTTATCCAGTATCCAATCATGACAAGGTACCATGACAATTAAAACTTCTTCTCACGTTAGAAGTGTGCCATTGTGTGCATTCCTAGGACCTGGCAAGCAAGTGGAACCAAATTCATTTTCTCTAGTTCAGGGGCAGGGAATCGACTTCAGCTTGGCTAATGAGACAGTCTCCTGTTAGAATCTGAATAAGTGTTCCAGGGTGTGGTGGCAACTGGAGGAAGGCAGCAGCGGAAGTGACCTGTGAATCTATAAATGGATCTGGTCTGCTGGGAGAATTGCTCTGGTTCCTGAGGCTTGGCCCTCTAGAGGTTGCTCGCTTTTTGCCTGTTTTCTAAGCATATATATATATATATATATATATATATATATATATATATATATATATATTTTTTTTTTTTTTTTTTTTTTTTTTTTTTGAGACGGAGTCTCGCTCTGTCGCCCAGGCTGGAGTGCAGTGGCGCGATCTCGGCTCACTGCAAGCTCCGCCTCCCGGGTTCACACCATTCTCTTGCCTCAGCCTCCCGAGTAGCTGGGACTACAGGCGCCCGCCACCACGCCCGGCTAATTTTTTGTATATTTAGTAGAGACGGGGTTTCACCATGTTAGCCAGGATGGTCTCGATCTCCTGACCTCGTGATCCGCCTGCCTTGGCCTCCCAAAGAGCTGGGATTACAGGCATGAGCCACCGGGCCCGGCCTCTAAGCCTATTTCTTCATAAACTCTTTTTTGCTTAAGTCAACAAAATTGTTTCTGTTGCAACCCAGAATTCTCACTGATACAGATATTGAGAAGTAACTTAAGTTTCAGGCATATTCTAAGTTCCTTATGGGCATTCATTTATTTACTGTTCACAAAAATGCTATGAGAAGGTACTTGCATTATTCCTGTTTTACAGAGAAGCATACACAGAAAGCTCACACGGTTGCCTGAGATCGCACAGCTACTAAGAGCAGATCCTGAATTTCAATTCTGGAAGTCTGATGCTAGAGCATACTTAACTCTGCATCTTAACATTTCTGCAATATTGCTTCTGTAAGGATAGTAGAAGGAGAGAAAGAGAGAGAGGCAGTGCAGCAGAGTCTATATAACATGTTATTCAGTGCCTGTTCCTTTTCCTCCTGGCACACAGACTATATATATTTCCCTGCCTCCTTTGCATCTCAATGTAGACATATGACTGACTTTTGTCTGGTAAAATGTGAGAAGTGGATTTGTGTCATTTCCAGGGCAAAGTAGTTAAGTCATAGGTGTGCCTTCCCTGTGGCTCTATTCTGCCCAGCTGAATGGAGAGGAATCTGAGGATCTAGAGGAAAGAAGAGCCACAAAATGGAAAGTAGAAGGCTGCCTGGCCAGGAGTACTCTTATTGTACTGTGATGGGAGTGAGAAATAACCTTCATTTTGTTATACCACTGCAATGTTAGGGTTACCCGTTAATGCCTCTGACTAAGCCTAAGAGGCTATATTAAGTTGATGGTGAGTAGAGAGAGATGACAGAGCAAAGCAAACTTGGATTCCAATTTAGGGAATTGGAAAAAAAATTTTTTTTAAATAAAAATGGAGTCTTCCTATGTTACCCAGGCCGATCTTGAACTCCTGGGCTCAAACTATCCTCCCACCTCAGCTTCCCAAAGTGCCAGGGTTACAGGCATGAGCCACTGCACCCCACACCATATATAGAATTTTTAAAGGGACCCAATTTCGGTTGACAAAATAAATAGCACTGAACATCTTTGCTCTCTTTATAGATAACGAAGAGTGAATCTTAATTTAGTCATAATTGAAGGGGTATTGAGAGATCATCTAATCATCCTCCTGAGTCTCTGACCCTAAACAAAAAATTTACAAAGATTGTTTTATACATAGCATCCTCATTTTTATGGAACTCAAAGGCAAATGTTCATGTTAACTTAATCAAAGATGTCACTGGCAACCTATATCATGATCCTAAGTATTCTTGCCCTTATTTGATGAATTACCCTGGTAGTTATCTACTTCAGTTTCCCATGTATTTGATGAAATTCTACTTGTACAATTTAGTAAATGCAAAGAAAAAGTTCTTTTATGTAATCCTTCCTATTTTAATAATCCTTTGATAGACAGCATCCATATCCCTTGCTAATTATTTTCCCCGTAAGGCAGGGTATTAAATTTCCCAGAATATGTTTCACAGGTAGGAAAGCTTTCAAAAATATATAATATTTTGACCTTTAAAGAAAAAGGATTTGTTGTGAAACTAGTTCTTTTTACTACTAGCGTGTCATTCAAAATAAAATAATACGTTTAGACATGTTGCAGCAATTTAGTTGCTATTACTCAAATCTTACCCTCTAATTAGAAGAAGAAATATGAAGCCTCATCAGTGCATAATTTAACAAACTCAATGTCAGGAAATTACCATATTTTATTCTTGTCTAGCACCAAAATTTGTGGGCATGGAGGGAAAATATTCACTTCTAAAAGTGCAAGATATGACTTATAACAAAAGAGAGCTTGAGAGGTGATAGCATGGGTTCAGGCTAATCAAAGATTTTGGACAAATTCCAAAAGGCAGATTTTAAAAATATGACTCGATTTCCAAGTTCCTTCTGCTTTAGGATGAAGTGGAAAAAGAAATTAAGTCATATGGGGAGAAAGAAAACCGTGAAAACCAGGACTTTTTAAAACTCTGATGGAAATTAGTATGGATCAATGGGGATTCCAGGAAGAGGGAATAAGTCAAGGGATTACGACTTTCACCTGCAGGTTGAGAAACACATATCCATGTAGGTGGCAGAGAGCTCCCTAAATTGGAATCCAACTTTACTTTGCTCTATCTTCTCTCTCTACCCACCATCAACTTACATAGCCTTTCAGGTTGAGTTAGAGGCATTAACGGGTAACCCTAACATTGCAATGGTGTAAAAATATCAAGGTTACTTCTCACTCCCATCACAGCCCAGTAAGAGTACTCCTGACCAGGCAGCCTTCTACTTTCCATTTTGTGGTTCCTTCTTCCTCTAAATGCTCAGTGTCCTCTCCATTCAGCTGGGCAGAATGGAGCCACAGGGAAGGCACACTCACGACTTAACTACTTTGGTCTGAAAATGACACAAATCCACTTCTCACATTTCACCAGAGAGAAGTCAGTCATATGTCTACATCCAGATGCAAAGGAGGCAGGGAAATATATATATAGTCTGTGTGCCAGGAGGAAAAGGAACAGGCACTGATGAACATAAACACTAATGAATGGTCAATTACAATATCAAAAAATGTGAGACTTGAAACAGATCTTAGGCAGTCATCTTATCTCATGCCTTCATTTTATAGATGAGGATGTAACAGTTGTCAGAATCAAAATGGAGTCATTAGTGTTAAAAAATACTCTTGACATATAGAGCCAGGGAAAGCCATGAAAAGAGGGTTCTCACGCTTGTATGCCTGATAATAAAAAGGCTCTACAAAACCCACAACTTTGCATGAAGGCCATTGCAACCTAATACGAAAGAATACTTCTGCGAGGACATTTGCTCACCAACTCCCTGTCCAACCTCAGACTGGCATCATCCTTATTATTGATGTTTGTAGTGAAGTATAATTATTTCAAAACAATTATGTAATCCTCTTCATTTTTTTTTCCTTTAAAAACCTCTGTCTTCCTCTGAATATGCAAATCCTTTACTACGGAACAAGTATTCCCATTGCAATGCTCTATTCCAAGTAAACATCTTTTTCTTTTAGAGAGCTTCTCTCTATTCGTTACTTTGGCTGATAAGAGTATTGAAATTCAGAGAAAATAATTGACTCAAAGTCATCTATCAAGTTATTGCTTGACATAATTGAGAATTCCAGCAGTGAAATCCAACAGAGTTCAGTAACAGCTGGATCCAGGTGCTCAAACATGTCATCAGTAATCTATATCTATCCATCACCTGGCTCTAGTTTTCTCTGTGTTGCTTTCTTCTCAGGCAGCTCTTCTTATGCAGTGCTAAGGTAATTCCAGTCTTATGTCTTTCCATGTTGGTGGCTCCAGCCAAAAGTGAGCTTCTTTATTCTACCGGTTGCAGTAAAAGTCATTAGCCCAGTGTAGGTCATGGTCTAGTTCTGAACCAACCACTGGGGTCAGGGCATTCCATGTCCAGATTTTCTTGGTCTAGGTCAGGGTGCCCCATCAATAAGGCAAAGTCGGTCCGGCTTCACTTAAGCCATATGGGACTATAATTGGGAAAGGGTAGTAAACAGAGGAAACTCCAGCCAGTGCAGCCAGAAAGAGAGAAAACAATGTTGATGAATAATGGACAAAAACAATAAACTTCTACTACATACAGCAATGTGTCATAAATCCTTTGTCAGGTTAATAAATAACGTCATTATTTCCTCATGGCATATCATAAAAAGTGATTTTATTTTTTAAAAAGATTTAGATCTATCGTATATAATAAAATAATTTCAAAGTGATCAATAGTAATCATGTTATAAGCAAAAAAGAAACACCATTTTTTCTCCTTTAGAAAAGGGCAGAAACACTAGTTAGTTGACTTTGAATTAATTCTGTAGCAAACTACATTGTAAAAGGATATCAGATCTTATTTTGTTTGGGGATTGTATAGTTATTAAAACAGAGATTAGAATTTAACAGGTGTTCCAGCATCAGAATAGATTTTCTAAGACGGCTTCATGACTCGGTTGTTTGGAATGCTTGAATTTTTTCACTTTAAATAAAGCTAGCAGTTTTGTTTTTAATGGTTTTGTGGTTTTTTCCAAACAACAAGTTAATAAAAAAAATTCAGGGCTTCTATTTGCAACATATTTCTGCAAATAACTCATTATATGGATAGTTCTTATTATCTCTAATAAATCAAAAGCCAAGTTAACTAAATCACCACAGAATTTCCTTTATTGAGCAGTGGGAGTGGATGCAGTAGAGACACCCCAATGAGTTCTTTAAAAATTATGATCAGATAGATCAATGCATGAATCTAGAAGATATGAATTTGATCAAGTAGATCAATGTATGAATCTAGAAGGCATCAATCTTTTAGGCTCTAAGAAGCTTGTCCTTTTCATGGCCATTAATTTCCCGCTTTTCTCATGCTTCCTATCTTTATTCTGTTTTGTTAGAGTATAACTTATGCAATATGTGAATAAAAAATAAGTGAAGCCAATCGAAACTGTGTAACTGTTGGTCAACACCATTTAGCTCAGTGAAAAACAACTACATACCTTAAAATTACCAATGATAAGAGCTGCAAGTGTTCAAACTGTTCTTTTTTTTTTTTTTAAACACAAAAAGCTTTACCTAATTATTTTGTCTTTCAAAAAAATCAAAATGAGGCCGGGCGTGATGGCTCATGCCTGTAATCCCAGCACTTGGGGAGGCTAAGGCGGGTGGATCATGAAGTCAGGATTTCGAGACCAGCCTGGCCTACATAGTGAAACCCCTGTCTCTACTAAAGATACAAAACTGTAGCCGGCATGGTGGTTCATGCCTGTAATCCCAGCTACTTGGGAAGCTGAGGCAGGAGAATCACTTGAACTCAGGAGGCGGAGGCTGCAGTGAGCTGAGATGGCATCATTGCACTCCAGCCTGGGCAACAAGAGTAGGACTCCATCTCAAAAAAATAAAATAAAATAAATAAAATATGAAAGCAAAACCTCAACATCTATAACAACATAAACCCTCAGAATATCTCTAGGCACCCCCAGGTAGTTATAAAATGCAGGTTGGCAAACACTAGTCTTCTCCTTGCTATTTTCTGTGCCACTATGATGATTTTCCACAATTTCTAAAGATGTCTGCTCCCCTACTTCAGGTGATAACCAGTTGAGTAGTTCAATTAGTACTATTGGGGTCGTCATTTGTTATTATGAGGAAAAATATCAAGTGTTTGCTCTTCGTGGATTCCTATGTCATGGGTGCTCATATGGCAGAACTGGGAAATGCTAGTCCTTTCTTTTGGGATTGGTCAGGCTTTTTACCTGATTAAGACTTAGTCTCAGCTGGGGGTGGTGGCTCACGCCTGTAATCCCAGCACTTTGGGAGGCCGAGGGGGGTGGATCATTGAGGTCAGGAGTTCGTGTCCAGCCTGGTCAACATGGTGATACCCCACCTCTACTAAGAAATACAAAAATTAGCTGGGCGTGGTGGCACACTTCTGTAATCCCAGCTATTTGGGAGGCTGAGGCAGGAGAATTGCTTGAACCTGGGAGGTGAAGGTTGCAGTAAGCCAATTTGGCACCACTGCACTACTCCAGCCTGGACAACAGAGCGAGACGCCAACTCCAAAAAAAAAAAAAAAAAAAAACCAAAAAGACTTAGTCTCTACCTTTAGGAGAGGTGTCATCTTTACGTTTGAAGTGAACTCCATAGCTTATGACTGGGACTGTCTAGACTCAGAGCCCATGACAATTGGCATAACGATTCTAAGCTTCAGTTTCCTCCTCTGAAAATGGGAGAAGAGTTCTAAACATCCCCTAGAATTGTGGCAAAGGTTATAAAATCAGCTACGTGTGCAAAATAGAACCACTCCCCCTCAGACCCGCTCTTCCCCCTTTTCAACCTGCAAGACTGACTTATACAGACTATCTCAATGGGCTCCCTCACCCTCTGAATTCTGCTTGTCCAGTGGAAGCACCAGCAGACCTGAAGGTGAGAGGAGCATGAGGTCAGAGTGTTTATTTCTCTAGCTGCCTCCCTTCTGGCCACCTCTAAGGAAGGCTATAGCTCCTCTTAGTTCACTCTCTCCTTCTTTCCAGGTTCTGATGACCATTTCCTTCCTCTTGTTACTCTGGGCTTACTTTACCTTTGTTAATGATATCTTTCTTAATTTCTCCTCAAATTTGAATGTGTTCTCTCTTTCCTGTATACAAACCACATGTTTCCTAGTACACACAGCACAAAGGCTGCTTAGACTGTTGTATGACAAGCACTTGGATAGCTGTTGGGTAGATTAAATAAAACTATGTGTGTAGAATGATTGGTGTCAAATGGAGTCACTTCATGATAATAATTACATCATTAATAATAAATAAAATACTATGAATAGATTCTCAGTTATTATTTATAAGTCCTCACTATAGCCTAGGCACTAGGCTAGTACTCTGCATTCATAATGTTATTCTTCTCCCTACTCCTACCTACACTCAAATCTACAAGTAGTTACTATTTTTCCCAGTTTACTGACAAGAAAACAGAGACAGAGTTTAACTCACTGGCCCTAGGACACAAAGCAAGTTTGTTTTTACTCCAAAGCTCATTCTCCTTATCACTTTACTGCCCTCCTGAGAGTTTCTGCTTCTGCTTCCTGATACAGACTTTTCCTTTCAAACAGTAAGTGATTTTAATAAAAGATTAAAACAAGAGGACAAAATTATCATGAAAACATGATTATTTGACAAACACTTGCTTCCAGTGTTTAGAGAATCTTCAGAGATCTTGTGATTTTACATCGTGAATTTTCTGGACCATATTATAGGGTTTCACCAATATAACTTCTCTTATCAGACTTGAATTAAGTATTGATGTGTATGTTATGATACCTCCATAGGAGATGCTCCTACATTTGCACAAAATTGTGTGTGCACAGATGTTCATTGCAGCATTATGTGCTGTTGCAAAAAGAAAAGAAAATTAAATTCCTTTAATAGGTGAAACATTAACTACATTTTGGTATATAGTGGGAATGTTGGTATATTCATCCTATGAAATATTAAAAAATAAAATACATTCATATGTACTACATGGAAAGTCCTGAAGATATCAGAGAAGGGGAAAATTAAGTTGTATGATAATCGGAATAATGTAATTCTACTTGTTTTTTAAAAAACTGCGTATGTGTGTTAGCAGCAGTGAATCCATATAGGTCTGCAGCAACCTCAATTCTTCACTCCTCAGAAGAAAGAATTCGACTGAGGGGTATAAGGCAGAGTGAGAGACTGAGGCAAGTTTTGGAACAGGAGTGAAAATTTATTAAAAAGTTTTAGAGCAGGAATGAAATGAAGCCAAGTATACTTGGAAGAGGGCCAAGCAGGTGACTTGAGAGATCAAGTGTGCTGTTTGACCTTTGACTTGAGGCTTTACATGTTGGCATGCTTCTGGGTGGTTGCAACCCATCTCCCCTGATTCTTCCCTTGGGGTAGGCTGTATGCATGTGCAGTGGCCTACCAGCACTTGGGAGGGGCCACATGTGCAGTGTGTTTACTGAAGTTGTATGCACACTCATTTGAGGTGTTTTTCCCTTACCACTCCAGTGTTCCTAGAGGAAGGCCACACACCACTCACATATACAATTTTGCTTCTTAGTGCGCATGCTCAAGCCCACTCGCCCGACTCCTGAGGTCTTACTGGGAAACTGCTGATCACCAGCTTCAGGTGTTTCTATCTAGTGGGAGACAGCCTTTCCCTGGTGCTAACTGCAACTAATTATTATTTTAAAGAGACAGTTTAACAGCCGTCTGACCATCACCTGATGGTTGCCTGGCATTCCTAGTTGGGGGGAGGGTGGGCACTCTCCTGCCCTGCTCATGTTTTACTAGCTACCTACTGTAACATGTGTTTATATAAGTAGATAAATAAAGGGATAAAAATCTGAAAGAACATGCCAAATTATTTGTAGTTGATACTGCCTGGGAGAGAAGTTAGATTAAGGAATATGAAAAGAGACATTCAAGTTGTATTCTATATACTTAACACATTGCTTGAATTTTAAAAATAATAAGAATTGATGTGTTATTTGGATAATAAAGAAATAAATAAAAATTTTAAACAATTACAAGATTAAGGGGCATATAACCTTGTCCCATGAGATACTTTTGACAAAACTTGGATGTTTAATGTGAAGATGAGAGGCACAAATGAATAGGTGGCATTAGCTTCTAGATACATCTATTACAGAGCTACGATGTGGAAGACTGTTTGGGATGGTTCTGTGTAACCTTAGGGGGCAGTAGGAGGAGTAGCCAGGGAGCCAAAGGCCACATAATGTCTTATAGGATGTGTTAAGAAGCTTAGATGTTATTCTAAGCCCTCTAGAAGTCACTGCAGGATTGTAAGCATGGGTGTGATAACCTCTATTATTATTTTTAATTTTTTTAGATTACTTATGTAGTATCTTGAGTCAGCTTAGGTTGCTGTAACACAATACTACAGACTAGGTGACTTAACAGGAATTAATTTTTGCACAGTTCTACAGGCTGGAAGTCTGAGATCAAGGTGCCACCATGGTTGGTTCTGGTGAACACTCCTTTTCTGGCTTGCAGATAGCTGCTTTCTTGCTGTTTCCTACTCTCTTTCTTACTGGGGTGGTGGAGAGGGGAGAGACAAAGAGAGAGAGACAGAGAGAGAAACAACCAAATTCTGGTCTCTTACAAGAGCACTAATCTCATCATGAGAATCCCACATCCAAATACCACCACGTTGAGGATCAGGGCTGTAGCATGTGAATGGGGAGACAGGTGCAAACATTCAGTCCACAGCAAGTAGCTTGCTGGAGAATTATCTGTTCAGGATGAGTGGGGGTTGGAGAGCAGTGGCAGGGAGCTGAGTTAAAACAGTGGCCTAGAGATGAATAGTAGCTTTGACTGGAGAGATAGCAGCAAAAATGGTGAGACAGCATCAGATTTGGATATATATGGTGGGAGAATCAAAAGGACTTGCTGAAGGATTGAATATCAGTGCAAGACAAACAGAAGAATTAAAAAAATCTCCTAGATTTGGGACTTAAATAATTGAGTAGATGATGAATCATTGACCAAAAGGGGGTTGGGAACAATAAAACAGATGCATAGATCTGATAATGGATTAGTATTCAAAATACATAAAGAATTCCTATAAGAGGAAACAGAGATATGCCTTTCTAGTTTTTTCCAAAATATTTAAAAAATTGTTTTTCATTTTAAAGTCATTAAGAACATTTGTTGACATTTCTCTTTATGGCTTGTTACTTTAGGGTTTTGTTTGTATATAGCCCTGTATTCATTCCCTAGGGCTGCCATAGCAATGGATCATAAACTGGGTGCCTTAAAACAATAGGACTTTATTCTCTCGAAGTTCCGGAGTCTAGAAGTCTGAAATCACAGTGTCAGCAGGGCCATATTTCCTCTGAGGGATCTGAGAAAGAATCTTTCCTTGCTTTTTTCTTTCTGGTGGTTGCTGGCAAGCCTTGACAGTCCTTGGTTTGTATCAGCATAATTCCATCTCTGCCCTCTCCCTTGCATGTCTCTCTTTCTCTCTGTGCCTCTGTGTCTCTTCTTATAAGGACACCAGTAACTAGTCTAGTGCCCACCCTAATCTAGTATGAACTCATTTTAGCTTGATTACATCCGTAAAGACCCTATTTATAAAATAAAGTTAGTTACGGGTGTCAGGGGTTTGGATTTGAACATATCTTTCTCGGGGACACAATTCAACCCACAACGATTCCCAGGTGTTTCTAGTTTTGCTATTCTGTTATGTTTTTTGTCTATAACTAAGACAAACTACACTGTCATAATGACTGTAGATTAATACTACGTCTTGATATCTAGACGACATCTCTCTCCCAACTCTGGTTTCTTCGAAAGTGTCATGGCTTATCTTTGTCCTCTTTTATATACATTTTAGAATCAGCTTTTAAAATACTTTTTAAAAAACCCTACAGGAGCTTAGATTGGAATTGTACTTATCAGTCGTTTTAGAGAGAATTGATGGATTTATGGTGTAGAATCTTCCTATCCATTAACATGGTAGTGTTAGAGTAAATAGCTAGGCAGACATAAACGGGGCAGGAGAGGCTCCCCTCTAGCCTATGATTGTCAGACGACCATCAGGTGATGCTAAGGTGGTTGCTAAATTGTCTCTCTAAAATAATAACTGGTCACAGCCGGCACCAGGAAAAGGCAGTTGCTCAATAGATAGAAAACACCTGAAACTGGTGATGAGCAGCTTCCTGATAAAATCTCAGGAGTTGGGCTAGTGGGCCCAAGCATGTGCACTAAGAGGCAAAATGGAAGAATTTAACTGATATGTGACCTTCCTCTAGGAACACTGGACCAGTAAGGGAAAAAAAAAAAAAAACACCTCCAGTGAGCATGCGCACAACTTCAGTAAACACACTGCACGTGTAGCGCTTCCTGAGTGCTAGCAGGCCACCGCACATGCAGACAGCCCACCCTAAGGGAAGAAGAGATGCAAATCCCAGAACTATGCCAACCTATAAAACCCAAGTCAAAGGTCGAACACCGTACTTGGATCTCTCAAGTTGCCGGCTTGGCCCTCTTCCAAGTGTACTTTACTTCCTTTTGTTCCTGTGGTAAAGCTTTTTAATCAATTTTCACTCCTGCTCAAAAACTTGCCTCAGTCTCTCACTTTGCCTTATGCTCCTCGAGTGAATGCTTTCCTTCATGGAGGCAAGAAATAAGTTGCTGCAGACCCATACAGCTTCCCTGCTGCTAACAGTGGCACTTCTTAGCTTTATTCCCCAGTACCATAAAAATGTTATAGGTGGAGACTTTTAAAATAAATTTGCTAAATGTTTGATGCTGGCGTATAGATTTATTTTTAATGCTTTGATTTGATATCTAATAACCTTTCTTTAACTCTCATTATTTCTAATTATTTGAAGATTATTTTGAGCTTTTTTGTATTTTTGAATGACAATTTCATTCTTTCCTTTCTAATCCTTATACTTTTGCTTTCTTTTTCTTATCTTGCTGTAATCACTGACACCTCTAGGGTAATAGAAACGATCAGAGTGAATTACCTAGTGTTTCTTTTGATTTTAAGAGGAATACTTCACCACTAAGTTTGGACTTTCTCTAGGCTTTTGGTAGGTATCCTTTACCAAGTTAAGGTGTTCCTTCTATTCCAAGTCTCCATTCATTTTCTGTTGTTGTCTTTTGAAGAAACTTTTCCTTTTTCTTTGTTTACCAGTATTGTCAGAGATTTTAAAAATACTTTTACTTCATTTTAAAGTGTTTAGGATAAAAGAACTAGGTAGATTTGTACCCTCAGACACATAAATACTCTTAGCGTTTAGCTTATGAACTAAGCAAAAATAAGCACATTATTTATGTGTCAAGAACTCTCCCCACCCCATGAAAAAAAGGCAGCAGAGTTTAATTGAAAAATGTTATAGACTTACTTTGAATACGAAACTGAATATTGGGGCCCAGTATTCTCTTCTTGAGACACTGACACAGACTCTTCCAAAGACCTCTTTGTGAGTCACCTATTTTCACGTTGGTTGCATCACCCTTTGGGGATTTGTTTGAATTATTCAGAAAGCTAGTTTTTCCCAGCGACGTGATTGCACAGCATATCCTGGACCCTCAGTTGCCAGGAGATCTTTTTTCCCTCCTCTCTCCTGGCACATAAAAGCAAACTAAAGCCCTAACTGGATTCAGGAGGAAGAGGCAGTTCTGAAAGAGAGGGCTCCATTCGTTCTGAGAGGAAGCACAGTTACCAAAATGTCAGACTTTCCTTCTGGGCGAGAGGCAATCCCACAAGGCACTGCTAAGCGTACTGGGATCAAGCTATTGTGAGCAGGAAAGAGATGTTTCCTTCGGAGGTCTTAGGACCTCAGAAGCAAGTAGCTGGAGGGAACACAATGACACTTGATATTAGCTGAGGTGTGATTCTGAAAAAGACTGACTCAGCCCTTTTCCAAAGAAAAGAGGCTGTGAGCACACAAAAATAATGTCTGAAAGAGGGGATTTAACACTTGTGCTCCCAAGGGAAGGCTACTGTATTTAGGAGTGAGTAACAGGCACTGCTTGTTCCCTGCTTTTTCAGTGTCTGCTGACACC
Source organism: Homo sapiens (assembly GCF_000001405.40). NCBI lineage: Eukaryota > Metazoa > Chordata > Mammalia > Primates > Hominidae > Homo > Homo sapiens. Next base: position 62,941,522 of record NC_000003.12, read on the forward strand.
ACTAATTGCAAGTCATGTTGTGTCTCTTACTATGTAATGCTAAGCCACCGAAGTCCACAGAAAGCAGAGAGGTTGCTTAAATCCACCCAGCATTTTGGAATGGAGGATTTTATATCTTCTTCAGACATTTTTTGGGGTAAACACAGATCATTTTTATTATTATTATGTTTTTGCAATCAAAAAAGCTTTTTCCCCTCTCACTTTAAAAGCACCCCTGTGTTTGTTCATTCATCCATGTATCTACACATTTATTCACTCATCATCTATCACTGAGTTGACATTTATTATTATTATTACTAAAAGCTAACATTCATTGAACTCTAAAAAAAAATCACTAATTTCCAAGTACAACTAATTTTATTGTACTCTCTCATTCATTTTTCATGTAACCAGTGAGACACTATTATTCCTTATATAGGTAAGGAAAATGAGGCACGAGGTGAAGTAGATTTGCTCAATCTCAAAGCTAGTAGTTGGAGAAGACACAACTCAAATCCAAATCTTTTTGACTCTATACCCCTTTCCAGTAGCAACTGAAGTCATGTCATACTGGCTTACAAGAAACCAATTGTTAAATGTTCAGGAATTTTGAGTATTGGTTTGTTAAATATAGTCCTTATCGTAAATTAAATTATACAAATTTTGATTAAACTACATTAAAAACAAAATAATAAATACTTAAAATGATCACTTTGGAGTTATTTTATACCATTCTACTTTATCCATATCTTGAGGTTATTTCTGTCTTCTGAATCTTAATGACAGAATTATTATAGAATGGCAGGCTATGACGTATCTCTTTACAACTCTGCATTCAGTGACACCATGCTGCTAGTTTGAAATTGGCCACGGTTGACTGTTTTCACCATGGAGATTGGCAAGTACTACAAATAGAGACTTTCTGTGCCCTAAAGAGTCGGTTGTTAAACACTTAGCAGCATACCAGTGACCCTGTGTCTTGACTACCAAGGCATATAAATTCCACAAATACTGTGATGTTATGTACAGGCCTCATGCTGAATGCAGAAGATGCAAAGTTGAATCAGTCACAGTGGAAATAAGGAAGAGGAAAGCTCACCCACTGGAAATTGAAAGATTTTGGAGGCTGAATAATTCAAATGTAAAGCATCACTTCAAATAAATTATCCAGGTACAATTGTATGTATGGCAAAAGAAGACCTAAGATACCCGCAAAAATGTATAATCTGGAAGGTTTCAGTATGATAATCTCCTGTCTCTTCTCTGCTTTTATTGTAGAGAACACAATAAGAAAGAATTGTGCTATGAAGTAGACCATTTCAGGTCCAGTGTTTCCTGAACTGGAAAGTTCAAGAGTTGATGGATTTTGATCTTCTGAATATTGCTCTTTGACTAAGGGAATCACTATTCCTTATCTGGGATGCTTTTGTTTGAGAACCAACTGACTAAGCATTAAACCAAACAGATGCTTTGTATGGCCAGAAAAAAATGAATTCTCTAAGGAACAGTTAAAGCCCACTGATATGGTAATTTGACAACCAGACATGTTTCTAATAGAATTTCATACCAGTTTTGATTGTCAGCCAGATTCATTCTCAATAACCCTACAGAAATGGGTACACAGAAAGGTGGAAAGCAAGAGAAGAGGTAAGAAAGTCTAACAATCAGTATGGTTTTAAGTGCAAATTTAATCCCAGTTCTGCCATTTATTGGCAAATAATTTCCCTTTTCTATGCTTCAACAGCCCTGTTTATAAAATAAGGGGGTTGGATCATCCACCTTTTTCAAGTTTAGTCTGCAAAAGCATTACCACCTGAGCTAATTCATATACGGGTTTTCAAATCCCACCTGCAGGTCATTAGATCGTTAGATCCAGGTTATGGCCAGCAGTTTGCATTTTAAGCCAGCATTTAATTTGACTCTATTCCCAATGATCTGGTCCATCACATATCCACATGACTAGACTAGGTGATCTTTATTTCAGTCTGCATCTACCGTAATATTGACATTAAAAAGAATATATTTTCAGTATTAGTCAATATAGTGAATATATATATTCACTTTTAATGTCAATTAAAAAGAATATATTTTCAATGTTAGTCAATACAGTTAGTGAATATATATGTATGAATATGTCGCTTGGAATTTTCATCTTAAGGAAGAGATGTTTTGCCTTGTATAACCTTTTAGTTTACATCTTCTATTTGAGTCTTACCTCTTATTTCTCTAATTTGATGGAAGTCATCTGATAGGGTTTAGGATACATGTTATCTGGGTGATGGGAAAATTTAGCTGCTAGTTTAGTGGCTAACAGCATTCCAGTAATGGGCTTTCTGAAAGGGTGAAAAATATAAAGCTATCACCATGTGTTTGCTGGGAATGATTTTGAAAAGCAATTGGAAAAAGACCAAAATCTAAATTATTGTACTATTGAATTCAAGTCAGTATTGTAGAAAGCAAAAACATTGAACTGGCTTTTAGATAGATAACTTATACACCACGTCTGACTGAGGTTTATCCTGTAATAAGAAATAAGATTTGAAAATAAACAACTGTGTGTTGTTATAGAGGACATAGTTTCCCCAATCTTAGGCATGACTAGTTTCTACTGTGCAGCAAGAGATAATGACTCCCATCTTTCTCCTAATTAGATGAGTGCAGTGAACTTCTGTGATTCCCATCTGCCTACGATTTATCCTTCTTCTGATAATAGCACCCCGATTTTCCTCTGGGTGATACAACTTCCCTCCCTGTTTGACCACATACTTTGGGAGTTGGAGGGTGAGAGCAGGAGAACATTCCTCTTAGCACAGTGATTGGTTTTTGGATGGGAATGAGACAATTTAGAACAGTAAGAATTAATTTTCAGACTTTTGTTAAATAGCTAGAGGAGTCCTTTTTCATTTTGCTGGATTTGAAACTAGGAGGAAGGTGGGGCAAGACCTGATGACAACTATTTTGTCATTCTGCAAACTCAAGCTGAGTTTGAAGCTATCACATCTATGCCCTGGAGATTTTCCCATGAGCATATATAGGATTAAAACAGTTTTCTTTTTTTTTAAGTCACCTAAAACCAAACTAATCCTAATTGATTCACTGAGCACCTGCCCAAATCATGTAAATTCTCTAGGCTGCAATGTTTTCATTTTTCAAAAGGTATATGCAAAATAAGGGTAAAAATCTAAAAAAAAACTTTAGTACTCCCAAGCTGTATACAATTATAAGTGTATAAGCACATACAAGAAAAGAAAGAATATATAAGAAAGTGGTAATGTGTTTCACTTGAGGAATGAGGACTTAGAATTGGGAGGGAGACTCAGTTTTCACTATGTATTGTTTTGTACTATTTGAGTTTTGAGTTTTAAATTTTTATGTGTGTGTTTCACCTATTAAAAATCCCAATTGTATGTTTCTAGGAAGACACTTTGTTTGTTTTCAGAGACAGAGTCTTGCTACATTGCCAAGTGTCTGGTCTTAAACTGCTGGCCTCAAACAATCCTCTTGCCTCGGCCTCCCAAACTGCTGGAATTACAGGCATGAGCCACTATCCCTGGCCAAAGACAACATCGACATGTTTATATCCATATAACAAGTTCATCTTTTGAATTTAATATTTGGTAGTACATAAACGCTGTAGTATATCTTTCCATTTGTTAAGATTCTTTTCCTTCAAAATGTGCTAAAATAATGGTGATGACACAAATATTAAAATTAATGTTCAGATGCTTCAAAATATATTAATAGTATACACTTGATACTACTTTTAATACTTTCTGATTTTTATATACAATTTCTCCTCCCTCATTTTCAGAGTATTAATTCCATTTATCAAGGTGCCATCTGCTCAATTCCTCTAATCCTCAGTTCACCCATTTTGAAGATGAGACATCTCAAAGTAAATTAATCATTCAAATTGAGGACTTAGAGGGAGCTTATGTAATTCTATTTCATTACCTCTTCTAGCCTCGGGAATGGGTTATTCCATTTCATTTTATTTCCCATTGTCCTCACATTGTCTTATTTGAACTTATTGAAATGATTTAAGTGAATCTTGTGCTCAGAGGCACAGAAATACAAGACCTAGAAGTGAGATATATGAAGATGAATATTATTTGGGTACATTTTGATCCTCCTGTATTTTCTTTATCCTCAGGGAATTATGTATCAGGGTCAGAATGAGGTTATCTATGGAGGCTTGTTCTACTGCCCTGCTATTAATATTTTGCCCCCTTCTCGTTTAGGTCTTGGTTGCAATATCATTAATATTTTGAATCTAAGCAATGGACTTGAAAGGACCTGGTTAGAATGTAAAGATCTATGTGGGGTTTTTTTTTTTTCAGTGTAGACCTTATGTTATAAAGTTACTTCAAGGTGGTATAAAGTCATCTAAATAAAATTAAAGATAATAAAACTATAATTGCAAGTAGCTAATTTAGAATACTCTGTGTCCAGTGTTTTATACATTTTTATTGCTCACCTAATTCTCTCAATATGCCTTTTAAGAAAGTGCAATTATTGCTCCCATTACACAGATGAGAAAATGGAGGCACCTAGAGTCTAAGATGAATAACTTGTTGAAGGTTGCACATGCAGTAAATGGCAGACCTGGGATTTGGACATTGGCAAATGATTTCCAAACCTATGCTCTTTACTCCTCTCAGTGGGTTGAGACTCTGGAGAGGCAGATCCTAGCTTAAACAAACAGAGAAGAGTGAAAGCAGAATTAGGTATACGGCACAGAGGTAAATCAGAAAAGGGCGTGATTAATTTTATCTAGAGAGACCGAAGAGGCTTCCTGGAAAAGGTGACATAATAGATGGAACTTGAAAGATGGGTTTTATTCAGTTTTATTCACTGATCTCTGAAATTTAACTTCAAACTATGATAACATATATGTTCAAATTAGGGGACAAGATACTAGAAATAAAATTAAATTTCAGCATTGAAACAGCTGTCCTAGTGAAAGGACTAACTTTCTTCAGTCCTTAGGGATGTATTTAGACATATGAAGATGTATGACAATGCTTTGCAAATGGCACAACATCACAGAGAAATATTAGTTCTTATTACTTAAGTTTATAAGGCATAGTGTTTGCTTTAATGGCCTCAATTCTTTATCCTCTCTTGTAACTCCAATTTTCGCTGTGTAATCTTGAAGTCCCTTTCGCTAAACAGGCAGAGTCTACTTCCTCATCCTGAATCTGGGATGCCTTAATTACTTGCTTTGGCTAATAGGATATTAGCAGATAGGGCACAAACAGAAATTTAACAAGGCCCTTGGAAAAAAAAAATGAGGGGAAAATGTAAGATGCATTTTGAGCAAAATATGAGGAAACAAAAAAGCACTTGGGCATTTTTGCTTGTACTTGCTCTTCTCCCATCAGGAAACTATATCTAGGATACCCTGCTGCAGGGTGAGAAACATGAAAAGCAGAGCAGAGCCAAGCCCCTGGCCCCTTTATTTCAGCCAACACCACTACCGAAGGAACCACAGCCAGTGACTCCCTGGGCTTGTGAGCAAGAGTTAGTCCAATCCTGATCAGCCAACTCCAGCCTAATCAACTGCACCCTGCAGACTCATAAACTAAACCAATGCTTATTATTGTAGGCTACTGAGTTTTCCATGAGGATTTCCTCTACCTACAGATAGCTTGAGGGTTGCAGTAGCTGACCTTGCAGTAGCCTGGGGGAAAAACAAAAAATATTTTATTATTTCAAGGAATAGTTAACAAGGAATCTATGTTGCTATGTCAATTTTGCCTAGTTACATAGCATCATTGTGACAATTAATCACTGATACAGCAGATGTGACCATTTCATAGCAGCATCAACATCAAAAACTCCTGGGAGTCAATGGCTTCTATTTATTTTATGTTCCTAATAAAAGCAGAGGCAACGGGCACATGATACATGCTTTTTAGGCAAAAAACAAAAAAACAAAAAACAATAGCAATCTAGATTCTTTGACAGTAGTAGAATACTTCATGTTTATCCCTGAGGGAACTGCAGGGTGAATTACTGTAACCCATCACTTGTCAAATAAAATCACAAACTAACTTTACACAGGCATGGCCAACAGCTAATTTAAACACTGTTGGAACTAACAGGTAGAAGAGATCAGTATATTGTAATTTGGCTTGTTTTCTTTTTAATTGCTCTTCAAGGGAACATCAAACCGAAGATAATATTCCAAAATCCTTTAACTTCAGGCTGGGAGGAATTAAAGTTAAATCATTAGGAATGTTTTTAAATCTTTTTGAGGTCCAAGTTTTTCAGACTCCTCCATGTATGGATAAAAATGAGCCAACATTAATGTCAATAAAGATTTCAAATAAAGATTATTTTATTTGTTCCAAATCGTAAATGATATACATGCTCCATATAGAAAATGAGAAAAATAGAGTTAAAAGAAAACAAGTACAAATAATTCCACCATTCAATTATTGTTAATATGTTGGCATTTTAAATGTATTTTTATCTTAGTAACAGTAGCACGCTTTTGGGCACAGTGCTTCCTTTAATTGTCACAATCCAGTGAGTTGGTATTATCTCTATTTTTTAGAATAGAGGAACTGAGAATATAATAACAGGAATTTTGCTGACATACTAGCCTCTCCCTCCTGATACAGAAATTCAGCAATCCTTCTTAAGAGTCTCCTACTAATTTCTACTTTAGTTAACTTTTTATTATGGAAAATTCAAACTTACCCACCAGTAGAGGAAAAAGCACCATGAACCTCTATGCACCCATCACTCAGCTTCAATAATTAGTAACACACATCAATTTTGTTTCGTTGATAACCCCATCCATTTTTTTCTCATGTCCACTTGCTCTAATTTTCCATGTGGACTTCTCCGTCTATAGACCATTTGAGGATAACTCACCCTGCAGATCCTCAGGAATAAAGATGAAATATTCCAGTACTTTCAAGGAGGCTCAGAATCTGTGTTAATTTGGTCTGAAAAAAAATGTGCCTTGTGCATGTTGGAGTGGGCTAAACTCTGTTTACCCTAAAGCGCATGGTTAATAGAAGGAACTGAGTTCAAGGAGCTGAAAATGTAGACATTGCCATGAAATTTACTTATACACCTACAAAGTAAGAATGAACAGGGTGCTGTATGGTCTACAAGCCACAGTCATGTCTTTCATCAAACATGATTGAATGTCCCTTTTTGAGAAAACTGCTTTGCTCAGAACATCATATTTCTAGCCCCCAGAGAAAGCCTTTGTGGTACCAAACCGGACTGTCCTCCTTTCAGTGCTCTGCGCACCCCCTGCACTGTCCCCGGCATCCCTTGCCCCAGGGCCAGGCTCTTCTCCAGGAGTGAGGCTGGCATGCTAGGTTGTGCCACTGTTATTCACCCTGAAATGTATGATTAGTTAATATTCATGAGGCCTTCTACCCAGTGGAGTTTGTTGGGGCATATGGAAACCACAGTCTCTGTTCTCAGCAAGTTTGCACCAAAGCGTCTGAGTCTATTTACTCACAATTTGCCGATGTTTTGACATTTCCTTGCTGATTTGCCTCATGAATGAGTGCCTGGTGATACTTTCCTGATCGGAAGTAATACCCCAATGAGCCAAAGATTGGCTTCTCCTGTTGCCATGGGGCATCCTGTCTCATTTTCTCACAGAATAAATGTTGCACTTGAGGGAAAATAAAAAAAGGTGGCAGCCCTAAATGTCTCCGGTTTCTGTGTCTTATGCATAGTCTCTGTAGCTAAAAAAAGTAAGTAGATTTGTCACCCAGCTCTATAGCACTTACATGTGGATGATAGCATTTTTTTCACCTTAATCTTGTGAGATTAGGGATAAAGACATAATTCTTTTTTTTTTTAGTTTGAAATTAAAACATATTTTCTGTCACTACTATACAAAAAGTGTAAAAAATATAAAACCTAAAAACCAAAACTACTCTTCCTATTTCAGTCTCCAACCCTATTTACTTAATTTTTCTCTTTGGAACTGATTATGGCTTATTTGGTATGCACACTCCTAGATATTTCTCAGTGCTCTCATATGTACACTTATACATGTGTGTATGTTTCTAAGCATAGACATACACAGTGTAAAGAAACATATGAACACATCTATTCACATATATATGTGGTTCTTTTTGCACAAATATATTAAATATAAGATACCACTGATTGTACAATGTGACATTATTTTATGTACAGCATCAAGACTATTGCCTGGCCAATAAAAATTGTAAGACAATAGCAATTATAGAACTCATAATAATGTGAAAATGTGCAAAATAAACATCTTGAAATCGATGAAATATGGCAGCTTTTTTTTTTATTGTTGTTGGTTTCTTTTCTTTTTTTTTTTTTTGAGATAGGGTCTCTGTCTGTCATCCAGGCTGGAGTGCAGTGACATAATCACAGCTCACTGCAGCCTAGAACTCCTGGGCTCCAGTGATCCTCTAGTAGCTGGGACTACAGGTGTGTGCCACCATGCCATCTTTTGTTTTTGTTTAATGGAACAGCACAGATATATTTTCACTTCAGGGCAAATAGTTCCACCTGTTTTTAAACTACTGGCTATTATAGTCAGTTGTCTCATAATTTATTTAGCTATTCTCATATTGTTGAACATTTAGTTTGCTTCCAGATTTACTATTAAAGAAGCATTGAATGCACATATGTCAGTATAACCCTTTGCATACATATGTGAAAATTATAGAAAACATATTCTTAAAAGCATACCTAAGGGTTAAAGACCATAAGTGATATGGTTTGGCTGTGTCCCCACCTGAATCTCATCTTGAATTGCAGCTCCCACAATTCCCATGTGCTGTAGGAGGGACCCAGTGGGAGGTAATTGAATCATGGGGGTGGGTCTTTCTCATGCTGTTCTCACGATAGTGAATAAGTCTCACAAGATCTGAAGGTTATATAAAGAGAAGTTCCCTACACCACTTCTGTCTTTGCCTGCTGCCATCCACGTGATATGTGACTTGCTGCTCCTTGCCTTCTGCCATAATTGTGAGGCCTCCTCAGCCACACGGAAATGTGAGTCCATTAAAACCTCTTTATCTTCTCAGTCTTGGGTATGTCTTTATTAGCAGTGATAAAACGGACTAATACAATAAATTGGTATTGGTAGAGTGGGGCACTGTTGTAGATACCCGAAAATGTGGAAGCAACTTTGGAACTGGGTAGCAGGCAGGGGTTGGAACAGTTTGGAGGCCTCAGAAGAAGACAGGAAAATGTGGGAAATTTTGGAACTTCCTAGAGACTTGTTTGGCTTTGACTAAAATGCTGGTAATGATATGGACAATGAAATCCAGGCTGAGGTGGTCTCAGATGGAGATAAGGAACTTGTTGGGAACTAGAGTAAAGGTGATGCTTGCTATGTTTTAGAGACTGGTAGCATTTTGCCCCTGCCCTAGAGATTTGTGGAACTTTGAACTTGAGGGAGATAATTTAGGGTATTTGGCAGCAGAAATTCCTGAGCAGCAAAGCATTCAAGAGGTGACTTGGGTGCTGTTTAGAGCATTTAGTTTTAAAAGGGAAACAGTATAAAAGTTTGGAAAACTTGCAGCCTGACGATGTGGTAGAAAAGAAAAATCCCATTTTCCGAGGAGAAATTCAAGCTGGCTGCAGAAATTTGCATAAGTAATGAGGGGCCAAATGTTAATCAACAAGACAATGGGGAAAATGTCTCTAGGGCATGCCAGAGACCTTTAAGGCAGCCCCCTCCCATCACAGGTCCAGAGGCCTAGGAGGAAACATGGGTTTGTAGGCTGGGCTCAGGGCCCCCCTGCTGTGTGCAGCCTAGGGACTTGGTGCCCTGTGTCCCAGCTGCTCCAGCCATGGCTAAAAGGGGCCAAGGTACAGCTTGGGCTGTGGCTTCAGGGGGTGCAAGCCCCAAGCCATGGCAGCTTCACTGTGGTGTTGAGCCTGCCAGTGCACAGAAGTGAAGAATTGAGGTTTGGGAACCTCTGCCTTGATTTCAGAGGACGTATGGAAATGCCTGGATGTTCTGGAAGAAGTTTGCTACAGGGGCAGTATCCTCATGGAAAACCTCTATTAGGGCAGTATGGAAGGGAAATGTGGGGTAGGAGCCCCAACACAGGTCCCCACCGGGGTGCTGCCTAGTGGAGTTGTGAGAAGAGGGCCACCATCCATCCTCCAGACCCCAGAATGGTAGATCCACCAACAGCTTGCCCTGTCTGCCTGGAAAAGCTGCAGACAATGAACACCAATTTGTAAAAGCAGCCAGGAGGGAGGCTGAACTCTGCAAAGCCACAGGGGCAGAGCTGCCCAAAGCCATGGGAATCCACCTCTTGCATCAGTGTGACCTGGATGTGAAACAGGGAGTCAAAGGAGATCATTTTGGAGCTTTAAGATTTGACTGCCCTGCTGGATTTTGGACTTGCATGGAGCCTGTAACCCCTTTGTTTTGGCCAATGTTTCCCATTTGGAATGGCTGTATTTACCCAATGTCTGTACCCCCATTGTATCTAGGAAGTAACTAACTTGCTTTTGATTTTACAGGCTTATAGGCATAAGAGACTTGCCTTGTCTCAGATGAAACTTTGGACTGTGGACTTTTGAGTTAATGCTGATATTAGGTAAGAGTGTGGGGAGTGTTGGGAAGGCATGCTTGGTTTTGAAATATGAGGACATGAGATTTGTGAGGGGCCAGGGGTGGAATGATATGGTTTGGCTGTGTCCCCACCCAAATCTCATCTTGAATTGTAGTTCCCACAATTTCTATGTGTTGTGGAGGAGACCCAGTGGGAGGTAATCAAATCATGGGGATAGGTCTTTCCCATGCTGTTCTCATGACAGTGAATAAGCCTCACGAGATCTGATGGTTTTGTAAAGAGGAGTTCCACTGCACAAGTTCTCTCTCTTTGCCTGCCACCATCCACATAAGATGTGACTTGCTCCTCCTTGCCTTCCGCCATGATTGTGAGGCCTCCCCAACCACATGGAACTGTGAGTCTATTAAAAGCTCTTTATCTTCCCAGTCTTAGGAAAGTCTTTATCAGCAGTGTGAAAACGGACTAATACAATCAGCCAGTAAAATTTTGATAGGTGCTGAAAAATTAGGAGCCAATTTTTTGTTGTTGTTGTTTGTTTCAGACAGGGAGTTTTGCTCTTGTCACCCAGGCTGGAATGCAATGGCACCATCTCAGCTCACTGCAACTTCTACCTCCCAGGTTCAAGTGATTCCCCTGCCTCAGCCTCCTGAGTAGCTGGGATTACAGGTGCCTACCACCACACCTGGCTAAGTTTTGTATTTTTAGTAGAAACAGGGTTTCACCATGTTGGCCAGGCTGGTCTCAGACTCCTGACCTCGCGTAATCTGCCCGCCGTGGTCTCCCAAATTGCTGGGAGGATCCCATGTTTTTAATCCCCATATTCTGGATGAGAATACTGTGGTTTTGTGGACTCAACTGACTTGCTCTGGCTCCCATGGTTAATAAGAGGAAGAGCGAGTTGGCAACGCTTTCTCACTCTAGGGCAGTACTCTCAACCCCGCACTGTCTCCTCTTGGTTCTTTCTGCTATAGATTTATCTTTGATGAAACACAAAATGATCAGTGAGTTTAATAATCAGATATTTCAGTCTTTGGAGACAGCCATTTATTTTTTTTCAAGGCTTTGAGCCGGATGTTTATGGAAACAGCCCTGCACTTTGTGGGTATTTAATGACCTGTGATGGCAAAGACATCTAAATTATTTGTGCACACATCTGACCAATCAGATTCAGGGTTGATTGGTTTGGGTTTGGTTCAATAGAAGCTATTTCTACTGAGTTGGGAAAGGAAAGGAAGGCCTGGGGACTTCTTGGTTCTCTGGTATAGTGTGATTACCTGTAAGTTGTACTAAATTGGACTGTTCAGATTTGGTGGTCTGTTCTAATTTTGTAGACTTTGAATGAATCCTCCTCAGCTCTTCCTATTCTCTTCTTCACCAGTGAGGAACAATAACCAGTGCAGACCTGAATAATCACATGAAACCCAGCAAATTTTGCCATCACATACCTGATATTTTGAATGGAAATACGTAACAGTTTATTTAAAAAGTCATATAACGATTCTAATTGACAGACAGCACTATCCAAGTCTCCTTGAACAGTGCTTGCCTGATATTTTTGGGAATATAAATCCCTGGGTCTCTTATAAAAAGGTAGGTTTAAATTTAACTGGTCAGGGATGGGGCTGAGAGGCTGCATTTCCACCCCAGGTGATGCTGATGCTGTTGGCTCCCAGACACCACTTTGGGTAACAAGCTCCTACATCAGAGGTCAACGAACTACGGTCAGTGAGCCAAAACCTGCTTTCTGCCAATTTTATACATGAAAAGTTTTATTGGAACAATAGCCATGTCTATTTGCTTATGTATTGCCTGTGACTGCTTTCCACTGCAATGGCAGAGCCAAATAGTTGTAACAAATACCTTATGGCATGCAAAGCCTAAAATATGTACTATCTAGTCCTTTACAGAAAATGTTTGCTGCAGCTGCCCTAGATGACTCCTTTGATTTTGAATACTTGCTACTCAAGATAGACTTTCAACATTCATCCAACATTGAAAAAACATTTATCTGGCTGGATGCAGTGGCTCACTCCTGTAATCCCAGCACTTGAGGAGGCCAAGGTGGGTAGCTCATTTGAAGTCAGGAGTTAGAGACCAGCCTGACCAACATGGTGAAACCTCATCTCTACTAAAAATACAAACAAAAAATTAGCCTGGTATGGTGGCACATACCTGTAATCTCAGCTACTCCTGGAGGCTGAGGCAGGAGAATTGCTTTAACCCAGGAGGCAGAGGTTGCAGTGAGCCAAGATTGTGCCACTGCACTCCAGACTGGGTGACAGAGTGAGACTGTCACAAAAAATAAGAAAGAAAAACATTTATCTAACACTTACTTTGCACTGCACATTGTACTAAGAGAATACAGTTGTGAACAAGATATAATTTCTACTCTCATGGAGCTTATATTTGTTTGCTCCCTCAGTATCTGGGCAACTGCATTTTGTAAGTCTCCGTTTACTCATCCATAAAATGGGGCTTAAAAATACCTAACTCTTAGTGTATGTTAAAAGAAAAACTTAAGACAAATTTAACAGAGTTTAATTCAGCAAAGAATGATTCTTGAATCAGAATAGGTTCAAAGCAACTCTGGAGCAGCTGAGCATGGTTAGAGAAGATTTGTGGACAGAAAACAGAAGTGAGGTACAGAAACAGCCATATGGGTTACAGCTCAGTGGTTTGCCTTATTTGAACTTGCTTTGAATAGTTGGCTGCCTATGAGTGCTTGAAGTACGGCCACTGTGATTGGCTGAGACTGGACTACTTGTTCCAAGACTGGGTTGCTGTCTGTTTACACATCCAGTTAGGTTGCAGTTCACTATATACAGAGAAACCTTTGGGCTGTTCTTAAATGTAAGGAGGCAGCTTTGGGCTAAATTTAGCAGATTCTTGTGAGCAGAGTGCTAGGCACCCAGAAAATATTCAAGAAAAGTTAGATGTTAGTACATTATTCTTGTTATTTTCTTACTCTAAAGATTTCTGGACAACGAACAATTTTTTTTTTGACACTTGTTAGCTTTCTACGTGTTGTGTATGTGTATATTTCCTCCCTGGCTATTCAGAAAGAACTAGAGCTGAAAGTGACTTTTCCTTCAACGTTAAAGCTTTAATAATTTAATCAAAGCTTCTGACATTGAAACGTCTCTTTGATTCTGAAACCAAAGCGGAACAGTGTTCTTGGTTCCCAAAATGAGTCTTTCTGTGTTTCTCTAGTTGTTTAATCTGCAGTCAGGGAGGTGCTAATGGTGATCTGGCCCCTGGTGGGGAAGGGTGTAGAGGATGGGAGGGGTGGCTATTCTTTCAGCAAGAGGACAGCCTTTGATAGGATTAACGAACAACTCTCTATGGTAACCACAGACAGCCATTATGCTAAACAACTGAGGTAAAATTTTAATTGATTATTTACTCAATTTCAAAGAAAGACAAAGAAATAGAACATTCTGTTTGGATCACTGAAACTTGCATGTATTTTTATGTCATTTTGTGTCTATATCGATCTTTAATAGTTTATACAGTCGTCATAGTCCGGAATGACATATGCCTTAATTTTGATCCCTAAGAAGCAGATCTGGAAGCAAAGGTTCAGGTGTACCTAGTTTGTTTGAGAGGTGAAGTAACTAGCAGGGCAGTGGAAAAAACAACTGAGGTAAAATTTTAATTCATTATTTACTCAAAGACAGAAATAGAACATTCTGTTTGGATCACAGAAGCTTGCATGTATTTTTGTCATTTTGTGTCTATATTGATCTTTAATAGTTTATACAGTCTTCACAGTCAGGAATGACATATGCGTTAATTTTGATCACTAAGAAGCAGATCTTGAAGCAAAGGTTCAAGTGTACATAGTTTGAGAGGTGCAGTAACGAGCAGGGCAGTGGAAAAAACAAGATAGGGAAGGTAAGGTAGTGAAATTCACGTGTATTATCCTTAGATAGGTAACATCTAGTTACCCCTAGAGTATTCTTGGTTGTTCCTGCCGTGGGACTGGGGAATGGTGTGGACAACAAACCTCAGAATTATCCCGCTGAGGGTGTGGGAGTTTTTATATACCAACTCCTATCCCTCATTGGATGGTTAAAGATTCATGGTAGGGTGTGTGTTGGTTTGCTGGCGTTTCTGACTGAAGGGAAGCAGCTATTATCCATTAGAGGAAGCCAGAGGACACTGAATTGGTAAGGCAAGAGGTATACATACACAGGGCCCTGAGAATGTCTGGATTGTTTAGCTGTTTCTACTTCCAGTGCCTGACATTTGTACAACAAGGTGCTTATTAAGTGTTGTCATATTCTGGATGAATCTAAACATGCAAATCAATTACAGGGAGGGAGGGCTGCATGTGTGACAGGGTTGCAGTTTAAGTAAATTTAATCATCAGTGGAGAAATGAATGACAGAATGTTTCATTATATAGAGATTTTGAAGAGAAAGAATAAATTACTCTGATGCTCTAGGTAGAAGAGGAAGAAGCTGACACCCTAATGAAACAAATAAATTGAAGTTCTAATTCCTCACAGTTCCCCAAGTCAACTATGTATTTTTTCCTAAGTAAAATGTCATACTTGATGTTATATTTGACATTAGAGATGACAGCCAACAGATAATATAGGAGGACGTGGTGCAAAAGTGATCAGGGCTTGTGTATCAAAGACAGGAATTTTGAATATCTGTGTGTCAAGTGTTGAGTTCTCTGGGAAGTATTTGCTGAGATAGAGTTTATCATTCGAGGATTATCTAAGGAGTGCCCTTGGGATCAACACTTGTGGAAGGAAGGAAAATGTAGCAGGATTGAACAGATAGAGAAACTGAGCTGCAATATAGGCCTGACAACAGTTCTGGCCAACTCTACAAGGAGCTCAGAAACTAGAAAGGCAGTACTTAGCTGCCCCAAGTGGGGCTAAGGGGCTAAGATGGCCAGGCATTTTTATTTTATTTTATCTTATTTTTATTTTTTTAGACATGGCTTCATTCTGTCACCCAGGCTAGAGTGCAGTGGTGTGATCATGGCTCACTGCAGCTTCGACCTGCTGGGCTCGGGTGGTGACCCTCCCATCTCAGCTTCCTGAGTAGCTGGGACCATAGACATGCACCACCATGCCCAGCTAGTTTTTTGTATTTTTGCAGAGACAGTGTTTCACCATGTTGCCCAGGCTAGTCTCAAACTTCTGCAGTCAAGCCATTCACCCGCCTCAGCCTTCCGCAGTGCTGGGGCTACAGGCTTGAGCCACTGTGCCTCTGGTTTAAGACGGCCAGGTATTTAGTACACCTGGCCATTGGATATAGGTTTCCCCAGGAAGGTCAGGTGATATTCCTATAGCTGAGGCTATCTTGAAGGAGCTAACAGCTGAAGGCCACCTTCTGACAGCACTCCTAGCAGCTGAGGCTGGTGTGCCCTAGCAGCTCAGGCAATGAGTCCTTCACTGAAGAGGGATCCTGGCAGTGCATTAGTGTTCACGATACTGTATCTTCTCAGCTTTCCCACTCTCGCAATACTTTGCCTCTACCATAGGCTTCTAAGATTCTCTGCCCTGGACCACCAGGCATGCATGATTTAAATTTGGAAGTGATTCTCATACTTCAGTCATTTAGTTTCATGACTTTTCACTTTTCATTTCTTTTGGAATCTGCTCTACTCTCACCAATATTTGGTGCTGTAGGATTCTATTATGGATCTGTTGGAGGCTTGATTTATTATGCATCACAGTAGATCACCTGTGATGAACATGGGGCAGATAGAAACCTAAAATCTGCTACTCTTGCCATCCAAATCCTGATATTCAGATTTCTACAGTCTTAGTTACATCCTCTTGGACCATGATGAGTTGGCTGAGTGGGTGGTCTGTGTTTAGAAACCACATCTTCTGTAATACAGATCATAAAATCTCACCACCGTTTTCATTTTCCTGGAGATTGAACTAGCTTGAAGGCTGTGTGAATGAGTAGCTTGAATTCTATGAAATCGAGTATACAGCATACAGGAATGGCTATCATGTATATGTGTGTGTGTGTGTGTGTGTGTGTGTGTGTGTTGGGGGTAGGACACTTAGCCTAGGAGAAGAAGTACAAGGGTCCCAAGAAGAGCTGGAGCTAAAACTTGAGCAGTACCAAGTGGAACAGAGGCTGAGATACATCAACATGGACCAAACTTGAAGAAGGGAAATGTTTACAGAGTCTTGCTCCACCACATGGAACCACGGAGAGTTTTATATTCAATAAGGCTTTATCTAGCCCAAGGTCACAAAGATTTACTCTTATATCTTCTCTAAAAGTCTTACGGTTTTAGCTCCTATATTTAAGTCTATGACCACTCTGAGTTAAGTATTGTGTATGGCATGAGAAGCTGATCCAACTTCACTCTTTTGTGTGTGTATGTCCAGTTCTCCCAGCACCATTTGTTGAAAAGATAACTCTTCTCTGTCAATGAACTGTATCAGCATTTTTGTCAAAAATTAATGAACTGTAAATGTAAGGATTTATTTCTAGACTTTCAATTCTATTCCATCTATATGTTTCTCCTATGTCAGTACTATACTATTTTATTACTGTGGCCTTGTACTAAATTTTGAAATTGAGAATCACGAGTCTTCAACTTTGTTCTTCTTTTTTAAGAATGTCTTTTCTATTAGGGTTCCTTAAATTTTTATGAATTTTAAAGTCAGCTTGTTAATTCCACAGAAAAAGACAGCTGAGATTTTTATAGGGATTATGTGGAATTATAGATCATTTTGGAGAATATTGCCATCTTAACCATGTTGTTTCCTGATTCATGACCATGAATTTATGTTGTTTTCTTTAATTTCTTTCAACAATGTTTTATAGTTTCAGAGCATATGTTTTTCCCTGCTTGTTAAATTTATTGCTAAGTATTTTATTCATTTGGATGCTATTTTAAAATAAGTTGATTTTTTAATTTCATTTTTGATTGTTCATTGCTAGTTCTCTTAGTTTAGTATAACAAACTAAGACCAGGTGGTTTAAATAAGTCACTTATTTCTCACAGTTCTGGAGGCTGGGAAGTCAGATCAGGGTGCCAACATGGTAGGGTTCTAGTGAGGACCCATTTTCTGGCTTGCAGACAGCTGCCTTCTTGCTGTAGCCTCACATGACAGAGAAAGAAAGTGAGCACATGCTCTCTGGTCTCTTTTTATAAGGGCACTAATCCTATCATGAGGATCCCACCCTCATGGCCTCATCTAAAAATAACTACCTCTCAAAATTCTCACCTCCAAACACATTGGAGGTTAGTGTGTTCACATATGAATTTTGAGAGGACACAAACACTTAGTCCATAACACTAGTGTATAGGAATACAATTGGTTTTTGTATATTCATCTTGTACACTGCAACCTTGATGAGTTGTTCTTTTTTGTCTAATCATTTTTTAGTGGAATACTTAGGATTGTCTATACACAAAATCATGCTAATCTGGAAATAGAAATAGTTTTACTTACTCCTTTACAACCTGGACGTCTTTTTATTTCATCCTTTTGCCTAATTAGCCTGGCTAGAACCTCCAATACAATGTTGAATAGAAGTAGTGAAAATGGATTTCTTTGTCTTGTTCCTGATCTTGAGGGACACATTCAACTTCCATCATTAAGTACAATGTTAGCCGTGAGTTTTTCATAGATATACTTTGTCGGGTTGAGGAAGTGTCCTTTCATTCCTAGATTGTTGCGTATTTTTATTATGAAAGGGGATTGGAGTCATGCTTTTTGTGTATTTATGGAGATAATTATGTTTTTTGTTTTTTTACTGTATTGCTATATTACATTGATTTTTGAATGCTAACTCAGTTTTTGCACATTTGGGATAAATCCCACTTGATCATGGTCAATCATTATTTAAAGCAATTTTGGCTAGATTCAGTTAGCTAATTGTTTGTTAAGGATTTTTGTCTCTATAGGCATAAGAATGTTGGCCTATAATTTTCTTTTCCTTTGGGTATTATTCTCAGTACCTGCGTGACTGCATCAATCATACCCCAAACTTCAGCATCACATAACATACCCCAGGTAACAAACCTGAACCTGGACCCCTGGAATCTAAAGTAAAGATTGAAATTATTTTTACAAAAGAATTTTCTTTTCTTGTGTAGTCTCTGTCTGGATTTAGTATCAGGGTAGAATTTGCCTCATAGAATGAGTTGCACACTGCTCCATTCTTTTTATTCTTTGGAATTTTATGGAGAATTGTTATTAATTCTTCTTTAACTATTTAGGAACATTCACCAGTGAAGCCATCTTGGCTTGGGCTTCTTTTCATGTGAAGGTTTAAAATTAGTAACTCAATCTCTTTGTTATAGGTCTATTTAAAATTTTCATTTCTTTTTGAGTGAGTCAGTTCCACCAGTTTGTGACTTTCCAGGAATTTGTCCATTTCATCTGTCATGCAATTTATTGGAGGAAAATTTTTTATAGCTCTTCTTTGCAATCCTTCTTATTTCTGTAAGATGCATAGAGATACTCCTCTTTCATTCCTGACTTTCATAATTTGTCTTCTCTGTTTCTCTTTTTTTTTTTGGTCAGTTCCCAGGATTTAGGTTAGAAAAAGTATGATCTTTGGCACTAAGCTGATCTAGGTCAAAGTTATATCTCTTCTACTGTGTAATTGCCTTCTCAAACCTTAGTTTTTAATTTGGAAAATGAAGATAATTCAATTGGCCCATTACTTAAAAAAATTCTGAAGACATTTTATTCTGATCATTTTTTCATTCCTTCTTTTAAAAAAGCACACATAATTGTTATAAAGTCATCTTTAAACCATACATTTATTTAAAAGTTAAAATTACCTTTTACTGCAACTCAGTATCAAATATCATTTGTGAGTATGATTAAATTCTTAGAAGATAGCTATGTTAAACACCTGAGTATGGAACGTTATTTTCTTCTATAGAGATAAGGTTTGTGTTACAGAGTCGGAAATTGGAAGCCAGAGTTTTAGTTCTAGGCCTTCATTCAAGATGCTCGCTGAAAATAGGGGTCGATAAGTAATTATGTTCAGAAATTGCTATGCCCTATACTGTTGGCCCTCCATATCCCTGGGTTCTGCATTGGCAGGGTCAACCAACCACATATTGAAAATATTCAAAAATTAAAAAATACTAAATAATATAAATAAATGCTGTATAGTTATACTGATAACTACTCACATAGCATTTACATTGTGTTAGGTATTATAAGTAATCTAGAGATGATTTAAAGTATATGGGAGGATGTGCATATGTTATATGCAAATACTGCCCCATTTTATATACAGGACCTGAGCTTCTGTGGATTTTGGTATCCTTAGGTGGGGGAGAGGGTCCTGAAACCCATGCATCAGGGACGACTGTATTCCATTTTTTGGAAACGGATAGCATACATTAGCATAGTAAGAGCTCTCAGGTTAAGGAAGCTAAAAAATACAATTCCCATATTCCTTTGCCACTATGATATCCTTTTCCCCCAACATATTCATTTTTCAGACAAATATGTGTAGAGCACCTGCAATGTGCCAGGAACTGTTCATGGCTGTGGAATGCAGCAGTGAAAGAAACAAAATCTCTTCCCTTGAATAGCTCACATTCCACCTTTTTGTGAAGTTTAAATATCATATAATAAAGTTATCGGCATGTAGTAAATGCCCCATGAATGGCAACTACTCAGTTTCTTTGTTTCTCCTGTGCTGTTTGATGCCAATGCAGGCACTCCTGAGAAAGGCTTGGATGGCCTGTGATACTTCTTGCAGCCTTGTCTTTCTCGCATCTCATCATAATAAATTCTGCTCAAATATGAACATTGCAGCAGCAATATCCCTTTATGTCTAACTTCTAATTATCTATAAACACATGCCTTTATGAAATGGAGGTCATCGTTTGATATATGATATCAGACGTTTAGCTAGTCAAAGCCTTACTTGACTACCAGCTTACTGCATTTGAAACTCAGGTAGCCCAGAGCTGTGGTGGAATCACTTACAGACATGTTAATTTGCATGTTTTTTTCCCCAAGTATTTTTCTTTTCCTTTCCCTCACTCAAGCAGGCAGCAAGGATTGCTCTCTTGCCTCAGGGCAGATTAGCAGCAAACTAGAAAGCAGAGGGGACAGTTCCCTTTTGGGTTTTGGATTTAGTAGACGATGTTGGACTTCCGGCAGAGACAGGAGAGAAGGGGATGGGGGGACAAAAGAACAAGAGTAGAAAGCAGGAAAAAAAAATATTTTGAAGGATAAAGGGACTTTTGGAGCTTGAAGAGAGACAGGGGTGTGTGTGTGTGCCCTAAGCAGCAGAGATTCCCTCTGTCCTCCACGGAAGAGCCCTGGAGAGATGTCCAGACCTCCAAGGGGAAGGAATGTGTGGATTCCCTGGAGACAGTAGAGGTTCCAGCATTTCAAGGGTCGCAGGTCCTAAGCATGGCCCTGAAGCAGCATTGCCACCAGAAATGGGGGTCTATGTAGACTGGAGGCACTGTGGGCTCTTGGTGGTAACCAGGGCAAGATTAAAGTCAATGACCAGAGAGGCTTCTCTGAGGATGTAATGCTCACAGCCTCCAGCGTGTTGGTTATCTCAAAGAATCCCAAATAACCAATGCTACTACCAGTCAGCCAGAAGGTGTGGACTCTGAGATGGAACCAATTTGGCTTTAAAGAAGATAAAGAAATATAGGTTTTTATTTTATTTATTTTTTGTACATCTAAGTTCATGAACTGAGAGTCATATTTGCTGCCTTAGCCACAGGACAGGAACTAGTTAAAACTCTGGATATCTGGCTCTGTCCACTTAGCCTACATTCTTCTTGTGAGAGTCCACAGCTTAGAAGTGTGGGAAATTTTCTGCCTATTTGATTCTGTGTTCCAGCACTTTACTGAATCACTTGGCTTTGATAAATGCAGATTGATCCAAAATGAGAGAGGGACAGAGAAACTCAGCACAGACCATGATTCACATATTACCCTAAACAAAGCCGTGGCTAAGTGATTTTCCTGGAACTCATAGGAGAGTGGCAAGGCAATGAGGGTCACTGTAACCCATGGCCAGGGGACAGTCAGAACTCAAGAGCATTTCAAATCTACCCTGTGATTTATAAATCTATCTCCCCCACAGGCTGGGGCTTTTTGAGACCAGGCACTATCTTTTATTGGGTCCCTCCCTGCCTTGTTGCTTGTACAGTGACTGACATAGAGCAGGCACTTAACACAGTCTCCAACTTACAATAGTGCGACTGAACAATTTTGCGTTTATGATGATGTAAAAGCTATATGAATTCAGTAGAAACTGTACTTCGAGTATCCATACAACCATTCTGTTTTTTTACTTTCAATACAGTATTTAATAAATTACATGAGCTATTCAGCATCTTATTATAAAATAGGTTTTGTGCTAGATGATTTTGCCCAACTGTAGGCTAATTGTAAGTGTTCTGAGTGTGTCTAAGGTGGGCTAGGCTAACCTGTCATGTTTGGTAGGTTAGGTGTATTAAATGCGTTTTTGACTTATGGTGTTTCCAATTTACAATGGATTTATTGGGATGTAGCCCCATCATAAGTTGAGAACCATCTGTATATGTTAATTAGTTAATTAATAAAACAACTCTTTATTGAAAGTCTATGTTTCTGAAATTGTCCCTGGTACTAAAAAAAATATTTTTTCATTTGATCCTCTAAACAACCCTGTGAGATGAGATGTTCAAGGTCTCAAGGTTAATAAGTGGCAAGATTCCAGTCCTTGGTCTGACTTGAAACCCACTATTTCTTTACTCTAACTGAGTCTCTTTGGTAAAATGGTGGTGGTTGTCATAAGTTAGTCATTTTGGTTTTAATTAGCAGTATTAGGGAATCAATAAAGAAGCAATTCCATTTTCTCCTTACTCATCCTTTCAGTTATTCATCCATTCAGTGAAAAAAGATATATTGAGTTATATATGCCATGCATTTATTCCTCTAAATTACTTTGCAAATCAGTAGGAAATTTATAGAACTCAATAAAGTAAGAGAAAGACTATTTAGGTTTCTAAAATGTCTGTCTCATGGGCTGCTTACAAGGGTGCTTGGGCTGGTGAAAAGGCTTTTGGTTTTGTTTTTTGTTTTGTTTTGTTTTTGAGACAGTGTCTTGCTCTGTTGTCCAGGCTCCGTCATAGCTCGATGCAGTCTCATCCTCCTGGGCTCAAATGATCCTCCCGCCTCAGCCTCCCCAAGTGCTAGGGTTACAGACATGAGCCACTGCACCACGCCTTTGAAAAGATTTTAAGAATTGGAATTATGAGACCTGCGTTTAAATATTGGATTAATCACATCCTAGTTTAATAGCTAGTTTTGCTTCAGGCAAGTTACTTATCCTCTCTGAGCCTCAGTTTTCTCATCGGTCCAATGGGAATAGTATCTACCTGTGAGAAACCTGTGAGGTAATGTATGATATTGGAAACAAAACTTAAACATATGTACCCTTTACTATGATCATTGTGGTTGTGTATAAGAGGTTTACAGAAATGTTCCCACTACTATGGGAGAAAATTGACTTTTGGGGGATAGGTTGCTTTAGGATTTGACATGTTTGGTAAACCTTAGAAATGTCTTTGTTACATTAGACACTTTCTGTGCCTAGGGGCTAGGGCAGAAAGGCCGTGTACTTCTGGGCTGCACAGAATCACCTGGGCTAGACAGCAGGAGACATGGGCTGAATGAAATACAGGTTATGCTTGTTGAGGAGGGCCTATGGCAGCACAAAGAAAGAAGTGCCTTTTTTCTTTAACTTTTCCACCAGAGAGGATTCCTCTTTGCATTCACACATCTCTGAGGATCTTTGGGTAATTTGCTCAAAGGTACCTCTGAAAGCAAATCCTGAGACAAGGACTTGGGTGCAGGAAGGAGTTACCAGAAAGCAAAGTGAAAAATAAGACAGAGTGAGACAGAGGGGGAAAAAGCCAATAAAGTTTACATTAAGTGGATTCCCACTGTGAGCAGCTAGAGCTCAGTCTTGCTGGGGCCCCTCTGAGGAAAGTTTGGATAAATTGTCAATCAAAGAACGGGGGATTGGGGCACTTAGTCACTGACTTCTGTCCTCCATTGGCTGGGGTTTGCCCCTGGAACATTAGTTACTCCACATTTTAGGGCTGAGTTGTCTTCTGAGGCAGAAAAGTGGGTAAACTTCCCCAGGTTTGCTCTTGAGGTGGAACATTGGCAATGTACATAGAAGTGTCCATCTCTGCAGTTCTGAAATTAGGTGGGCTCAGGGCACAGATGTGGGTTGAGAGTTCTGCCAAGAATGCTCCAGCAGAATTGAGATTGGGGAAGGGGCATGCTATGGAGGCCCTCTGAATCTATGCAGGCCTGGCCAAGGACTGGTCTCTTACTCAGCCCTCATTTTCATTCCACTTCCTCTCCCCCTGGTCTTCTTGTGCCCATGAATCACAGAACCTGAAGTCAACTTCTTCTGTTCCCTTAAATAGCTGTCTGGGTAGCCATGCATGTGACTGGATCCAGCGGACATTTAAAATGATAAGTTGGCTCTTCACAGATGAATGCAGACCTGCTGACTCATCAAATTGCTTAGGTGCCAGCAAAACAAAGCCATCAGTGATCATGGCTTGCAAGAGCTCTAAAGTATCTTTGTCTCTCCATTTCTCTCCATCCCTACTTTATTTCATTAATACACTTAATGGGAGTGAGATTACGATCTAAATAATCATAATCATTTCTAATTAATTGAGGCATTCTTTCATTCAAAAATTTCAAATGTTTATTGAGAGCCTGCCTATGTCAAACTCTAGGCTAGGTACTGAAAACGTAGGAGTGAACCAAGTTCAAGGTTTCTGCCCTCATGGAATTTACGTTCTAGTGGGGAATAAATACAGAATGAGAAGAGTATCATGTAGAAAATAAACAGGGTGATGGGATAAAGTGTTTCTGTGAGTGCCTACTTTAGATAAGGTGGGCAGAGGAGGCCATTTAAGAAGTGCTAATTGGCCTGAGACACGAATGATATGAAGAACCTTTTTAGGCATAGGGACATTCAAGTTAAAAGGCTCCGAGTGGGAAAGGGCCTGTTGTGTTAGAGGATCTGAAAGGAGACATGTGATCTTAGGGGTTATAATACATTAGCTAATTTTGTGTGCTCTAGAGGCAGAATCTATCACTTAATAGTTTTATAATCTTGGGTGCATCATTTAACCCTTCAGAGCCTCAGTTTCTTAACCTGTAAAATGGGATAGTATAATTACTACCTCACATGGATGTGGTAAAAATTAAAGAAAATCTTGTGTGTTATCACCATACTTGCACATGATAGAAGCCCTACATATGTTATTGGGTTTGTAATGACTCTTTTTCTCCAAAAAACCCAACTCAGACCATAAAGAAAATGTGCTGTTTCATGTGTCAGAACATTCTAGGGTGAGTTAAACTTTTCGGGGTGGCTTGATCCAGGCATTTATGGCTCTGGCTCTCATTCCCTTCTTCTCTCAGTTATATCCTCTAGGTGAATCTGTATTTCATTGGACTGGCTCCACACATAAGGACAAAGATGGCTTCAGCTGCCACAGGCCTTAGTCTGTGTGCCCCTGCAGGTGTTCCAGGCCTCACGCCCACACTCCATTCTATCCAGAGAAAGAAAGCATATATAAGAGCAGTTCTTGTTGTATTAGTCTGTTCTGACACTGCTATAAAGAACTACCTGAGACTGGATAATTTATAAAGGAAAGAGGCTTAATTGGCTAACAGTTCTGCAGAAGGAAGAGAGCAAAGGGGGAGGTGCTACACACTTTTAATCAACAAGATCTCATGAGAACTCACTCAGTATCATGAGAACAGCAAGGGGAAATCTGTCCCCATGATCCAGCCACCTCTTATCCAGCCCCTCATCCAACATTGGGGATTACACTTCAACATGAGATTTGGGTGGGGTGGGGACACAAATCTAAACCATATCACTTGTAGAGGTTTTGAGGGTCAGTCACATTGTATTAGCTTAGGACACATACCTACCCTGCACCAATCACTTCAACCAGAAGGTAGAATGCAAATATTGACATAACTCAGGCCATGTGCCCCTGGAGTTGAACATGGTGTCAACATTTTTAAGATTCTGTGGATCTCCAATGAAAACTAGGAGCTGATGGGATAGCTGAGGGGAAATGATGCTAGAGATGGAAGCAATA
This sequence comes from Homo sapiens, assembly GCF_000001405.40. NCBI lineage: Eukaryota > Metazoa > Chordata > Mammalia > Primates > Hominidae > Homo > Homo sapiens. The sequence continues at coordinate 62,967,183 of NC_000003.12, forward strand.
TGTCCAGGGATGTTATCCTTGATTATTCTCATTCTAATTAAATAATAGAACACTGGGTAAGGGTAAATCAGAAGACCCATGCTATAATTTTGATCTGCTCATAGCTTTAAGACTTGCATACTCACTTGACCCTTAGAACATCAGTTTTCTCACCCTAAATTTATTTGTTCAACAAATTTCTTAAACTCTTACATGGGAGAGACATGGATACAATGGAAATAAGCAGAACCACCCCTGTCCTCATTGAGCTAATGTTCTAGCCTAGAGGGATTTAAATATGAATTATACAGGCTCATCAAGCAGATGTTCTTAACATCAAGGTGAAATAAGATGTGGTGTAATCTGTTAATTTTACCCTTACAGACATAAGCAAGTGAAAGAATGAAGGCAGGGAGAAGAAAGAAGGCAGAGTAACCTACAAGAAGTTTTACTTTGCATAAGCGCAGAGACTAAAATATCAGGTCAAAACTGTGAAAAGTTGTATTTTTAAACTTTAATTTTAAATTTCTCAATCCAGTGAAATTTAGATCCTACTAGAAACTGTTCTTAGATTATTTCTTTTTAATCTGTTTTATTAACTACCAGTTTATAAAAGCGTTTGCTATGAAAAATATTAGGAACTAAAAGTAAAAGCAGTACCACAAGGAAATACAATTTATTTGTGGAGAAAGATAAAAAGGCACAGTAAAGATTTATGGTATTGCTTGGTGGAAATGTTTTATTTAATAAGGACTCATAGGACTCATTCTAATTAGCAAAAATCAATAATAGAAAATAAAAGATGTAATTCATAGCCTGAAATTCAAATTTTAATTCCTGTGTTTTTTTTTTTTTTTTTCAGAGCTAACTTCCCTAATTGGAAATGTTTGCTGGTTTTGTTTTACAGAAATAACCTTATTTTTGTCCTGTTGAAATTTATTGCTACTTATAAGAGCAGAGAATGGCAGTTCATTTTGCTATAAGTTCCCAACACAGAGATTTTTACTGTCAGTATAGAAAAGGGCCAACCAATTACGGGGATGGAAAATGGTGGAATGTCTCCTTTGACCATGGCTACAATTTTGAGGAAAGATTAATGAATTTCTTCTTCTGACTAGTATCTATGATAAATTGCATCCAGCATAATTCTCCCTTTGTTTTCTACCACTTATGCCTTTCCTCTGCCCTTTGTTTAGCCATTGACTCATCAACCCCAGTATCATGTGGAACACTTACTACTTCTGAAAATTCTCCTTTTAAGTCACATTAAAACTTAAAAGCTTTGGCATCTGGTATCTGGAGGCAAAGATACACGCCTAGCCTGGTATTGTCCGGGAGTATAGAGTAACTTTAGATTTCTTTAAGAGAAAAATGTCTCATTAGGCCAGGATTCTCAGTTTTCTTTGAGACTTCTCTCCAATTTCAGTTGAGTGCTTCATAGTGAAGTTGACTTTACCCCCAGCTCTAGGTGTTGATCTTATAATTCAGGCCTAAGTCAGTTAATAGATTTCATTTCTCTGGCCTATAAATTCGAAAATGGATGTATTACCAAATCAAGCAGAGGTTAAAATAAGGCCTGCCTTATACGCTTCCAGAGAAGCAAGCTCTCTCTTTTCCGCTGGACATAAACAAAGAATCATGTATTCTCAAAACTGCTGATACTTACCTTGGGAGTATGTAGAGAAAGCCTGCAGACAACAGATCCAGTAGTGAGGAATGGAAAGAAAAACTGAATTCTGATAACACTTTTTGAGCACCTATGTCAAAACTTACTTGTAGCACGCTGGACTTTTGATTACATGAGCCAACACATATTCGTTAATGTCTGCAGTTGAATTTGGTTTTCTTTTTTTCCCAAAAATTAATTCTTAATATACTATAAAGCACCAATAACATTATGTCAGTCTCCTGTTCAAATGTCCCCTAATAACTTTACATTTTTCTCAGGATAAATTCAAAGTATTTGCTTAAGTAAGCACAAGATATGATCTTTATTTCTTATTTTCAGCTTCTGCCACATATTCATATATACTTTCCTTCTGGGGATGCTCAGTTTCTTTGGATTCCTCCAATGCATTGTGCTGTGCTTTTTTCTTACCTATGCGCTTTGTAAGAAGAAAAGCACTACATATTCTTTGTACACATCTGTATAGCATATCTTCAGATCTAGAGAAATACAGCTGCAGTTTTATCTGTAAATCGGGATTAATAAGAGCAAGTTCCCCATAGGGTTATTATAACGATGCTCATGAAATAGTAAGTGTAAAGTATATAACACATAGTAGCTTCTCAGTAAATGTTTATTGAATAAGAAAAAAAGAGTACTTGAATAAATGAATTACAGAAGGAATTATCTAAAGTTTTGGACAATTCGTGTGATGAATTAAATGCTCTATGGGTAACATCTGTGTTTCCATTTGCCCCCATCCCTACTTCATGTTGGCATTTTTACATGAAATTTCTATCTAAACATTCTCTTGACTCAAAGGTGAAAAGTGACCCATCATTTTCCTTAACTCTAGAGAAAATCGTGGCCTCTCTTTTGTCTAGTAAGTTCTGTTATCTGCTTCAGAAGTCCCAGATATTAGTATCTTTGTAAAACAATTCATTTCAATAGCACATCTTCTTTGTTTCTACTGAGGTTCTATCCTTAACTGACTTCACTGAGTTCTCAGTTTAAACCCTTTCCAAATGAGTCCCCTGAGTTTCATGGGAATATCCCAAGGCTCAGTTAGGGAGAACCTAGGATGCATGAAGTGGCCCTGGGTGAACCATATCATAGAATCTAGTTCTTATTTTCCTAGATTCTATAGACTTGACTTTGCAGCACAGTGCTTATGTTAGTGTAATATCGAAAGAGGCAAAGTGGCTAGGACCTGGGCTCAAGAGCTATGCTCTCTGATGGGCTAGCTACAAGTCACATGCAATTACTGAAAACTTGAAATGTGGCTGCTGAAACTGAGAAACTGAATTTTAAATTTCATTTAATATTAATTAAAATTAAAATTAAAAAATGAATACTGAGTTCAGCAATTGGAAAGCTTTTAGGTATGCTTAGAATAACTGAAATCTTTTCCAGCTATAAATTTTATCAAATCTAATAAGTATTCCTGTTGAATATTTAGCATTCAAATGGATATGTGCTGCAAGTGTGAAAGGTACACTTAATATGATAAAAGAAATGTTAAATACTTTATTAATCTTTACCTTGATTATATATTAAAATGATAATATTTTAGATATTGGGTTAAATAACAAATATTGGTAAAATTAATTTCATCTATTTGTTTTTACTTTTTAAATGTGGCTACTAAAAAATTAAAAACTGCATGTGTGGCTCCAAACACATTTCTATTGGACAGAACTGCTCTAGAATAGGACCATTGAGTTCAAATCTTACGTCTTATAAGCTGTGTAGCCTTTGGCAAATCATTTAAATGCTCTGGGCTGTGTGAGACCTATTTATAATAGCAATGTTCATTCTTTGCTCTCTATTTTTTAAGAGCTAATGTGAGATAATATATACCGTGTGCTTCACACAATGCCTAATAGAACATAACATGCATTAAATATTAGCTCTGAATGTATTTAGTTTGTATAAAATTTATTGCATTGCATATTTTTAAAAATCTATGCCACAGCTTTCATTTGAGGAAATACAAAGATACTGTTACCATATTTTTAATTCCATTGTGGGGCCACATTCCTGTGGTTTTCTTCAAAAATGAAGACCAATACAATATTAATTCAAGCAATTAGGAAATAGAATGGTGTGTTTGAAAGAATACTGTTCTTGGAGTCAAGTCAAGGCATGTGCCTCTTGTTTTTTCTTTTTTTTTTTTTTTTGTCGGGGGAGACGGTGTCGCTCTGTCGCCCAGGCTGTAGTGCAGTGTCGCCATCTCAGCTCACTGCAACCTCTGCCTCCTGGGCCTCCTGAGTAGCTGGGATTACAAGCACGCACCACCACGCCCAGCTAATTTTTGTATTTTTAGTGGAGATGGGGTTTTACCACATTGGTCAGGCTGGTCTCGAACTCCTGACCTTGTGATCCACCCACCTCGGCCTCCTAAAGTGCTGGGATTACAGGCGGAAGCCATTGCGCCTGGCCAGGCATGTGCCTCTTAAGGAAGAGTATCCCTAGATACTTTCCATGCATCCCTCCTCTGCTTTAGTCTCACAGTGCGACCTTGTTTCACTCACCTTTTGTCTCTGCACCTCAGTTTCTTTATATATGTCACTGATGTTGTGCTGAATAATTATTAAATTTCTTTTCAGATATTAAGTCCTGAAATTTCTTTGAAATTGAGGAGCATGGAGCTATATATAGTTAGAGAGAAACCCAGTTGGTAAAGTGGGAAGAGGAAAATCAGAGCTCAGTGTTTAATAGTGCAAGTTTCTTCAAACAGGCTCTCAATCTAGGACTTTTTCTGATGAGTCCTGCTGAGGTTCATGAACCTACCCCAAGGCTCAGTTAACTCAACTAAGAAGGACTCCAGATGCATGAAGGGGCTTTGTGGGAACCACGTCATAACATTTTGTTCTCATTGTCCTGGATTCTATAGAGACGGCCTCATGGCACTAAGATGTTCTTAAAGGAGACATGGTAGAATAGTAGTAGTTATTGAATCCCTAAATAATAATGATAGTTAATGCATAAATCTCTTGCCATGAACTAAACGCTGTTCCTTTTGGTTTACAAACATTACTTATTTGACACTCATAACCCTCAGATAAGTTTTGTCACAGTGTCTACTTTCTGATGAGACGTGTAGGCAGAGGGTTTAGACAACCTGGCCAAGGTCTCACCACTAGCACTGCATTCAAACACAGACAGTCCAACTCCGGTGGACTTAACACTGTACTATGGTGGCCTACTGAGGACAAGCACCATGTCCAGTGCTGGGGTTACTGGGTAAAATGTGACATAGGGTCCCTGCTTTCATAGCATGAAGACCGTTTTGTAGAGACAGACTTAAAACAAGAGAAAATGATTATACACCTTACATGCATTAAGAGCTAATGTGTATTGCATACTTATGTGCAAGGCATTGTGTGAAGCTCATGGTTTACATCATCTTAATGGTGTCTTTACCAAAAGGGGAAACATCTACAAATGCAATGAAGAAGATATGAGGAATGATATAATAGCATATAATGGAGAGCCTTGACCTACTTTTGATGCATGGAGAATATCTAGGGACTTCTTCCTTAAGAAAAGAAATTTCAGCTGACATCTGAAGGTTGCATAACAGCTATACAGCAAAGTACATGTGTGTGTGTATGTGTGTATATGTGTGTGGTGGATAATAGTGTAAATGGTGGAGAATATTACAGACGAATGGAACCCTGAGGTGTTGCACTCAGTTGCTGTATATGTAGTTTGTAATGTTTTGAGGTTGTTTTTAATCTCACCATCATTCATTTGTTATCTTGCTTTTAGTCATGGACTCTACCGTCACTTCCTTGGGGAGACCCTCTCTGACTATTCCAAGCAAGTTAGTTCTCCTCTTGATATGCTCTCAATAGGAATGTACCTACCTCTGCTCAGCCCTTAGCATTAAATTTAAATTTATTTGCATTATTTGATTAGTGTCTATCTCGCACCAGACTATAAGATCTATTAGGGCAGAGACCGAATTTGGCACTGCTCAACATTACGTTCCTAGAACTCAAAATTTGTTGAATAAATGAATCACAAAGTATTTTAGATTAATATTAGCCTAAAATTATCACTGTGAGTTCACGTTTAGTCCTTAAACCATACACCCCCAGTTGAAATAAAAATGAATTTTAGATTTTGGACTATGTAATTTACTAGTAAGGCACAAAGAGTTGGCCTCACCTGCCTTTGCAACAATGCCTTTACAAATAATCTATATTCATGTTGTTTTCTGAGAAATATGCATTATGCAAAAGCACACTGACAGGTGTGTGAATGAGTTGGTAAAATAGGCAATCTAAAAGTTTCTCTATTCTTTGAAGAGAAATGGGTAACTGTCTTTAAAAAAATAAATTATAGAACATTTTACATTTTTTTTGACTTTCCTATGTAGTGAATCAAATACATTATTTATAATTAGTGCCTTTTGGCTTCTTTTCCGCATGGTTTTTCTTTTAATGCTTTTAAAAAACATAAACAATGTAAGTAAGGTATTTTGTATTACATCAAATAAAGTAGCCAGATGAAAGATTATATATTCTAGCATTTTATTTATGTAAAGTTGAAAAGCAGGCAAAATTAACCTATTAACTTAGATGTCAAGTGAGTAGTTAGCTTTGTGGAGGGCAAAGAGTGTAAGAGACTGAGAGAGGCTTCTGGGGGGCTGGTGATGTTCTGTTTCTTGATCTAAGTGCTTGTTACAGGGGTGTGCTCAGTTTGTAAAAATTCATTCTGCTGCACAATTATGATTTGTGCATTCCTCTATATATATATATTGCACTTCAATGAAGTTTTACAAATTAAGACAAATTAATGAAGCAAGGAATTACCATTTATTTGGACATCGTCACAGGCAAATGGAAGGTTATATTAAAGTAACTAAGTGAAATATATTTCAGAAAAAAATGCCCACCTTAGATTAGGCTAATTGAAGAGGTAGCATTGTGTTCTGATCAATATCTCGGGAGACATACTGACTGAAGAGGTAGCATTATATCTGAGAAGAACTTCTGTGTGCTATTCATCCTGGGTGGCCGAGTCTTGTGTCTGGGGAACACCTAGAGACTCTATAGATTTGGAAACAGGATTCAGATCCCAGCAGGTTTGTGAGGCTGATTCAAGACCACTACATTCTATCATGGGTAATATCTACTGGTTCTCAAACCTGGCTGCCCATTGGAAGAACCTGGGAGCTTTAAAGAAACAATGTTGGGGTCCCATCTCCAGAGATGTTCAGATGAAATTCTAATGGGGCCCGGACACTGGAATTTTTTAAAGCTCCCCTGGTGATTCTGATATGTATCAAAGTTTGAGAATCACTGTTCTCTACTATACCATTAAACTATACTATCATACTATACTATGCAATGCTGTGCTATAATAAAGTGTACAACTATTTCAATGTTACATATTGCTTGAGAATACATATGTTTGTAATGTAAAGCAATACATGGAAATCATAAGCACCAAATTCAGGATAGTGAGTACTTCTGGGAGAGAGGGAGGGTACTGAATACAGGAAGGATACGTGGGTGACTTCAGGACACACACATACATAATTTTGTATAATCTTTTATTTATTTTAGATGTGTTTTTTATATTTTTGTTAAGCTGGATGGTGAACACAGAAAAGGTTGAACTCATTCATTCATTACAGTTATCGATTAAGCCCCTGCCCAGTCTCAGACTGTTCTCTAGGTTCTGGGGCTGTAACAAGGAAAAAAACAGAATTCCTGACTTCATGTAACTAATATTTAGTTAGGGTGACCAGATAATAAATAAACACACAACAAATTATGCTCTATAAAGTTGTGGTTAGTTCTATGGAGAAAAACAAAGACAGTTAAGGGGAGATGAAATGCTGAGACCAGAGTGGGAGGCAGATAACTATTTCACTCAGGGTTGCCAGGAAAAAGGCCTTTCTGATACGACATTTCAGAGAGACCCAAAGAAACTGGGGGAAGGAGTCAAACAGATAATTAGGAGCAGAGTACTGAAGACAAAGGGAGCGTCGAGCACCAATGCTGTGGGGCTGACACAGGGACACAGGTGTGCCAGGAGGAGAGTGGTTAGGGGGTAGGGACAGCATTTCATGTAAGATTGCAAGGCCAGTGTCAGGAATTTGGATTTTATTCTCTATGAGATAGGAAGTCTTTTGAGGATATTGTAGAAACGTCTTTACCTTTGTGTCAATTGTATATACCTTCAACATCTCATAGTAAGTTAAAAAATAGAAAAGTGATATCAGACACTAATATTGTAATGTGAGTTGATTTATTACATTTATCTTCTATAATAAGAGAGGCTCATGGAACCTTGAGGGCCCTATGAAGGTAAGTTTGTTAAGTATGGGTCTAAACAGCCCAAGAAGGAAGAATGTGTGTGTGTGTGTGTGTGTGTGTGTGTGTGTGTGTGTGTGTGTGTGTGTGTAGGGTAGGGAACGGTCACTGAAGATAAGTTGTGCCTTCTCAATTTGATGTCAGATAACATTATCCAAATGATGTACAAATGTGCAGGGAGACCTGATCGCCATGTAGTAGTTTGGTACAATTCTTAGGAGACTAGAAAGCATGATCAATGGAGGCAGAGAGAAATAACAACTCAGGTCAGCACACAAACAGGAGGGCAAATTTCTGATTCCACCTTTAAGACCTTCCATTGTAAATGCCTCCTATTTCTTCTCCTTCAGTTCAGGTATGGTTGTAGAAGGATAGAAATGTTGCATTAGAATTTAAAATAACTCGATGGTTCTTAGAAGAGACTCCAGTAAATTAACTTTTTTACAGCCTGACACCATCTTCAGTCCATTTGCTCTGGGGCCAGCATGCTGCTCTGAAAAATTTCCACATTTTGAACTTTCTATTTGAAGCTCATAAAGAATGCATTGCTTTTCCTATGCTCCCAGCTTTCTACCCAAGGGAGATGGAGAATTGTCAAGGCCAAATGCTCAACTACTTATTTCTCTTAGAGGTTTTCAGACAACACACACAAGTGTTTGATGCAGGGAGAGAAAAAGTCACGAGGAAAGCATTGTTGTCCCCCACCCAACATACTCTGTTGAAGTCCAGCTGGACTTCAACCACAGTTTGTCTGGCAAGACACTATAATATATAATGTAATCAGAGTGCAATTCAATAAGGTTATGAGTATTATTACCTCTTTATAACTAAGAAACTAAGTCTCGGAGAGGTTAGGTGGATTACCATAGGTCTCAGGTAGGAAATGTCAGACTTAATTCTATCTGACTCCAGAACCTGAAAGCTCGATAACTATCTTTTAACTGCCTCCCATCAAAATGGAATCACTTTTGATGGCTTTATCCTCTAATTAATGAATACATTTTAATAGGCAATAATATGTCTAAGTATTTTAGTGAAGTCAGTCTCCCTTCATTTTAATAGGTTTCTGCAGCCTGTACAAAGCTCGGTTTATTAAGGGGAGCTTGTTTTCTTCACTTAGACCAGCTTGTAATCGCAAACCACACTGACATTTCCCAGACTCCTCCTGGCATACTAACTGTTTTAAATGCTGGTCTGGTTTCATGGGAGACACTAAGGAGAACGTCAATCTCAGCTCAGAAATGTGCCCTGCATAAAAATGCAGGCTGGGTAAGGGTTTCACTTAACTGTTCCCAACTGCACATTGTAAACATTCATATCTGGTATTAAAGTAATTTATCTACATTCAGTTCAATTTTGGGAATGTTTATTGAGCACCTACTAGCTTCTAAGTGCTGTGACCCAGGCTACAGTGGAGGCAGAGATGAATAAACCTAAGCCAAGTTTTCCTAGGAAGTGACAGTAGTAGTATCCTCAGCTCTTCATGTATCTGAGTTTTTGGTATTAATTAACATTAGTGCTAAGAGTAATATCCAGCCATGGACATGTTTACAATTAGGGCAATGTCTGCTCATTAGACACATTTGATTTTAAAGGATCCTGAGACTACATTGGTATAGTGCTGTTGATATGATTTCTTTCCCCTGTCCCAAATAAATTATTTGCCTTGCATGGAAATACTTACTCACTGCTGTCTCCTGTTGGCTCATATTAATGCCTAGTTTAAATTTTTAAAAAATCACATAAATGTTGTGGGAAGGGACATTGAAGATAGAACAACAGGTGTTATCTATGAACATCAAAATTCACCCAATCAGCTAATGTGTATTAAATACCTACAACATGCCATATATTTCAAAACTGGGACTAAGCTTTGGAAAGTACAATGAATGTATATGGCATATAAGCCACTAAAGCTATATTCATACAATGAAATTCTGCTTAGAAATAATAAGGAATGCACTATTAATACATGCAACAACATAGATGCATCTCAAGAACATGCTGAGAACAAAGTCAGACACTAAAGATTATACATTGGGTATGTTCATTGTTATGTAATTAATAACTGAATAAACCAGACAACTATCAAATAGTCTCATAATTTTGAAGCTGGTTTGTGAGAAATTATCCTTGGCCATACAATCTAAAGGAGACTCTATTTTTTCTTTTTCTTTTTTTTTTTTTTTACTGATAAATATATGAAAGGATCTTTATTCCCATTGATTAAAGCAATACAAATTAAAACAATGCAATAGCTTTTGTAACTATCACATTGTCAATGATTAAAATATTGATAATACCAGTGTGCCAAAATGTGGAGAGACAATTACTCTTTTACGCATTATTACTTAGTGGCAGCTTATATTGGTGCAATACTTTAAAGTGACAATTTAGCAATATTTATTAAAATATAACACATCTACATCCAGGAATTCCTTTAAAAGGAATATCCCTACATGTATGCAAAGATATGTAAATATAGAACATTATTCATTGCAATATTGTTTATAATAGCAAAAAACTTGCAGGCTTTTTGCTATTACAAACAATATTGGAATGAATATTGTAATATTTTTATGTTACAATGGGGGACTAGTTAAATTCAAAATAAGCTGAAGAATTAATAGTAATGATTTCCACAGGAGGAGTTGGAGGATCATGGGAGAATTCCAGTTTTTTTTTTTCTTTTTATGTGCCTTATTTCAATCTTTCCCATACTAAAGTAGCACTTTTACAATAAGAAAAATAATTAAGATATAAAACATTACTTTTAGAAAAGCCTCACAATTTTTTAAACAGAATAATAACACCAAATAAATGTTCACAAGTGGATACTCAGCATTATATTGAAAGGATTAAATGATAATATAATAAACTATAATATGATAAAGGATAATTTCAGGAATCCAAGAATGTTTTAGTATTAAAGAATATATTTACAATATGTGAAAAAGTCTAAGGAAAAGTAGATTTGACCATCTTAGTAGATGTTCTAAAGACTAGATGGATGTCACTGTTGATTTTAAAATATATAAATATATTAGTAGATGTAGAAGAATATCTCACTAACTCTTGTGAGTAAGATGATCTCTCTGAACCCAGTAGCCAATGTCATACTTAACAGAAACCTGTAGAATAATTTCTTTGAAATTTGTAAAATATAAGAATATCCCAAGGATCTCAAAGGATATCCACTATTCTTACTTGACAAGATTCCGGATATTTCAATAATAAGAAATATAAACATAAATGGGGAAGAAAAAATATTTTTAAAAATGATGTATTTTTTCATAACACTTACTATAATTTGTAATTATCGATTAATTTATTGATTTATATGCTGATCAACTGTCTCTCTACTCGATTATAAGTCCCAAAGGGCAGGACTTACGTGTTCATCGTTTGCCACTATATACCCAATGGTTTATATGGTGTCCAGCATTAATAAAATGCTCAATAGATATTTCTTGCAATAATAATCGCAAGCTCCTTGAGGAGAACGGTGGCTTATTTTTCTTTATATCTCCGATAACTCACAATAAGGACACAAAGAGGGGCTCTCAAAAATACTATTTGAAAGAAAATAGGAAATCACTAGAAAAAAATCTATGGCTCATCATCTAGAAACAAGTTAAGTGATGTAGAGTCCTTCATTAAAATTTGGATGGATGGCTAAGAAAGGAACTTCAGTTTATTGAGTAAATGATGCAAATGAGTTTTCATTTAAGCTACTTTCAACTAATTAATGGAATAGATAGTGTGAAAGGTGAATTAACCTTTAAGTTAACCTTTATTTTAGACATTTTGGAGAGATAGCAGGGTCTAGACGAGTGTTCTCAGCCCTGACGGGAATGCTTTACAAATTACAGGTGACTGGGCCTGCCTCCATCCCTAGAGGTTATGATTCAGTTGTTCTGAATGGATTGTGGGTACTGATAGCTTAAAAAGCTTTCCATGTGGTTCTAATGTTCTGTCAGGACTGAGAACCATTGTCAATGGAAGAAATGATATATAAGATGGGCTTTTGTTCAGAAAGCAGGATTCAAAACCTATCTCAGTCACTTTCTAGCTGTGTAACCTGGTGAAGATTACTTAATCTCCCAGAGCCTTTGGGTTCACATTTATGAAATAGGATAATAATGTTCTTTTAAGGTGGTGAACATTAAAAATTACATGAAGTGCCAATACATAGTAGGTTAATCATAATTGATCACCACCTATTTTTATATTTAAGGCTATATAGGTAAAATTTTTTGGTTTGTTTTATTCAGTTTTATCTCAAGCAACTTGAGTACATTTATATTGAGAGTATAGTAATAGCATCTTATCCGGGCTGTGGAAATAGAACCTGCATCTTTAAGAGATCAAATTGGCAAATAAGGTGACAGCTTCATTACCAAGGCTATCCTTTGAATGGTAGACCCTCTTTAACTCACATTTTTCCAAGTGAGATTTAAAGACATGGATAAATTGGAAATAAAAATTAATAATATCTAACCTTTCTTAAGTATTTACCATGAGCCAGGCACTGTTTTATATGCTCTGTATGTACCATTTCATTCAGTCTTTAGAGCATCCCTCTGGTTCTTCAGATTTCTTATTTTTATCTCCGTTTTACCATTAAGGAAAACAAGGCACAAAGATACAAAATAATTTGCCTGAGTCCCATAGTTGTTAAATGACAAAGCAAAGATCTGGACTCAGGCAGTCTGATTTTTGTTGCCTCATTCTTTGTCTTGTCCTGCCTTCCCCTCCCCTCCCCGTCTCTCCCCGTCTCTCCCCTCTTCTCTCTTTTCAGGGTCTCTTGCTCTGTCACCCAGCCTGGAATACAGTGGTGCGATCACAGCTCACTGCAGGCTCTACCTCCCCAGGTTCAGGTGATCCTCCCACCCCAGCCTCCCAAGGAGCTGGGACTACGGGCAGGTGCCACCACACCTAGCTAATTTTTGTGTTTTCTTTAGAGTTGCGGTTTCTCCATGTTGCCCAGGCTGGTCTCGAACTCCTGGGCTCAAGTGATCCACCCACTCAGCCCCCAAAAATGTTGGGATTACTGGCCTCAGTCACTTTACACAATTTTCTCTTGTTATTTTAGTAAGTATTTTCAGCTGCAGCTCTCCTCGTTATCCCTTAACTGGATTATGTCTAAGAAAAAGGCTGGGAAGCTGTTATTAGTGGGCAGGAATCTCTTTAAGTTCAAGTGTTTTGTCCAGGACAACCTTAAAATTACCTTGAACTCCTTTTGTCCACTTGTTGCCTGATGTACATGTTAGGATGGGTGAAATGTGAATGACAATTTGGAATGACTCTTCCTTTTAAGTGAATGCATGGATATTTTTGGAAGCCAAATTGTCTTGGGAACTTTTGATATATCTAGAAATTGGTAGCATTGTGTTGTTTACTTCAAATTTGAAAACTGTCTATGGGAACATGACTTTGAGTCAAACTCATTCATTCCCTTATCCAGTAACATCAATTGATCAATAACCTAAGGCCTGACTGTAGTCAGTGTTGGGTATACAATAGGAAGAAACATAGTGTCTTCCCTAAGAAACTCATCATCTTGGAATGGGCTGAAAGGTACTTATGTTCTTTTCCCGTGACTCTGTCAGCCAACATTCTGTATGAGGATAACTAAAGGGAGTTTGAAGAACTGAGTCTTCATTCTGGCCCCACCTGCATTGTGGTCCAGCCTTGTGCCTGGAGGGCAGGGTCTGCAGTCCAGTAGAACTTGGTTTTAATCCCTGCTCCGCTTCTCAGCGGTGTCATCCTGGACAGTTTACCTAGTCTCTCTGGGTTTCCCATATCAAAAATGATGCCAATAAAAGGCCTTTTCTCAGAGTTGTGAGAATTCAAGAGTTATCATATGAAGCTTTTATCATAGCGGCTCACACATGCTGAATGCTTGGTAAGTGCTCAGGATGATGATAATGATGATTTATCTTTAGAATGTTTTGTTTTATGTTGATCTCCTCTACAAAGGAAACTCTAAGATTTCTTCCATTTATAGCATCCTTGGATTCTAAAACATAGAACAAGCGGAAGCAAACTAGGAAAGAACTTTTTAGCTCCTACAGGGGTCATGTGCATGAAAACCTTGAATATTGTCTAGCTGGAAACAGTACTGACCCCCTACCAGGAAATAAGGATAATTATTTTAACATTTTAAGAAAATAAGCAAATGTCTCTGCTAATAGGTTAATAGTAAAGAAGCACCTCCCTGCTCATCAGGGCTTTATTTATTTGAGACATTTTCCAGTTTTTCCTCCCACACAGTATAATGTGTTAAACAGGTTGGTGAAGCTTTATTTTGCCCAATTGAAAACAGACTTTCCTGAGGTTTTGGACAACAGCCGAACTTGGTGTTTTTATTTATGGCATTCTCTGCCGCATTTCTGCTGCCAAACACACACATACTGGAGGCCCGATTAATTTTGTGCTTTTCTTGCAGAGTGATTTAGAATAACTGAGGCTGTTCAGATTCTCAGGAGTCGTTTCCTTTGAAAACAAGTACAGTTTGGGTTTGGGCAGAGTAGAGCAATTTGAAGTTAATGGAGTGCCTTAAGTTTTTAAAGAGGGCTACATTTTGCAAACCTTTGAAGTTTGGGAACTGGTGAGCATCAATAACTGCCAAGGATCTGGGCCACCGTAATAATAAGATTGCCATGCTTAGTAGCTGGCATCTTGAGAATGGTAGCCCCTGTGCTCCCACCCTCATTTTTCAATGTTTTCGGTTGGGCACATAACAGTTTGCTAAGGAATAAAGTGCAGTGATGTAGTATATAAATCTGCTGCTAAAAATTCTACTCATCAGCTCATTTTTTTCTCTCCCTGATATTACTCCAAATGGTGCTTAAAAGGCCCATGCTTGCAAACTATAGTGCTTTGTCCTTTGCCTGGCTCTCAGATGATCTGGTTTCTGAAGAGGAGAGAGAAGGCTCTGTCCCCTTGCCTTCAAATTGGCAATCCCCAGGGATGATTTATCCTGACAGCACAACTCTGCAGCTCTGCTCTAGTCTTGGAATTTGCTGACTAGGTACAGTTACTGATGGAAAAGATACCAAAGCAGGAAAAATTCAAAACCATGGAAACATGATCAAGTTTCTAAACATAAGCTCAACATACCCTTCCACACACCTTTTATTCATGCAGAGAATCGTGTTCCTCTATCAAAGACCCACAACCTGACCTTCTTTAAGTAAACTTCTGCTCATTCTTCAAGATTCAGCGCAAATGTCACCGGTACCTAAAGACTTCTTTGAGAGCTGAGTGGAGAACTTTAATATGTTCAAAGCAGTTATTCATGTACTGTATCTCCCCCTCACTAGCAGGTAGTCCTTTTCAGAGCAAGGACACATTTTGTTCAACTTTCTATCTCTAAACCATTTACTGAAGAGAGAACAGAATCTGACACTCAGCAGGTCCCTGCTTGCTGCTGCCATGCCTGGAGGTTCAGGATCTTGATTCCTCTCTCAGGGCAGGAAGATTGGGCAGCTCAGGGGCTGAGCATGAAGGATTTTTAACCCATCTCTTGCTTTTGTTATTTTCCTTGTCACTGATAGGTATCCTTTGGATTCACTTTTCTTCATATCAGAGTGGTCAGCTCTGACTCATGTGTGGGAAGGGGATCTGGACAAATGGACACCTCTCATCTCTTGTTTAATTCCAAGTATTTAGGTGTTTTAAAATCTAACTGGGATTTGTTTTAATCAAGCATGGAGATACATGCAGATGTGGAAATGGCAGGAAGACTGTACGTATTCAGATACCTAGAAACAGGAAGCCCAGCATTCCACATAGGGCCACATGAGGAAGCCGTAGGGTCAGGAGGAGGCAGAGTAAGGAAGGAACATGGCAAGGCAAGCACCCTTATTGTGGTTTCTGCAGGAAGAAATGTGACAGGTGGGGTAAACAGGGTTAGAACTGGCTAGTTGGGGTACTTTCAGTGGGCTCTGGGCCTGGGAGCTGTTCCTAGTTGTCTGGTACCTTGCCCTGGGGTGATTATAGAAGGTGAATATTAGCCCAGAACGTAAGAGCTCCATAAAGAAGACTGGAAAGTATGGGCTTTGGATTGGTTGGTTTGCATATGAAAGGTGCCCTCCCTGGGGCCAGCTGTCTGCTGTCTCTAGGAATTAGCTAGCTCTGGGAGGGGCAGTCCCTTCTAGTGTCAGAAAGGCCCCGAGATGTGAAGACATCAGAATAAAAAACTTTGCTTAATATATTAGGCCCAACTAACTCAGCAGATGACACCTTTTCTTGGTCCTTTCCAACTGCTAAGAGTTCTGCATTGAGGTTTGTAGCTAGCATCATAATACTACTTTATATTGAAAAGTAAAATTTAAAGAAAGATGAAAGAACTAAAGAAAAGGAAAAGCAAAGAAAGAATATTTTTTAAAAGGATAAAAGGTAGTGGAAAGAAAGGAACAAAGCTCAGGTAAGTTCCCAGAATATATTTGATGAATGGATGAATAAATAAATAAACAGGCCAGGCACAGTGGCTCACAACTAAACCCAGCATTTTGGGAGGCCAAGGCAGGAGAATTGCTTAAGGCTACGAGGTGGAGACCAGCCCGGGCAACTTAGCGAGACCCAGTCTCCACAAAAAAAAGTCAAAAAAAATTAGTCTTAGCTACTGGGAAGCTGAGATGGGAGGATCTCTTGAGCCCAGGAGTTCGAGGCTGCGGTGAACTATGATTGTACCACTGCATTCCAGACTGGGTGATAGAGGGAGGCCCTGTCTCTAAAAAATAAATGAATGAATGAATGAATCAATAAATGATCAAATCTCTATCTTCCTGTCTAATCATATTCACATGAATGCAAATCCTTGTGTTAGAGCCAACAGAAATATTTGCAATTTTACCCTTAATTTTAATTATGTGATAAGACACTTCGTACACTGTCAATTTCAGCTATCACTGAGCAGATGGATAGATGTGTTTTCCGCAGCCCTAAAATTACAGCTTGTAAGAAGACTGCCTAGTTAGTCAACTTGGAAGGTGGTTTCTGCACAATCACTTAAGGAACTGTTCAATCAGTTGCTTAATCACTGAGCAATAGTTTGTTTATTTAAGGGTGGCATTTTTTATTACGCTAGCTAAAAGCCTCAGTGGAAACACTGTTCAAACTGTTATTCTGATTTCCATGTCCACCAGTGACTATGTCCAGGGGAGCCTCCGTTTTTTAAAATCTAACTTTCCAACATAGACAACAGACTTAAGAAAGGATTGGTCACTGAATTGCCTTACAAATAAGCACTGCCAATAAATGGAAGTATTTGTTTACAAATCAGCTTGTCAGAGAGGCTGGGATCAGAGAAATTTGGAAGCTAAGGGTTAGAGGATAGCAGACTCATAGATCTTGCCAAGGTCAATCAAAAATGATAACAAAAATAATAAGTCTCTGGGGAAATAGGATTGGTTTACAAATCTGCACGAAATTTTTACAGATTGCCTCTGCAAAGCGGGGATCTCTGATATTGTGGTGAAGGTTAGACAGGGACCCTGCATCCAAAAAGCTGAACACTCAATTTTTCAGTCATTAGAGGGGATATAAATAACTGATGGTGGGCAGTCAGTCTGTCATAAATTTGTAGCAGGGAGATTCATCTGAGGACAAGAGGAGATTGGGGTTATGGGCTGATACCCTTTCCTCCCCACGCAAACTTCGACTTCCATAAATTGATGTGTGTGGTAGATTGATTGCAAAAATAACCTCCGTTCTCATCTGCCTTTTCCCTGTAGCGACACCTATTGCATGGCCAATTGTTGTCAATGATTTGCTCTGGCCAATAGAATATGGTAGAAGGGAATGTGTGTCAGCCCCAAATCTGGCCTCAAGAGGCTTAGGCTTACCTGCTTCTGCTTTTTCCCTCAGGACTCTGCTTACCCTTTGTGAATAAGCCCAGTGAATCTGCTGAGTGATGAGAGAGAGAGTGGGCCAGTCACTTCATTGCTCCAGGTAACATGCAGTTATCTTCCCCCAGGTAGGTCCCAGAAGACCTGCCAACTGACTGGACATGCGTAAGTGAGCCCAGCTGGGTTACCTGAGTCTGGCCCAGGTCAGCAGTGCTAGCCAATGGACAAACAACATCATGAGCAAAAATTAATGTATTATATGCCACTGAGGTTTTTTGGCTGTTTGTTGTGGTACATTATTATAGCATTAGATAATGATGCAAAGTGCAGAACAGCTTTATTTGGCAGGAAGAGTAGGGGATGTGTGCTCACTTTCCATTTCTAATCAATCACCAGGTCTTACTCATCCTATATCCTGGATGAATATCTCTAATTCATTCCCTTCTCATCACTGTCCCTGCCACTCACCTAACCTGGTTATCTTCACCACTTGAAACTTCTCATGCTGTCGTATACAACTGTGTACTTCCCTCCCAAGCATCATTATAATTTGCTCCAGTTTTGAAAGATTCTGAAGCCAGTTTTGTTGAGAGAGGAGGGCAACAGATGAACAATATTGGGCATCTACTTTATTCTATGCACTTAATTAAGCTTATTGATAAGGCTAATCACAGACTTAACCATAATCATAATAAATTGGCAAACAATGTTTATTGAGCACTTCTTACGTGCCAGGTCCTTAGTTCAAGGATTTACATGCTTTATTTCACTCTTCATATTCACTTTCCAATCACTCTAAGAGATTGGTCTTATTAATGTGTCCCCCATGATACAGATAAGGAAAGAAGATTTGCCAGGTTCAATAAGTTGGCCTAGGTCACACAGCAGGTACTTGGGAGAGCATACACACACACACACACACAAACAGACACACACACACCCTCATTTAATGATCTGTGTGAAAGCACCTGGCCCCAAATTGGATCACTCCTTCTTTGAGTTGTGGTGGGTACTAGGGATCCCCTTGAATATGTAGCCACATGCTCATGCATACAGAAACCCAGGATTCCCCTTAAGGAGAAAATGCATGCATTTTTGTAGAGAGGGAGAGGGAGAGATTAGGAGGAGGAAATGGCTTTTTCCCAGACATAGAGGAAAATCTAGGCTGAGTGGGTAAGCTTTTATATTTTCTGCAGCTTAAAAAATGTAGAGTAATTAAAGCAAAACTGGTAGCAAAACTCCCAAGATAGATATTCCACGTTCTATCAGTGGCTCCCACTTCCCTCTCAGACTGAACAGCTTTGCATGTGTCTGGGAGCCTGAAAAAAGTCTATTGTTCTATTTGGGCCAATATAGCAGCAGAAATTCCCTACTGTCAGTGCTGGCATTCTACACTGGTACTCCTGTAATCCTTTGCTCCTTATTTCTACTGTTCCCAGGTTATTTCTGCAAATGTGAGAGTCCTAGAAGAGAAGTTTTCCCTCTCTTGATCTAGTAAGCTGGTTAGTGGGGAAGAAAATGAATGGAGTACCACAGCACAATCTTGTTATGGAGGTTACCAAAATCCCTTGGCCTCATTATCAACTCTACTTTGTTCTCTTATCCCATATTTAATTTATCAGAAAACCCTATTGGCCCCACCTTCAACATACATCCAGAATACAGCCACCATCTAAGCCATCTTTGTTTTGCCTGGGTGGCAGCAGTAGCCTGCAAACGGATCCCTCTTCCTCAAAAGCACAAGTAGAGGGATGCTGTTATAATAAGAGATCATGTCATTCTTTTGTTCAAAATCTACCCATGGCTCCCAGCTCACTCTTAGACAGGCCAAAGCCCTTACTGGGCACATTATACAAGGTGTAAGGCATGGCCTTTATTACTTCCCTGCTCTCATGCCTGGCTCCTCTCCTCCTAGCCCACTCTGCCCCAGCCCCACTGACCACCTTGCTGCTTCCACAACAGATTCCACCTGCTCCCACCTCAGGGTCCTTTTATTTGCAGTCCTTCCCTCCAGGAAGCTCTTACCCCAGATATCCTCACGGGTCTCTCCCTCACTTCCTTCAAGTCTTCATCCTATGTTGCTTTTACTATGCAACCTTCACTGATGGCCATATTTAAATGCGGTAACACCCTTCTATGCTCTCCACTGTCTGTTCCAACATTTTTTTTTTGCACCATAGTACTCATCATCTTTCAAATTATTATATACAAGTTACTTATTTGTTTATTTATTGGCCTTCTTCCTGTACAGAATGTAAGGTTTATGGGGCCAGAGATATTTTTCCTCTTTGGTTTATTGACAGTGCCTGGCACATCCAATGTGCTCAAAAAATTTGTGTCAAATAAATGTATGAATTTCATCCATTTATCCAGGGCATAATTTAGTATAGTGTTTAAGAACCTGGGCCATGGAATCAGCCTGCCTCTCTCAGAATTTCTGCTCTACCACTAGATAGTTTTGGGACATTTACTTCACCTCCGTAAGCCTCAGTTTCCTCATCTGCAAAATGGGTATACTCAAAGAACATGATTCATGGAGAAGATGCATACAGAATACTTAGCCTGGTGTCTGGCATTTACTGAACATTCAGTAGGTGTTAACTGTTATTATAAGTGAAAAAAATTAGTATTCAAATTCTTCTTTTGCTTTCTTTGGAGGTACAATGTTTTCAGAAGAATAATATGTGGAAGAAGGGTATTAGCATTAAAGGAATACCTCAGCTCCTTTAATCCTCACAACTATCTTATGAGATAGCGCTGTTTTCCTATTCAAAAATGAGGCCACTGAGTCTTAGCAAGGTTGAATGACATGCCCAAGGTCACATGCGGGCAGAGTTGGGATTCGCATCTAGATTTGTGTCATCCTAGTATTGGTCTTAGTCTTGCCACTGTAACACCCGCCCCCTGTCTCCTTACTTTAGCAGTCACGACCTTGAGCATTTTCATTTTGACTGAACACGTCCGCTCTTTCATGGCTCTCAGTTTGCTTATGTTTATTCTGTTCGGGTCCTCTTTTCCCTTCATTTATGCTCTTTGAAATTCTACCTGTCTTTTCAATTCCTGCTCAAAGCCATCTCCTCCCTCAGCCCTCCAATTTAACCCCTTTCTCTGCTATGCTGCAGACACACACTGCCTTCTACCCACGCATTAGTTATTCTGTACCATGTTTCTTCCACAGAAGATGGGGATCTCCTTGAGTCTGTGAACTGCACAAGGCTCCTCTTTGTGTCTCTACGGTGCATGGCACAGCATAGTGCAGTTACAACATAGGCAAACCTGACTTCCAGGATCTTAACTGCGCCAGCTTGTAATGCCACCATCATATTTCCTGCTTTAAACAGTCAGCAGATGCAAGTAAGCCTGCCAGTCAATGCATTTGTCAAAACAGGCTGAGGTGTTCTACCTAGTGGCCGGAGGTAAAGCATATTGGTCTAGTGGCCATGTGAATAGGTGGTGATGCTATATCAATATCTTCAAGGAAAGACATTCGGGTATTAATTGTGAGTCATAGAGTAATGCTGATCAAGAAAGAGATAGATAAACTGATACAGGGCTCTAAACACAAGAGTCGTACATACAGTATGGCACACAATGGTACATTAGGATTGTTTTAAAGGTGATTTTATTATATGCAATTTATGTCTGACCCTGGCACACAATAGGCATTTGATAAACGTTTACTAAGTTGTGGAGTTGATTTGAATTAAAATAAACCAATACTGTATGACTTCGAAATTGAGGGGATACCACATACCAGAAAAAGAAAATTGCTTTATTGCCCTTACATAGTTGCCTACAATTTGGTGTATATATAGAAATGTATCTTGAATGCTAAAGATAGCACAAGTAATTGAAGGTGGACTGAAGGGTGACAAGTGACTTGATTAGAAAGGAAATTTCATCTTGTCACTTATTACCTGGAATCCAAATTTATGCAAGATCAGCCAGAAGGCAATTTTCATTTTATCCAGGATAAACCAGAGCTTAAGCTCCCAAAGCCTGTCATCTTGAATGTCTCCAATAGTCACTCAAATTGTTGGTGCACTCTTGTTTAGCATGTTTATTACAATTGTCATGCTGTCTTGATTTTTCTAAAATTACAATCTCATTATTACAGGATTTTCTGTTGAATGACACTTCATAAAAAAGACTTTGATTGCTGAGTTACAAAGACAATTGTATCTTCTTGTAAAGCATACAGTCTTGGTGGTCCTACCCCATGAACTGGCTGTCCCAGGACGGTTTTACGGTGAGGCATTAGTCGTGTATTGATTTTCTTCAATCTTCAGTTGAATATTTGTAGTAATTGCTGTTTCAGCAATGGTGAACCACATAGCATTGTCAGAACCTGACTCATTCTGTTTCATGATGGTTAGTCTCTGTTGGCCCTCCAAATACGTCTCTACCCTCACTACTTACCTTTGTGCCCTGGGAGGCTGATCTCTGTGGACTTAAACATCTAAGGTCCCTTGGTTCTTGGCTTCTGGCTGGGTTTCACTAATTAAGGGGCACTGAGGGAGGATGAAAAACAAGAGGAGAGTGAGTTTGGGGTCTTTGTTACCCTGGCTCATACTTTGCTAGAACATGATCCAGTTGTGGTTTCTTGTTAAAGCCACAGGTACTTTTGAGCATCTCTCTTACAACTATAGAAACCCTCTCCAAGTTCCAGAAACTCCTCCCTCTTTTTGTGCCTTCATGACTAGATGTGGTAAAGGGATAGTCACAAACTCATTTTGGTTTGAATCACGAATCATTTAAATCATGAATTCTGCTCACAACTTTGTAGTCCCTCATTATACTCTCCCCAATACCCTCACCTAAGTGTTTCCTAGTAATTCTGTTTCACAAATGCTCCAAGATCTGACTATGACATTAAAATAACAATAAAACACCTTCTGTTTATACAGCTTTTGCCGTTCCTTTTCTCCTCAAAACAACCCATGCTCTTCTCTGGCTACTTTATCCATAGTAGGGACCCTGCCATGATCTTCCACTATTTCATCCTGTTTATTTTCCTTATAACACTTATTAAAGTCTAGAGGTATATTGTTCATTTGTTGTTTATCTGTTTATAGTATTTTTCTTCCTCCAGAATGCAAGCTCTGTTTGAGTAGGGATCTTGTTTATTTTGTTAATCACTCTCTAGTAATTGATACATGGTAGAACTCAAATGAAGGAATGCATTTCTATTTTGGGAAGCAGTGGGTATGGCAGAACTAGTCATCAATTCAGGCCTGCTCGGGAAACCTGGTACCCATGAGTTAAGCTTCGGTAGCCATGCACGTCCTGGGCTCAAACTCAGCTCTGGGCAGAATAAGACAGCAATACAGTGGGGCCCTCTGAATTCTAGATTTATCTTCAAGTATGTACCAGTCTATTCATTGTTAGATGTTACGTGTAAGTAGCAGTTCTGTTAGGCTGGAATGGCTGCAGCTGACTCTGGCATTTGGAGATAACAGTGAAGCTAGTGACCTTTAAACTCCAGGGGCTTAGAAAAGAGGTTTAAGAGATATCTTATTAGGAACTTGAAATATCATAGATACATGAAGTTTCAAAGAGAGAATCAGTTATAGCATTTGTGACCAGCATGGGAGCCCAGGGAACTCACTATCATGCCATTCCTTGATGGTTGAGTTAAATGACTATAATGAACTGTATGCTTCGAGGATGTTGAGGCTGAGTGGTATGTGATGGTTTTACACAGGAAGTAAATGGTGTCCATATTCTTGCCTGACATGGGATAATCTTTCAGCTGTGACAACTGCAGATTTATCTTTCCTAGCAAACAAACAACAACAAAGAAAACAATGTGGAGGTGACAGACCAAAAACAGAATATAGAAGTAGGGTGCCAGGGAGGGCTCAGAGAGATCCTGAAAACTGTCAAGTCATGCACATTGAAAGGGAAACCATTACTAGCTAATGGGAAAAAAGCAACTTGTAGAATGCATGAGAGGGAAGCAAGCTCATTTTTAATTTAGTTGATCAAGACGTTATTGTAGTTCAAGTGAACTTACAACACAAAGATTCATAATATCAATAGAAAAGCATATTGTGAAGCTCAGAATAAAGGAAATGAGGACTTGAGTCCCCAGAGTTTCTCAGAAACAAGATAATTTAAGTTCTTCCCTTAGTGTTCCCTTGAGAATCTGCCTAATCAGTCTAAAGGCTTTAGAAATGCGGCCCATTGTGTTTAGGCTCCTTTACTTAGGACTCTTACAGCTGAACCGTGTCTCTCAGTAAAAATGAGAAGCACTTAGCAGCATCTAATAGGGGGCCCTTTGTCTCTTCTGCACCACCTTCATCACCACCATAGATGAGATATTTACTGAGCCTTCCAGAGAAATGCCAGGTAAACTCTGAACCTAGTACATTAGAAACACTGAAAGCTTAGCGGGGCCCCAGGGAAGAGGTGAGGGTGCAGAGATAAAACTGAAAGTTATGGATGAAGATAGAAATTGGAATGAGACTACAAAGGGTATTCACTTTCCTAATAGGTTTTTATTTAAGAGCTTTTTTGGTGGTGGGGGGGATCATAGGCTCTGTGTTATTTTAACTTCTACTTCAAAATACATTCTTGCAAGTATTGGCTTGCATTTTCAGCTTGAAATAACTTAGCTTTCCAATTTCTCATCTAACTGCAATGGGTGGCACTGGTTAAATTATGACAAGGTACAGTAGCTTTCTAAAATGTTAGGAAGAATGGATTCTCCATCATTGGGTCTGTTTCAAAAATGACTCACCTACCACCTCTTTTTCTTTAATGGGGGAGAGAATAGAACATCTTAGAAATCTTCTGAAAATGAAGATGAATTGGCATTCTGTCCATCACAAAACATCATCTTGTGCTTTCCTAGGAATGGAGACCATTTAAATTCTTATTTCCTTTGGTTTGTGGAAGTTTATCAATTGCTTTGCTCAGCATGCAGTTTCATCACTTCCAATCTCAGAAAAGTGTCATACAGAGGTAATATTCAAAGACTGAGAATTCAATAAGGTTTCCACTCATCCCAAAACTCCCTCAAGTTAAATGGTTTAACTTTTATACTATCAACCAACTTGGCTGTGAGCACATCAGCAGCAAGGACGGCATTCTATTCATCTTCAGTGTTGCTACTTAGATTCCATAAGTGGGTTGAATAAATGAAATATAAACCTCTACTTGATCCAATTAATCTAAACTATCATCTTTTAAACACTCGGGATTCATACCACACAATTTCCCCATTCTTTTCCTTGTTATTGAGGCTGATCTTAAACAGCATGAAATGAGATAAAATGTAACAATTATCTGATAAATTGAGTAAGAGAAGATGGCTAAAATAGATGAATATATTATACTCAAGAGATTGATATATATATATGAAATGTTTTCTATATAATAAAGTCAAAATCAATTATGTCCATACAAAGATTGTACAAGAATATTCACAGAAGCTTTACTAAGAATAGTTCCAAACTGGAAACAGTGCAAATGCCCATCAAAAGGAGAGTGAATAAGCACATTGTGTATATCCACACAATGGAATAGCACTAACTAATAAAAAAGAGCTAACTGTTGATACATACAACTAGTTGGATAAATATCAAAAATGTTATGTTACACAAAGGAAGGCAGCTACAAAAGGATACATACTGTATGGTTTCATTTAGCAGAGGTACAAGAACAGGTAAAACTAGTCCATGGTGATAGTAATCAGAACCAAGCTTCCCTGTTGGCCTGAAGACACACCCCAACGAAGATTTGAGTACTTCCTGCTTCCATTGGGCCAGCTGAGGGATGGAAATTGAGCTTTTTCCTGTGGCCCCATTACCACCACTGGGTGGGAGAATGAGAGGTTGGCTTGTTTCCTTGGAGTGTAAGCATAGCTCTCTGGTTGACCCTGGTAACCCTGGGGTGGGGGTGAGGTTAGGCTTGGGGAGGGTGCAGTGGCTCTGTTGGTGTTTGGCTAGCGTAGGCTGTGCATTACCAGAAAGGTTTTCTGTTGTTAGTTTACTCTTTTCCTGGTCCTTTGGTTAGGAAAAATGGGCTTTTGTTGGAGCTTCTTTGTCTATGCTAGTTGGTGGTTCAGAGCAGAGGCTTCTGCAGCACCCTGTCCTAGATAGAAAAGAGGTAACAAAGAAGCCCAGGGACCTCACCACTGTGTCATTCCTCAATGCCCAAAGTTCGTAGGCTGTATTCCTTCTTCTCTCCATTTTTCAGAGCATTCCCTTGCTGTTTATTATGCTATGTCCAGGAATTTTTAGTTGTATGAGGGAAAACCTGAATAGAGTGGGACTACTCCATCTTCTCCACAACCGGAAGTCTTCTCCATTCTGTTTTCATATCAACATTGAATAACATAACCCAACGGAGAGCTGGCACATAGTAGGTGCTCAGTAAATGCTGGTTGATCTGGAATCTAAGTCTTGGTCAGTTAGACCCATCTACACATTGTTGAAGGGTTGGAACTTGGTTATCTTCTTTGAATTTGCCATTTTCCATTGAAGCTCTTCTCTACAGTAGAATTCTTCTCACAATTTTGAGCAGAAGTCTCTAGGCTAAGTATTGAATCCTAGTACCCAAATAGGCATGGCACCTCAGTTATTCTAGGGTTGGCCAAGTTTCTGGATTTCTGATCCTGGAATTTGTTTCTACCTTTTCTGACTTTTTAGAGCAATCGTTTATTTTCACTTGTTGCTGTTTTTTGTTGTTGTTGTTGTTTGAGTTTTCATAAACTTCATGCTTTGTTGCAACCAAGGAATAATAGAATTTGGATTTTCAAAACCCTTTGAGGTGTCTGAGTTAGAGGTCCTATAAAACTGTAAATTGTCATAATTATTGCTATTATTTAGCTGCTAACCAAATAAAAGCAACAGTCTGGGTCTTCAAAAATTGTTTTTGTAATTTTTTTCTTGCGTAGAATGTTGCACTTTCAATAGGTCCTTTACAATTTCTAGAGGCTTCTGCTTTTAACATCAGTAATACTCTTCTACACATGTGTGACACGGATAACTCATAAGGTAAAACACATTCTGCCTCATTTTTACGTGCAGTGAAAAGAATAATTAAATTCTTCAGGGAAACCCCAGATGAGGGCTCTTGAGACTAACAAACCCCTGTTACCCTATGTTGAAAGCAGCAGTATACTCAGGGAAAAACAATAACCAATTTGTTTATGGATTCATTTTGAACTGTATTTTACTCATTTCATTGTATTTTATTTGAAAAATGCTTTTGTGAAATTGTAGAAAGCTATGTCTATTAGAGAATCCCTATCTATAGGTATTATTAGGCACAACAGATTCAATTAGAAAGTTTAAAAATGTTTACATAAGTAAGGACTGCCCACCTGGTCTAGCGACCCTCCAATGGCTTTGATATCTTCATGACTGTCACTGAAGAGAGAACTCCTGCTCCATGGGCTCCTTGTTTATTCCTACCTCCCAGGCTCACCATTGTAATCTGACTTAGGAGGCCACCAAAGCCATTCCTGTGATGCTCTACAGCAGAGGTTGGCAAACAACAGTCCACAGGCCAGATTTGGCCCATGACCTGTGTTTGTAAGTAAAGTTTGATTGAAACATAGCCACATCCATTCATTTACATATTGTCTAAGGCTGCCTTCATGCCACAAAAGCACAGTTCAGTAGTGGCAGCAGAGTCCATACGGTCCACAAAACCACCATCTTTACTCTCTTTCCCTTTATAAATAAAGATTTTGGACCACTGCTCTACATCTCACTGTCTCCTTTGCTGATTCTGCCCCATCTTCCTGATTTGTGAACACTACCATCTACTAGGGCTTAGTTCTTAGACATTCGTCATCTCTTCATTGATTCCTTAGGTCAGGGGTTCTCAACCCCAGCTGCTCTGAAGAATCGGTTGGGATGCTTTTTTAAAATATCACTGCCTTGGTGTCACCCCCAGAAGTTTCGATTTAATTGGTCTGGCATAGGGCTCAGTCCTCAGTACTTTCTGAAAGTTTCCCAGGTGATTACAATGTACAGCCAGGATTCAGAACTATTACTGTAGGTGATTTTTGTCTACTCTCAAGGCTTTCTATAAACTATATCTTAACAGCTTCCAGCTTATATCTCTAGTCCCCATTTCTCCCCTGAATTTCATATTTGGGTCTCCAACCCCTTATTTGGCATTTCCACTTGAATTTGTAATTGGCATCTGAAACTTGACGTGTTTAAATCAGAACTCGCACACTGCTCCTCCCATGTCTCAGTAAACAGCATTCCATTCTTTCATTTGCTCAGGACAAAATTCTTAGTCATTCCGGACTCCTCCCTTTCTCTCATGTTCCATCTCTAATCCATTAGCAAATCCTGCTGTGCCTTCTAAATACATTAGCATCTCTCCTGCTATCACCTGGTCACAGCTAGGGTCATCTCTCACCCAAATTTTGCAATGGTCTCCTATTGTCATAGTCTCCTTGTTTCTTCCTTGGCCCTCTGCAGTCTATTGTTAAAACAGAAGCTAGAATGACTCTGACAAAACAAGAGTCAGATAAAGTCACACAATATTACCCTATCAGGGACATTTGCTCTGACCACAAAATCTGAAGTTGCTGTCCTAACTCTTATTTCTTTCATTTTGCTTTATTTTTCCCCAAAGCACTTCCATGAGATATTCTTATTTGTTTATGATCTGTCTTCCCTTCACTGGAATGCATGCTGCAGTTAGAGCAGAGCTACCGTATTGTACAACCCTAGAGGGTGCACATAATAGTTTATGTGAATGTGCTCCTGAAAATTATTGTGCAGTGCACAGCCTGAGCAGCCATATGAGGTAAGCCTGCAATCAAGCAAAGGGCTTGGTTTATTCACTGCTGTGTTTCCAAAGCCTTGATCTGCGCCCAACACAAAGGAAGCTCTTTAAAATGATTATTGGAATATATACCACTTATATAATAATTTTGCCTGCATGTATAATCATGAAAAAGATGCTTTGAGGTACTTTCAAGAATACTGTTTAGGATATAACATTCTCATTCATCTGAACTTTTCATATAACTGACGAAAGTTTTTGTCCCTTTTTTATTTTTGATTTTTGTGTGTAAATAGTACCCCTCATTTAAAAAATTTTCCTGGTATCCTTATTTTTCTTTTCCTTTTTTTTCCCTTGGGACAACATGATATTTTCTGTAACTTATTAGAAGTGTAGCCCCTATCATTCTTTATCACCAAACTCTGCTTTTTTCAAAAAAAAAAAAACAAACACGCACTTTTAACCTAGCATGATACAAGTATTCATTTTTTGTATCTCTCTCTTACTGGGCTGTGAACTGCATACATATGAGGATTTTTTTTGTTGTTCCTATCTTGGCCCATAGCAGGTGCTTGATAAGTATTCTTTGCAAGGAAGGGAGGAAGGGACGGACGGACGGACAGACAGAGGGAGGGAGGAAAGAAGGCAGGCAGAGGGACATAGTACAACTCAGAGGGATGATAAAATCAGAAAAATTGGCAGTAAATGCACAGAAGCCTTGCTCATTTGTCAGCATGTCTGATCCACACAGACAGCCAGAGCAGGTTATCAGTAATATGGATTGATAGTCTTCATCAATTAAAATCCAAAGATTGTTTCCAAATGCTCATTTCTGGACAAAAAAAAAATCTACATAAAATATGTGCCCATATGTACTCATTAAAATCATAAACATTTTATGGTTTTAGAAATAAAATCAATAGGGATAGTAGAATTTAAATAAAAAATAATTTTAATAAATATTCACATGTGTAATCTAACTTGAATAATACAGGAAAAAAGTGAATACCATTAAATAATTAGAAACAATACCATATACAAATTATTTTAAAATTATTTTCACAAAAGAATGGAACATAGGCCCTTTACAGCAAATAAAACTCTAGAATCCTAGTTTTGGAAATCACATTTATTTTATTTATTTATTTATTTTTTGTTTATTTTTGTTAAGCATTGTATTTATATCAACTTACTATCATTTTCTTCTTCCTTTTTTTTTTTTTTTTGGTACTATGCTCCTTTTTTTTTCTTCTGCCTTGAAAATAAATATTCCTTGAATTAAAATACAAGAATGAACAGAAATGAATACTGTTCCAAAATCTGAAAACACATTTTTCCCCCATTACCAGTGGATCTTGATCTGCTCCAGAAATTCTTTATGATGATGGAGGGAAGAGCAAACAAATCGATAGGTAGGGACAGAAACATTGACTACAGTTGAATAGAAACAGTCGTACTTTCTAAAATTCTTTCCAATGTCCTTATATTTCTTGAATTATGTATCATGTACATCTTCATAAAATGTCACCAATGTCTCCTCCAGTCAGTCTGTAACTGCTATATCTGTGAAATTATTTGTCTTGAGCCACATAATTGCATATTGTGAGCAACTCATCTTTCAGAAGCTAGAGGAAAGAAACTCAATCTCAAAATTACACCTTTCTTATCTATAGATGAGGGGGAAATGTCTTATATATACTGTCACTTTTTCTCAGCAAAACCACCATCTCTTTAAAAATCATGGTTTGAAAGCAGTAAATGCTGCAGAACAACAAGCTGTCAGAGGAAAGACAGGGGACATTTAAGACCTTGCATAACATTTGTAAAAATTCTCAGCGTCAAAGCAGAAATCGTCATCTTGAGAAAGATTGCACTGAATTCAAATGACTGACTTTTACATAGCTAGAAGAGTATCTTTATCTTAAAGAAAAAACTTTCTTGGATAGAAAATAATTCTGCTCAAGTTATGCCTTTTCTAGGTTCTTTGCTTTGACAACTTGTTAATAAAAAGCCTGGTAAACTGATGATATTTTAATTTCTTTTGATCTTAACTCCTTTAGTCAGCTGAAGCACAGTAAAGGCTAAACACCATTGGGAAATTGAGAGTGGCGGATGTAGTTTTCCTTGGAGAAAGAAAAATGTATATAAGTAAGGAGGAATAAGCTGACATGAATGGTTGCTTTTTCATTTGAACAATGAAGAAAAATGATTAGAATGGAGAGAATTCAAATGAGAAGAAAGTTGTTTCTTCTCAAACACATTTTCAACCTTTCATACGAACACATAATTAACTATTTTATCTTCCACTAAGCAAAGGAAAAATTAAAAATGAAGGAAAATAATACTAAATCATGCTGAAATCATCCAGAAGTAAAATACTAAATAAATATATAAAGCAAATGGCTTGCACTTTAAAAGAACTGCGTAACTAAAACAAGACAAAGACATTTTCTTTTTCTTCTTTAACCAACCTGAGCTGGCAGCAAGATAAGCTGAGTTTAAAGTATTTAAAAAGATTGAAAATGATTCAATTTAGCTGTGTGATCTTTTTTACACAGGCATTAAAGAAAATAATATCATTTCTCATGACCAAGCTTTCTACCCTTGTGGTGTGTGTTTCATCTGAAAGTCTCTATACATATCGTTGTTATCGGATTGGACAAAAACAAAGGAAGAAGAATATCTGCAAAGCTAATGTTGATGAGTAATTTAAATGATAACTAAGTTGCGAATGGCATTTCAATTTGTTTTGCCCATTTAATGACATAAGTAGAGATTAAGTCCAAAAATTTAATTACTTATTAAGTGGCAATAAAACATACCAGTGGTTTTTGTCCAGTTCTTTTCTTATTTTAGACACACTTGTAAATTCTATATAAAAATGTATCCTCTTCCTCTCCACTCCCACGCACTCCTGCACACACACAAACTCATCTATGTATTTATGGTTTAGTATAGGGTTTGCAAACTCATTGCCTTGAAGGACAAAGCAAGTAATAAAAAGGAAGAGAGAAAGCTCTGTATAAGACAATAGGGAGTAGTGAGGACTGTGGCAAACTTGGCTAAGCAGCTCACTGGAAAGGGTGGCCCCTAATGATCTCCAGCCAATTATTGACACATGAGAATATAACACAGTATTACCTTCTCAAAATCTTATTTTGTAAGAGGAGTTATGAATCCATGTGTATTACGAGATCTCCCTATGTTGGAATATTGTCAACTAATTCAACTAAATGAACTAACAAGCAAACAGAATGATTTCCTCGCTAAAAGTTCTTGTCTGTGGGCTGTATTTAATCAGCTCCCTAGTAGGATGTTGCTTCTGGCTTGGCAACCACTGGCAGAAGGCTTAGGTTTCAATTTCTACTTTGCTTTTACTAGCTGGGGAGGACTTGGACAAGTCCTCATCTATAAGAAAAATACTTGCATCAGAGACACAAACTGATTTGAAGTTTAATAGAGAGAATTTAGAGACCATCTTGTCCTACCTACTTATTTTAGAGATAAAGATACTTGAAGCCTGAGTAGCATCAAGTATTTGTCTAAGGTCCTAGGAGAAGCTGATATCAGAGCTGGCACTTGAAACAAAGTTTAGACTCCCAGTTCTCATGGTTACCCAGTGCCGCTCTAACTGCTTCTTCTACTCTGCCTCAATTGTAACTTTGGGCTAAAGCAATTAGAATAATTTTCAGTAGGTCAGGTCATGACGATGAAATCAGGACCATAGTTTTCAATTTACTAAAAATCTACTTTCTAGAATTCCTGGAGGGCATAGCCTATTCCATACCTGTCCAGAATACATCATAGCCCTCATCATAATCATATTCTTAAGTATATTTAATAAATAAATGACTGAATAAAGAAATCATTCTATTTTGGACAAAGAGGTCATCATTCAGAAGGCCACAATAACATGGAGGAAAACTATTTCAGGAATAAATAAGCTGAACTCAGGTAAACTGCCTTATCATCCACTAGAAACCACATTAAAACAAACCAAACAAAGCAAAACTAAACTGCTTCCTGCTAGCTCTCTGACTTAGAACTGAATAGAGATACAGTCTTTCTTGGATCTGATTTCTGATTGCTCCTTACTAATGCTGAAAATTGAATTCATTGGCTCCATCAAAGTGCCCTGCAGAGAGGAGTAGAAGCCCTGGCTGAATGTAGGAGATAAAAAATAAGCTTGATAGTAAAGGTGGCTTACTTGATAGTCCACAGAAAGATAGCCAAGTCAAGCATGCCCTTATTTATGGCTTATTAAAGACAATTTTTTTTTCCAAGAAAACATACATACTTCACAGAGCTCTGGCCTAGAATTTAAAGCATGTTGTTTTTATCTCGCCTGTGAATGTCTGCTGCTCCCAAGCTTGCAAAGCTTGTCTACTGACTTCCTCTCCAGTTGCTCTACTGATTATTTTTTCGCTTTTATGAAAAATTAAAATATAAGATGAATAAGACAAGTATTGTTTAATTCTTATAAAGTTAAGGATTTGTTTGACATATTTTATAGAGTATCAAGCAGAATATATAAACCATACACATGACAGTAAATAAATATGATAAAGTATGGCATCAATATTCTGGTTTTGATGTAACAGGGGTGTATTTCCCTTCTATAAAATATTCCTTGTTGCATAAAATTTTTAACAACCACCTTTTCATTTTTTTTCTAATATACTCATAAAATGAGGTCTCAGCAGAACATGTAGGGGAAGATAGTGAATTTTATTTATGATTATTTGGTTCTAGACTTCTAGGTAACTGGTTAAAAGGTCAGGTAGTGAGTGGATAAAAAATAGATGGAGTGTGACCAGAGACTTGCTCAATGCTGCGGTCCAACATCCACGTTGATAATGGCTACATCCAGTTTAACTGTTTATGTAGCTTCTACTGATTTCAGTAGAATCAGAAACAGATTTTGGGTTTCAAATTTTCTGTTTGTGTAACAGGACATTAACAGTGTCCTGTTAATGAGAAAAGATTCTTCTGTACTGAGATGAGAAATGAATTGCATTGGGTTATTCAGATTATTTCCTGTGTATGTGTTTCCTATGTATGTGTATGTATTTCCTGTGTATGTGTTTCCTGTGTATTTCCTGTGTATGTGTTTTAAAGCCTTATTTTCTTTCTATGGGCCAATTTTAAGCCATTATTTCAACTCAATGAGTGTCTATTAATTGACTTGTCATGCCCAATTCTGAGACACAACTGGCTACTCTTAGAAGCTGTGAAACCTTTTTTGTGAAGGCAATTGCTAACATTTATTGATCACTTACCACATGCTAGTCATCAGCTATTAATTTCCATATATTACCTCATTTAATTATTGCCATAACTATATCAGTCTGGTTAATTTTCCTCTTACTTTAACCTAAAACTTAGGATGAATTTCTTACCCTATCTAGGTCTGTTTACTGTAGTACCTTTAACCTCCTTGCAAGGGTTTCAACTCATTTTTAGCTTCATGGCAACAACATAACTTCATAATGTCAGAAAAGGTAGGGGCTTAGCGATGGTCAGAACGTTATGATCATTTATGTCATCCATAAAAAATAAACCCTGGAAAAATACCTGAGTCTACTTCAAGTCCAGCAGAGAGCCTCAGGTATATTTTCTCCCCTCAGTTCCTTCTTCTAATCCCTTTTGTTTTTGTTTCTATGGGGAGCTATGCTGTTTGATCAGCCACAGCTCACTGTTAATTCAGATTATGTTTACAAGCCATTAAAACCCTCAGCCTTCATAACACATGAAACTGATAAGTTTTATTTTCTTCTTGCTCTATGGACACAGGTGAAGTTTTTGGATATAAGTGCTGGAATTATATCTTAGTTAAGAGTATCCGTCTAATTGTTCTAATTTTTGTTCTTCAATGAATTATAGACAGTCCCAAGAATTACAAAGTTTTATCAGGTCGCATCCCTAATCCTAAAGAGCAAATAAGCATGAAGGGGTTATTGACTATTTTTTGAATTACTCAGTTTGAACATGATTCCTCCTTGGGATGAATACTTCTTGGCTCCTCAGCCTCTTACTACAAAACCCAAGGGAGGCGTGGAGTCCCTCTCCCTGCTTGCTGGCAGCTGAGGTACAACTGTGGGCCTTTGACTGCACTGGCGGTTCAGATGATCCTGCTGAGGGCTTTGACCTTTAAGGGAATGATGTGGAATCTCAGGTTCAGTGCGCACATATTCACAGGAAGGTAGTACCATGGAGAATGCAGCTTTGAAGGACCAAGTTATATGGCTGGCACCTGTGCTGGGTCAAGACGTGATCTTGGATGATTCCTGCTGCCTATGACCTTTTCATCCCTGATCATCTTCAGAGATTTTTCTTCAGCCTTCATGTATACAGGCATACCTTGGAGGTATGTGGATTTGGTTCCAGACCACTGCAATGAAGCTGATATCACAATAGAATGAGTCACAAAAATTGTTTTGTTCCTGTTCATATAAAATTTATGTTTACACTGTACAGTTGTCTATTGAGTATGCAATAGCATTGTGTATAAAAAACCCAATATATTATACATAATGTAATTAAAAAATACTTTATTGCTAAAAAAGTGTTAATGATCATCTGAGCCTTCAGCAAAGTCATAAACTTTTTGCTGACTTGAAGGGTCTTGCCTCATTGTTGATTAGGATGGTGGTTGCTGAAGTTTGGGATGACTGTGGCAATTTCTTAAAATAAGAAAACAATGAATTTTGGCACACTGATGGAGTCTTTCTTTTACAAAAGATTTCTCTGCAGCATGTCACGCTGTTTGATAGCACTTCACCCACAGTGGAACTCCTTCCAAAACTGGAGTCAATCCTCTCAAGCCCTGCCACTGCAAATCCTTTGCTGTCATTTCAACAATGTTCACAGCATCTTCGCCAGGAGCAGTTTCCATCTTGTTTGCTCATCCATCCATAAAAGCAGCTCCCCTTCCATTTAAGTTTTATCATGAAATTGTAGCAACTCATCACATCTTCAGGCTCCACTTCTAATTCTAGTTATTTTGCTATTTCCACAACATCTGCAGTTACTTCTTCTGCTGAGATCTTGAACTTCTCAAAGTTATTCATAAGGTTTGGAATCAACTTCTTTCAAACTCATGTTCATGCTGATATTTTGACCTTCTTTCATGAATCATAAATGTTCTTAATAACATCTAGAATGGTGAATCTTTACAGAATGTTTTCAATTTACTTTGCACAGATCCATCAGAGGAATCACTGTCAATGGCATCTATAACCTTATGAAATGCATTTCTTAAGTAATATGACTTGAAAATCAAAATTACTCCTTGGCCCATGGGCTAAGAATGGATGTTGTATTAGCAGACATGAAAATAACTTTCATCTCTTATTCATCTCCATCTGAACTCTTGGGTGACCAGGTGCATTGTAATCAAGCAGTAATATTTTGAAAGAAATCTTTTTTCTGAGCAGTAGGTCTCAACAGTGGGCTTAAAAAATCCAGCAAATCATGCTATCAACAGATGTGCTATCTTCCAGGCTTTTTTGTGCCATTCACAGTGCACAAGCAGCAGAGATTTAGCATAATTCGCAAGGGCCCTAGGATTACGGGTTAGTTAATGAGCAATGGCTTCAACTTAAAGTCACTAACTGCATTAGCCCCTAATAAGACAGCCTGTCCTTTGAAGCCTCAAAGCCAAACATTGACTTCTCCGTACCTATGAAAGTCCTGGATGGCATCTTATTCCAGTATAAGGCTGTCTTGTCTACATTGAAAATCTGTTGTTGAGTGTAGCCACCTTCATCAATGATATTAGCTAGATTTTCTGGATAACTTGCTACAGCTTCTATATCAGCACTTGCTGCTTCACCTTGCACTTTTATTTTATGAAGATGGCTTCTCTCCTTGAACCTCATGAACCAAATTCTGATAGCTTCAAACTTTTCTTCTGAAGCTTCCTCATCTCTTTCAGCCTTCACAGAACTTAAGACAGTTAGGGTCTTGTTCTGGATTGGGCTTTGGCTTAAGGGAATGTTGTGGCTGGTTTGATCTTCTATCCAGACCAATAACATTTTCTCCATATTAGCAATAAGGTTGTTTCACTTTCTTAGCATTTATGTGTTCACTGGAGTAGCACTTATAATTTTCTTCAAGAACTTTTTCTTTGTATGTACAACTGTTTGGTGTAAGAGGCCTTTTTACCCATCTCAGCTTTTAACATGTCTTCTTCACTAAACTTCGTAATTTCTAGCTTTTGATTTTAATTGAGAGACAGGTGACTCTATTTTACTTGAATACTTAGAGGCCATTGCAGAGTTATTGATTGGCCTAATTTCAATATTGTTGTGTCTCAGGGAATAGGGAGGCTGGAGAGGAAAAAGAGAGATGGGAGCATGGCTGGTCAGTGGAACCGTCAGAACACACACAACATTTAGCTATTAAGTTGCCCTTTTATAAGAGCCTGGTTTGTGGTGCTCAAAAACAATTACAATAGTAACACCAAAGATCACAGATCACAGATTATCATAACAGATACAATAATGATGACAAAGTTTTAAACATTGAAAGAATTACTAAGATGTGACACAGGCACATTAAGTGACCACGTTATTGAAAAAAATGGTGCCAATAGACTTGCTCAACACAGGGCTGCCACAAACCTTCAGTTTAAAAAAAAAAAACAACACAGTATCTGAGCAGCACAATGAAGTGAAGCATAATGAAATTGAGTATGCTTGTACTTACAAAAAAATCCTGTTTGTGCTAAAAATAGACAGATGAAGACAGAGTTGGTTTCTGGTACTTGCAACTAAAAACCCAGCAGACCCAGGCTGCTTCTCTTCTCCTCTGCTGGTGTCACCATGGAGTGAATTCCCATCATCTCATGACTGGACCAGTGCAATAGCCTCTGCCTGGCTCTGGCTCCGGCTCCATGATCTCACCTTGTCTGGCTCTATACTCTCACGTGGCTTCCTGCAGCCCACTGAGCTACCACTTAAATCTGCAAGTCAGATTAGCCCATTCCAGTGGATAAAGTCCTTCAATGGCTTCCCGTCACATTAACACTCAATCTTCAACCTCTCACTTGATTGCCTCTATTTTCAAGTCCCGTATCCCCATGTTCCTCCCGCCCCCAAACTCCAGCGGTGCCATTCCTGCTTCTCCTCAACTACACCAAGCTTTGTCCTACTTCTGAGCCTTTCTACTTTTAGAGTTGCTAGATTTAAAAAGCTGTTTGTTACCTGGGATATAGAAAAACTGTTTGTTGTTTCTCTGAAATTCAGATTAAACTGGGCATCCTGTATTTTTGTTCCCCAAACCTGGAGCCTTCTGTTTGTTGTTCCTTGGTCTGACAGCAAACTGAAGAGGGAACCCTAAATTACAAAATTTTCCAAGTTTAACCTTTCTCCTTTTTTACTTCTTACTTTCAGTTTTTAATTTATCTAGAATTTAAAAAATCTACAGAGAGAAGTAATAGTACTGAACTTCTATAAAAGTCACAATGAAGTTACCCAGCAGCTATGATTATTTCATTAGGAAATAATTGACTCCCAGGAAGCCCCATGTACTGTAATCTCTTCTCTCCCCAATGAGGGCAGGATAATAGACCATTTTCCAAATCTAATTTGGTTTGTATTTTCCATCTGAAAGGCAGGCTGGACACAATGAAGACTTGGCTTATTGTTTTCCTGTTTCTGTTTGAACAGTGAACTGATTTGTAAAGAACCTTCATTGTACCTTTCACTTCTCTGACTCCCTCAATGTTCCTTGTGTTACCTCCAGTATGACAATGGGACCCATGGGCCACATGAGCTTATCACTTAGAGAGGCATCGATTTCTCCCTTTTTTAGAATAGCTTCATAAGAGCCATCAACATTTTAATAGAGTCAGGTATCTATTGGGAGGTTTATAAACCTGGGAAAATGAGTTTGTGTTCCACAATGTAGACACAGATATTTTTTATTAATTTAGAGAGCCAATTCCCCCAGGCAAATGAGATTCTGCTTGAGTGTTCAGCTTGTCTTTCAATAGTTCTGAAGACTTATGCTTGGATTTGTTGAATAGGCCTATGGGGCCTACAGAAAGATGCAGCGTTTCTATAATTTGGGGAAGCTTGGAGCCAGACATAAGGTGAAATTGAAAATACACAGCACTATGACAAGAATTGTCGACAGAACCAAGAGAGGGAGAGAAAGAGAGTGAGAAAGTAGGAGAGAGGAAGAGACAGAGACAGAGAGCAACAAAGGATTTACTTATCCTGTGACTGATAATTCCAGAGGTGGGTCTGGCTCAGGTATGGTTTGCTATAGGGGTTCAAATGATGTCATCTCACTTGCTCTGTCACTAAGCTTCACTTCCCTCTTGGTTTTATTTTCAATGAGGTTGCTTCTAAAATGGTGCCATAATGACTGCCAAACATTCCACATTTCTACTCCACACAGCTAATGGCCTCAGTAGAAATGAAAACCTCTCTTTGCTAATTCCATCAACAAATGACCCAGAGTTGATTCTCCTTGGCCTGACCGTGCTCAAGTGCCCATTTATGAACCAATCTTTGTCACCATGGAATAAAAAGTGCTCCTTGGTTAGCCCGGGGTCTATTCCCACTTCTCAAACAGGGAAGAAGTGATAAATCATGTCAGCTTTACTTATACCATATTGATGGCCAGTGGGGAAGGAGATAATTTGCTGAACAAATTTGGGATGCTATTTCTAAATAAAGAGGGAAAGATTGTATTACTTTATTTGGAAGTTTCTTTTCCCTTTTCTCCCTCTTTCCTTGTGATGTCATTCTGCTCTCACACTACAAATGAGTTCCTAATAACTCATGTGTTGGGGGAACCCAGAGGCTGCTATCACTTCATTGTACCATCAAGGGAGACACTGCAAACGTGTTAACATAAGCCAGACAAGACATAGACTTGGTTTTCATGACTGCCAACACCGACAGGCAGAGCATATATTTGAAACTATTTTCCTTCAGGCAACAAAGCAGAGAGCAGATGAAAGATCCACCTTTGAAAGATCTTCATATACTATGTTTGTCCTTGTGTTCTTTCTTTCAATTCTGTTATCTTCAGATGCTTTTGGAAAAAGCTACTCATCATGAGGTAGCAATAGGGGATGCCTACACTGCAGATCTAAGTTTGAATTATATATGAAATAATGATGGAGCTCCATTTCTAAATGTATACATCCTTCATAGTGCACAGGATGGTGATGGTAGTCCATATTACTAGATGTTTCCTCCTATTCCACAGCCACCGAGTGTATAATGCTGTCAATAGCCCTGTGCGGTAGATACTGTTATTATCTTTTTTCTTTTTTTCTTTTTCTTTTTTTTTTTTTTTTTTTTTGAGAGAGAGTCTTGCTCTGTTGCCCAGGCTGGAGTGCAGTGGCACAATCTCGGCTCATTGCAACCTCCACCTCCTGGGTTCAAGCAATTCTCCTGCCTCAACCTCCCACATACCTGGGATTACAGGTGCATGCCACCATTGTTTCTATTTTTTAAACTGAGTTATTCATAAGCAAGATCATCCTCATTGAAGCTATTTACTCAGGCATCATCAGCCATACCTTACAATGAAGAAATTAAGGCTTAGAGAAGGGAAGGAGGGCAGGTCCCAGATTTTCTGAGCTCCACATCAGCCTACTCAGGAAGTCCTGACTCACCTCTAAGCTTCACTACCCATATTGTGCTCTTCCATCTCCCTACAGGTCCTTTAAGTCAAGCCCAGAATGGGAAAAACAAACATCAGACCAACCTGTGTAGCTGTTTAGAGCTAAGTCATTGGAGCCAGACTGCATTTGTTCCAATACCAACTCCAGTTCTTACTTACGGGTTATATTAAATTCTCTGGGGCTTAGTGCCTGCCCCAAGGAGCTGCTACGGTACAGATGAAATTAATCACTTTTAAGCACTTCTAAAAGTGCTCAGAACAGTGCCTGACACATAATATGTATTCAAAGACCCCATTTGTACAGCGTTCTTTGCTATTACTTGCCAGGGCTTCATATCATACAATACAGAAAAGTCCCTGAGGAATATCTGGTAGTGAATGCCCTTTGTCTCACATGGATGTCCCTCTTTCAGCACTTAAATCTACACTGAGTATATTTTACTAGTTTGTTCCTACACCAATAGACAGTTTACTTCAGATGACTTTGGACACTTCCTATAGAGTTAATCAGCTGGCTTACAGTAATGAGCATGAGGGTAGTATTAAAAAAAAAAGAAAAATAAAAAGCCTGGATGTCGTATAGTCAAGTAGGGGTGAGATTGAATCCAGGCCCAGTGTGCTTAAGACCTGTGTGACTTTAGGCAAATTACTTCACTTCTCCGAACTCCATTTTCTTATCTGAAAAATGAGAATAGAAACATTTTCCTAACTCAGATGATGTGAGGATGCCTACTGTGCATAGTAAATGCATGGCACACAGGAGAAAGAGGCAGCCTTCTTAATCATAATTTAACAAACCTCGGATCTTTGTTTCATCATTGTTTCCTTGTTATTTGCTTTTGCCTGTGAGAACAGCATCTGCTGAAGGCCTTTCAGAAGATTTTGCCTGCTTTGTGATGGTCCTTGTGGGCAGACTGTTCACAACATGACTACTTACTAGCCAACTCCTTAGTCTCCAGACATAAACATTTATATATTTACTTTTTAAGAACAGTGCAGATATATGTGATGATTCAAAACAGTCAGAATGCCAAATTTTGCCCAGTGATAACTGCTTAGCCGGTATAGCTCCCTTTTTTTTTTGAATCGCTACATGGCAGATATTTTATTCCCGTGTCTACACTGAGCTGAGGAAACTGATGATCTTACCGGAAATGTAATTTGCTCAAGGTCAGAGTTCCAAGTGCATTGAACCAGCCAAACTCATGCTTTTGCGTCCTATCAGCTCCTTTCCCTCCCTCCCTTCCTCCCTTGTCCTTTCCTTCCTCCTTTCTTTCTCTCCCTTACTTTTCTCCCTCATACTCTTTCTCCTTCTTTCATCCCTGCTTCTTTCCCTCACCTTCTCCCTTTTCTCCTTTTTCATTCAACAAGGATTTTCTAAGAACCTACACAATGCCAGTATCTTCTAGATCTTGGGAATGGAAGAATGAAAAGATGAAGGAAACATTTCCAGATGCAGATGACTTACAGTCTCAAAAAGAATTTGCTAGATGAACCCTGGGTGAGTATTAACCAGACCTCAGATCTTGAGCAATCCACTGGGTGTCCATCCCGATTGATTTCAAGTAAAGTTCTTTGGTTTCTTTGGAAACTTCGACATAAAGGGTCTTGCCAGGGAATTTGAAATTGGGGTATGGATTTTTTTTCAATGCAAGAAACAATGAAAATATAAAAATATGGAAACAACTGAAAGCTAGAATTAGGTTATGAAACTATCAATATTATTGTTGCTTAAAAAGATAGTGCAGTCATATCATGTACTGTGTTAACTTACCTAAATTTACCTGCATATATGTTTGGCAAAGAGAGACAAAAGTGGGGTGGGTGGGAAAGAGACCACAGAGAGAGTGAGCAATTTAAACAATGCAGGAAGTTCAGGCCATGTTCCATCACAGTGTCTGCTTGAGGGTGATCTTGACATATGATGGGTATCTACTGTTTTCATGTTTATTTCACACTGTGGGCACATGGCCATGCATAATGTAATTCTAGTGTTTAAAAGTCATTATTTTTAATTTACCATGCCCCAAAATGCCAAGGATCTGGTACTCAACTGAAGAAAGGGTCATCTGGAAAGCTGTGCAGGACTAATGGACTTCAATGTGTCAGTCTCTAATGCAGTGTCATTTAAGGACTTGTCAAGGGGCTAATTTTGACTATGCATATTTTTCATCTTATGCACTTACTTTGGAAGCACAGTCTCTCAGGGTAAGGGACACCCCTGCATTATGTTTAAATTTAGAGTCTACTAAGCCCCCTACATAAATAATGGATTTGCATCTGTGAATTGTAATAATCTCTAGAAGGAGATAATTTGCAAGGACATTAACTTGATAGGCAAGCCACTATTAATTAGAAATCTTAACATGTTGGCTTGTTAATGGCTAATTAAGCCTTTACTGAGATCCATTGCAGGTAAGAGGCAATGAAGAACAATCCAGGAATATGAAATGCTATTCGCCTTTGAATTTGATTCTGTTCAAAAAAAAGTATAGAAAGTCTAGAAATAATTATAGGTAAGACAAAAACAAGCCTCCAGCAAATTAAAAAGGAAATCACTGGGAAAAGTAAAAGCCATCAAAATTAAAAATAGAATTCATTACCTGTTCAAACAGTTGTATTACCACGCAATCTGAAAATACTCTCAGGATTGCTTTGTATTTTTATTTTACTTTAAGTTTCAGGATACATGTGCAGAATGTGCAGGTTTGTTTCATAGGTATACATGTGCCATGGTGGTTTGATGCACCTATTGACCTGTCATTTAGGTTCCCTCCCCTCACCCCTTACCCTCCAACAGGCTCCTGTGTGTGTTGTTCTCCTTTGTGTCCATATGTTCTCATTGCTCAACTTCCACTTATGAGTGAGAATATGCAGTGTTTGGTTTTCTGTTTCTGTGTTAGTTTGCTGAGGATGATGACTTCCAGCTTCATCAGTGTCTGTGCAAAGGACATGCTCTCATTCCTTTTTATGGCTGTATACTATTCAATGGTGTATATGTACCAAATTTTCTTTATCCAGTAAATGCCCATTGATGGGCATTTGGATTGGTTACATGTCTTTGCTATTGTAAATAGTGCTGCAGTAAACATACATGTGTATATGTCTTTATGATAGAATGACTTCTATTCCTTTTGGTAATGGGATTCCCCAGTAATGGAATTGCTGGGTCAAATGGTA
This sequence comes from Homo sapiens, assembly GCF_000001405.40. Lineage (NCBI taxonomy): Eukaryota > Metazoa > Chordata > Mammalia > Primates > Hominidae > Homo > Homo sapiens. The sequence goes on from NC_000003.12 coordinate 63,010,601, forward strand.
TCTCTGGTTCTAGATCTTTTAGGAATTGCCACACTGTCTTCCACAATGGTGGAACTAATTTACATTCCCACCAACAGTGTAAAAGCATTCTTATTTCTCCACAGCCTCGTCAGCATCTGTTGTTTATTCACTTTTTAATAATCGCCATTCTGACTGGTTGAGATGGTACCTCATTGTGATTTTGATTTGCATTTCTCTAGTGATCAGTGATGTTGAGCTTTTTTTTCATATGTTTATTGGCCACATAAATGACTTCTTTTAAAAGTGTCTGTTCATATCCTTCATGTACTTTTTGATGGGGTTGTTTGTTTTTTTCTTGTAAATTTGTTTAAGTTCCTTGTAGAGTCTGGACATTAGACCTTTGTCAGGTGGATAGATTATACAAATTTTCTCCCATTCTCTAGGTTGCCTGTTCACTCTGATGATGGTTTCTTTTGCTGTGCAGAAGCTCTTTAGTTTAATTAGATCCCATTTGTCAATTTTGGCTTTTGTTGCTATTGCTTTTGGTGTTTTAGTCATGAAGTCTTTGCCCATGCCTATGTCCTGAATGGTATTGCTTAGGTTTTCTTCTAGGGTTTTTATGGTTTTGGGTTTTACACAAGTCTTTAATCCATCTTGAGTTAATTTTTCTATAAGGTGTAAGGAAGGGGTCCAGATTCAGTTTTCTGCATATGGTTAGCCAGTTGTCCCAGCACCATTTGTTGAATAGGAAATCCTTTTCCCATTGCTTGTTTTTGTCAAGTTTGTTGAAGATCAGATGGTTGTAGATGTGTGGTGTTATTTCTGAGGACTCTGTCCTGTTCCATTGGTCTACATGTCTGTTTTGGTACCAGGATTATGCTGTTTTGGTTGCTGTAGCCTTGTAGTACAAAGTCAGGTAGCAGGATGCCTCCAGCTTTTTTTTTTTTTTTTTTTTTTTTTTTTGCTTAGAATTGTCTTAGCTATATGGGCTCTTCTTTCATTCCATAAGAAATTTAAAGTAGTTTTTTTCTAGTTCTGTGAAGAATGTCAATGGTAGTTTGGTGGGAATAGCATTGAATCTATAAATTACTTTGGGCACTATAGGCATTTTCATGATATTGATTCTTCCTATCCATGAGGATGGAATGTTTTTCCATTTGTTTGTGTCCTCTCTTATTTCCTTGATCAGCAGTTTTTAGTTCTCTAAGGTCCTTCACATCCCTTGTTAGCTGTATTCCTAGGTATTTTATTCTCCTTGTAGCATAGTGAATGGGAGTTCATTCATGATTTGGCTCTCTGCTTGTCTTTTGTTGGTGTATAGGAGTGCTTTGATTTTTGCACAATGATTTTGTTTCTTGATACTTTGCTGAAGTTGCTTATGAGCTTAAGGAGTTTTTGGGCTGAGACGATGGGGTTTTGTAAATATACAATCATGCCATCTGCAAACAGAGACAATTTGACCTCCTCTCTTCCTATTTAAATACCCTTTATTTCTTTCTCTTGCCTGATTTCCCTGGCCAGAACTTCCAATACTATGTTGAATAGGAGTGGTGAGAGAGGGCATCCTTATCTTGTGCTGGTTTTCAAAGGGAATCTTTCCAGCTTTTGACCATTCAATATGATATTGGCTGTGGGTTTGTCATAAGTAGCTCTTATTATTTTGAGATATGATCCATCAACTACCTAGTTTACTGAGAGTTTTTAACATGAATCGATGTTTAATTTTATCAAAGGCTTTTTCTGGATCTATTGAGATAATTGTGTGGTTTTTGTCTTTGGTTCTGTTTATGTGATGGATTACGTTTATTGATTTGCCCATGTTGAACCAGCCTTGCATCCCAGGGATGAAGCCAACTTGAACGTGGTGAATAAGCTTTTTGATGTGCTGCTGGATTTGGTTTGCCAGTATTTTATTGAGGATTTTTGTACCAATGTTCCTCAGTAATGTTCGCCTGAAGTTTTCTTTTTTTGTTGTGTCTCTGACGGGTTTTGGCATCAGGATGATGCTGGCCTCATGAAATGAATTAAGGAGGAGTCCCTCCTTTTCAATTGTTTGGAATAATTTTGGAAGGAATGATACCAGCTCCTCTTTGTAACTGTAGTAAATTTCGGCTGTGAATCTGGTCCTGGGCTTTTTTTGGGTGGTAGGCTATTACTGCCTCAATTTCAGAACTTCTTACGGTCTATTCAGGGATTCGACTTCTTCCTGGTTTAGTCTTGGGAGGGTGTATTTGTCCAGGAATTTATCCATTTCTTGTAGATTTTCTAGTTTATTTGCACAGAGGTGTTTATAGTATATTCTGATGGTAGTTTGTATTTCTGTGGGGTCAGTGGTAATATCCCCTTTATAATTTTTTTATTGTGTTTATTTTATTCTTCTCTCTTCTCTTCTTTATTAGTCTAGCTAGCAGTCTATCTGTTTTGTTAATTTTTTTCAAAATACTAGCTCCTGGATTCATTGATGTTTTGGAGGGTATTTTGTGTCTCTATTTCCTTCAATTCAGCTCTGTTCTTAGTTATTTCTTGTCTTCTGCTAGCTTTTGGATTTGTTTGCTCTTGCTTCTATAGCTCTTTTAATTGTGATGTTAGGTTGTTGATTTGAGATCTTTCTAGGTTTCTGATGTGGGCATTTAATGTTATAATTCTCCCTCTTAATACTGCTTTAGCTGTGTCCCAGAGATTCTGGTACATTGCCTCTTTGTTCTCATTGGTTTCAAAGAACTTCTTCATTTCTGCCTTAATTCCATTATTTACCCAGGAGTCATTCAGGAGCAGATTGTTCAATGTCCATCTAATTGTGTGATTTTGAGAGAGTTTCTTAATCCTGAGTTCCAATTTGATTGAACTGTGGTCTCAGAGACTGTTATGTTTTCAGTTCTTTTGCATTTGCTGAGGAGTGTTTTATTTCCAATTATGTGGTCAATTTTAGAATAAGTGCCATGTGACACTAAGAAGAATGTATATATTGCTGATTTGGGCTGGAGAGTTCTGTGGATCCATTTGATCCAGAGCTGAGTTCAAGTCTTGAATATCCTTGTTTTCTGTCTCATTGATCTGTCTAATATTGACAGTGGGGTGTTAAAGTCTCCCACTGTTATTGTGTGGGAGTCTAATTCTCTTTGTAGGTCTCTCTGAACTTGTTTTATGAATCTGGGTGCTCCTGTATTGCATGCATATATCTTTAGGATAGTTAGCTCTTATCATTGAATTGATGCCTTTACTATTATGTAATGCCTTTGTCTTTTTTGATCTTTGTTGGTTTAAAACCTGTTTTGTCAGAGACAAGAACTGCAACCCCTGCTTTTTTTTGCTTTCCACTTGCTTGGTAAATTTTGCTCCATCCCTTTATTTTGAGCCTATGTGTGTTTTTGCACTTGAGATGGGTCTCCTGAATATAGGACACCAATGGGTCTTGACTCTGTATCCTCCGTATCCAATTTGCCAGTCTTCTTTTAATTGGGCACAGTTAGCTCATTTACATTTAAGGTTAATATTGTTATGTGTGAATTTGATCCTGTCATCATGATGCTATCTGATTATTTTGCACACTAGTTGATGCAGTTTCTTCATAGTGTCGTTGGTCTTTATATTTCGGTTTGTTTTTGTAGTGGGTGGTACTGGTTTTTCCTTTCCATATTTAATGCTTCCTTCAGGAGCTCTTGCAAGGCAGGCCTGGTGGTGATGAAATCCCTCAGCATTTGCTTGTCTGGAAAAGATTTTATTTCTCCTTTGCTTACGAAGCTTAGTTTGGCTGGATGTAAAATTCTGGGTTGAAAATGCTTTTCTTTAATAATGTTGAATATTGGCTCCTGCTCTCTTCTGGCTTATAGGGTTTCTGCTGAGAGGTCCTCTGTTAGTCTGATGGGCTCCCCTTTGTAGGTGACCTGGCCTTTCTCTCTGGCTGCCATTAACTTTTTTTCTCTTCATTTTGACCTTGGAGAATCTGATGATTATGCCTCGGGGTTGAACTTCTCATGGAGTATCTTAGCGGTGTTCTCTGTATTTCCTGAAATTTTGGGGAAGTCCTTTTTTATAATATCCTGAATTGTGTTTTCCGGCTTGGTTCCATTCTCCCCATGTCCTTCAGGTCTAATTAATCACAGATTTGGTCTTTTTACATAGTCCCATATTTCTCAGGTGTTTTGTTCATTTCCAGCTCCATCAGGTTATTTATGTTCCTCTCTAAACTGGTTATTCTAGTTAGCAGCTCCTTTAACTTTTTATCAAGGTTCTTAGCTTCTTTGCATTGGTTTAGAACATGCTCCTTTAGCTCAGCAGAATTTGTTATTACCCACCTTCTGAAGCTGACTTCTGTCAATTCATCCATCTCATCCTCCATCCAGTTCTATGCCCTTGCTAGAGAGGTGTTGCGATCATTTGGAGAAGAGGCGCTCTGGTCTTTTTGGTTTTTAGCATGTTTCTGTTGATTCTTTCTCATCTTCAAGAGTTTGTCTATTTTTTATCTTTGAGGCTGCTGACCCTTGGATGGGATTTTTGTGGGGCCTTTTTGATGTTGTTGATGCTGTTTTTATTGTTTTTTGTTTGTTTGTTTCTTTTTCAATGATCAGGTCCCTCTTCTGCAGGGCTGCTTTCGGTTTGCTGGGGGTTCACTTCAGGCCCTATTTGTCTGGTTTGTTCCTGTGCCTGGAGTTGTCACTCAAGGAGGCTGGAGAACAGCAAAGATGGGTGCCTGCTCCTTTCTCTGAAATCTCTGACCTTGAGGGCACCAACCTGATGTGTAGGATTGCCCCTGTATAGGGTGTCTGACAAACCCTGTTAGAGGGTCTCACCCAGTCGGGTGGCACAGGGAGCAGGACCCATTTAATGAAGCAGTTTGACTGTCCCTTGGTGGAGGGGGTGTTCTTTGCTGGGGGGAAACCGACTTGTCTGGGCTGCCTGGATTCTTCAGAACTAACAGGAGGAAAGGCTAAGTCTGCTGGTCCACAGAGACTGTGGCCATCCCTCCCCCTGGGAGCTCAGGCCCAGGGAGATCAGAGTTCTGTCCTTGAGCCCGTGGCTGGAGTTGGAGTTCCTGCAGGGAGGCCCTGCCCGCTGAGGAAGGATGGGTCAGGGTGAGGCCTGAAGAGGCACTCTGGCTGCAGTCCGCCAGCAGGGGACACCTCTTGGGACCAAGCTGTCCAGCCTCCCTGGCTCCAGCAGGGGAAAACAGCAGCCTACAGCTAAAGATGGCTGCCACCCTTCCCCCACCCATGCAGCTTAGCGTGTTAGGCAGCTGTTAGTCCCAGTGATGGCTGCTGCCCCTCCCCCAAGGACCTCAAACAGCTTAGACAATAGGCAGTCACAGCTGTGGTGCTGGTCACCCCTCCCCCAGGGAACCAGGCAGCCTTAAGCACATTTTAGCTGAGAGACTGTTGAGAATCTGCGTGGCTTTGGGGTTGGGACCTTAGGCCCCGGTGGTGTGAATTCACCCCAATCTGTGGGTTGCATGGTTCCATGCGAAAAGCAGTTTCTCCTGCTGTGTAGCACGCTCACTCACACCTCCCTTGGCTGGGGGGTAGGAGCTCCTCTCCCCCATGTGGCTCTCAGGTGGGCCTCCACACCACACTGCTCTTCCTTCCTCTCCTTAGATCACGCCAGCTGCCTAGTCAGTTCTGATGAGAGAACCTGGATAGCTCGGTTGCCAGTGCAGGATTCACATGCTATTGTGATACTTTTCAATGGGCACCTAAGATCGCCACTGCTTGTAGTCAGCCCCGGATTGCTTTTTAAAGACACGTGTGTAAAAATGTCCTTAAATACCCCGGAGACACACCAACTATCTTACCAGAATTAAATATTTCTTATGTAATTTGACATTATGTTTTTTTCAGACATAACAAGAGTGTAAAATGACACAATTTTAACTGTCAAGAAACACAGAAGCATCATACTTATATTTCAGGCCTACCATTTTGTCACTTCTCTCTTTTTTTGAGAATTTGATGGGCAAAATTAGGAAGCTCCGTTCCTTAGTTTTCTTTCTTTTTTTTTTTCTAATTTTAAGTTTTAGGGCACATGTGCACAACGTGCAGATTAGTTACATATGTATACATGTGCCATGTTGGTGTGCTGCACCCATTAACTCGTCATTTAACATTAGGTATGTCTCCTAATGCTGTCCCTCCCCCCTACCCCCACCCCACAACTGGCCCTGGTGTGTGATGTTCCCCTTCCTGTGTCCGTGTGTTCTCATTGTTCAATTCCCACCTATGAGTGAGAACATGCGGTGTTTGGTGTTTTGTCCTTGCGATAGTTTGCTGAGAATGATGGTTTCCAGCTTCATCCATGTCCCTACAAAGGACTTGAACTCATCATTTTTTATGGCTGCATAGTATTCCATGGTGTATATGTGCCACATTTTCTTAATCCAGTCTATCATTGTTGGACATTTGACTTGGTTCCAAGTCTTTGCTATTGTGAATAGTGCCTCAATAAACATACATGTGCATGTGTCTTTATAGCAGCATGATTTGTAGTCCTTTGGGTATATACCCAGTAATGGGATGGCTGGGTCAGATGGTATTTCTAGTTCTAGACCCCTGAGGAATCGCCACAGTGACTTCCACAATGGTTGAACTAGTTTACAGTCCCACCAACAGTGTAAAAGTGTTCCTATTTCTCCACATCCTCTCCAGCACCTGTTGTTTCCTGACTTTTTAATGATCACCATTCTAACTGGCGTGAGATGGTATCTCATTGTGGTTTTGATTTGCATTTCTCTGATGGCCAGTGATGATGAGCATTTTTTCATGTGTCTTTTGGCTACATAAATGTCTTCTTTTGAGAAGTGTCTGTTCATATCCTTTACCCACTTTTTGATGGGGTTGTTTGTTTTTTTCTTGTAAATTTGTTTGAGTTCATTATAGAGTTGTTTTTTTCTTGTAAATTTGTTTGAGTTCATTGTAGATTCTGGATATTAGCCCTTTGTCAGATGAGCAGATTGCAAAAAATTTCTCCCATTCTGTAGGTTGCCGGTTCACTGTGATGGTAGTTTCTTTTGCTGTGCAGAAGCTCTTTAGTTTAATTAGATCCCATTTGTCAATTTTGGCTTTTGGTGCCATTGCTTTTGGTGTTTTAGACATGAAGTCCTTGCCTATGCCTATGTCCTGAATGGTATTGCCAAGTTTTCTTCTAGGGTTTTTATGCTTTCAGGTCTAACATTTAAGTCTTTAATCCATCTTGAATTAATTTTTGTAGAAGGTGTAAGGAAGAGATCCAGTTTCAGCTTTCTACATATGGCTAGCCAGTTTTCCCAGCACCATTTATTAAATAGGGAATCCTTTCCCCATTGCTTGTTTTTGTCAGGTTTGTCAAAGATCAGATAGTTGTAGATATGTGGCATTATTTCTGAGGGCTCTGTTCTGTTCCATTGGTCTATATCTCTGTTTTGGTACCAGTACCATGCTGTTTTGGTTACTGTAGCCTTGTGGTATAGTTTGAAGTCAGGTAGCGTGATGTCTCCAGCTTTGTTCTTTTGGCTTAGGATTGACTTGGCGATGCGGGCTCTTTTTTGGTTCCATATGAACTTTAAAGTAGTTTTTTCCAATTCTGTGAAGAAAGTCACTGGTAGCTTGATGGGAATGGCATTGAATCTATAAATTACCTTGGGCAGTATGGCCATTTTCATGATATTGATTCTTCCTACCCATGAGCATGGAATGTTCTTCCATTTGTTTGTATCCTCTTTTATTTCATTGAGCATTGGTTTGTAGTTCTCCTTGAAGAGGTCCTTCAAGTCCCTTGTAAGTTGGATTCCTAGGTATTTTATTATTCTCTTTGAAGCAATTGTGAATGGGAGTTCACTCATGCTTTGGCTCTCTGCTTGTGTGTTATTTGTGTATAAGAATGCTTGTGATTTTTGCACATTGATTTTGTATCCTGAGACTTTGCTGAAGTTGCCTATCAGCTTAAGGAGATTTTGGGCTGAGACGATGGGGTTTTCTAGATATACAATCATGTCATCTGCAAACAGGAACAATTTGACTTCCTCTTTTCCTAATTGAATGCCCTTTATTTCCTTCTCCTGCCTGATTGCCCTGGCCAGAACTTCCAACACTATGTTGAATAGGAGTGGTGAGAGAGGGCATCCCTGTCTTGTGCCAGTTTTCAAAGGGAATGCTTCCAGTTTTTTCCCATTCAGTATGATATTGGCTGTGGGTTTGTCATAGATAGCTCTTATTATTTTTAGATACGTCCCATCAATACCAATTTATTGAGAGTTTTTAGCATGAAGGGTTGTTCCTTAATTTTCAACCTATCCAGCATAACCTGGATTTAGGCTTTTCTGAATAAATGGCTTTGAGCAGTAAGTTTTGATCTCTTTAAACAATAATCATTTGCTTCAGTGTCCTGAAAGCAGGATGGACTGCAAGAGACAGGTGTACCAGCAATCCCAAACAAGGAGAATGGTGGTTGGGTGACATCCTAAAGTTTTCTTGTCTCTTTCAAAGACCATTCTCCAGAATAACACTTGTCAGTAAAGACATAAGACCCCTTTTTCTCCTGACTCACCCAACCCTAGGTAAAAAAAAAAAGTTCCCCCAAAACACGATAGGGAAGCCCATAAACAAAAGAGGATCCTTTATTTTAGTCATCTCATTATTTGGCTTCCACAGAATCCAGTGGATCTCAATGAAGGCTTAAATGGCTTCCAAATAATGAGATGTCCAAAAGAAGGAGATGTATTGGAGGGTCATCAGAGGTTCATGAAAATTCTGCAAGTTTGCAGAACTGATCTGTGGCTTGAGGAGGCTCTAAGGCAGGAGTGTCCAATCTTTTGGCTTCCCTGGGCAACATTGGAAGAAGAAGAATTGTCCTGGGCTACACATAAAAAAAACTAACACTAATGATAGATGATGAGCTAAAAAAAAAAAAAATCAGAAATTTTTATGTTTTAAGAAAGTTTATGAATTTGTGTTGGGCCACATTCAAAGCTGTCCTGGGCCACATGTGGCCTGCAGGCCGTGGGTTGGACAAGCTTGCTCTAAGGCAATTCCAGAGAGCCAGGACTCAGGGTGCCTCATTGTAAGGCAGGGACAGTCTGTCACAGAACCTTTCCTGGACTGAGTCACCATCAATCATTCCTTCTGCTTTTTTTGTCACTTACTCAAGCTTTAAACTGGACAGGAAGTCCAAATGCCTGAGTTTAAGTAACATAACTGTTCAGCCTAGTCCAACTTTCTAATTGATTCTTTTGGTTATAAGGACTCTATTAAGTTCTTCTTTTTAAAGGCAAGAGCTAAAGATTCGTACTTTTGTTTCAGTTGCCTTTTATTTTGTTTCAGTTGCCTTTTATTTGCCATCAATATGCTTAAACATTTATTTTGTTGGATCAATAAGTTTGCAGATAATGAACTGGAAATGTGTGTGTTCAATGATAATAAATAATCCATTACTAATTAATTCTCCTGAATTAGAATTCAGTTATTGATGTTAGAAGTAAGAGTTTTTGCCAGTCACTAAAGATAAAATCGTTCTCCAAAAGAATAGGAATAAAAATGTCATTCTTTATAGTTTTTTTAACCACTTTTTTCAAATGATTATGGATGGCAAAAAATCATGTTTCACTGGTTTCACGTAATCTTCTATTAAAAGAGCTGATTTGAAAATACCAAAAAAAAAAAAATAGTGGGAGGATTACTTAAAGCCAGGAGTTTGAGACTAGTCTAAGCAACAAAGCAAGACACCATCTCTTAAAAAAAAAATAAAAATAAAAAACATTAGCAAGACACAGCTACTTGGGAGGCTAAGGTGGGAAGATCACTTGAGCCCGGAAGTTTGAGGCTGCAGTAAGCTATGACTGCACGACTGCACTTCAGTCTGCGTAACAGAGCCAAACAAAAAGAAAGATAAAGAAAGATGAAAGAAAGAAAAAGAGAGAAGAGAGAGAAAGAAAGGAGGGAGGGAGGACAGAAAGTGAAAGAAAAGGGAGGAGAGAGGGAAAGAGAGAGAAAGAAGGAAAGAAAATAAAGAAAAAATGAAAGAGAGAAAGAAGGGAGGGAGGGAGAGAGGGAAAGAAAGAGAAAGAAATGAAATGGGAAGAGAGGGAAAGAGGGAAAGAGAGAAAGAAGGAAAGAAAGAAAAAAGAAAGAAAAAGAAAATACAACAAAAAGAAAGAAAGAAATAATATAGCATGACAGCTTCAAGCTTCTATCTAGCACCACTCATGCAATTGTAGGCAATATGAGGCTGGAGACATGTTTTAGCTTCAAGCACAACACTGCTTGCTGTCCAACAAATAGTAAATTGTCCTAAATTGAATTGAATTGACCCTAAAATGCTGAACCAAGAGAAAATACTGTCTTTCTGTGGTTCCTCAAAGCAGTTCTGAAAGAAACGTTCGTTTGGGATCAAATGTAACTTGCCACTTGCTCCTTGTCCAACACCAGGCTCTCAGAGTTAAAGTAAAAATTCAGGATTATCCCTTCTGATTCCCCTCCATCAGCACTAGACTTAATTATTTATAAGTAATTTGTTGGAATGTCAGTGTTTAAGTTTTAAAGCTAGTGATGATTAGTGATTTGATACATAATAATGTTTAATACCAACAAAGGAGTAAAATGTTTAAGCTATTCGACCCCCTGTTTTTCTTTTTCTTTTTCTTTTTTCTTTTTTTTTTTTTTTGAGATGGAGTCTTGCTCTGTTTGCCCAGGCTGGAGTGCAGTGGTGCGATCTCGGCTCACTGCAGCCTCTGCCTCCCAGGTTCAAGCGATTTTCTTGCCTCAGCCTCCCAAGTAGTTGGGACTACAGGTGCATGCCAGCACACCCGGCTAATTTTTTTGTATTTTTAGTAGAGACGTGGTTTCACCGTGTTAGCCCGGATGGTCTTAATCTCCTGACCTCATGATCCACCCACCTCAGCCTCCAAAATAAAATTTCAAAAATGTCATGTATTGTCCATGATCTCATTACAATTCACTCTCTTACTTTTTTATTCTTAGTGTTAAAATCGGCATGAAGCTGGTAGGATCCACTATTCAGTGTGTTTTGTAGAGATGGCCAATTGTTATGTCTGAAGAACTTGTCCTCCGGATCTCTCCCATCTTTCCTTGGCCTGGCAAGAGTGGAGGGCCTGGCAAGAGTGGAGAGCCTGCCACAGTAGCCTTTAGAGCTAACTACACAATACTGCAATCTGATAAATAGAAACCCCACTGCCTTTTACCCATCTTCCTCTATGACTTTCAGTACTTTCCAAATGGTGTGGACTATGAAAAAAAATAAATAATAACAAAAATGTGGTTACATCAGACACAGGTGGAATGAGAGGGAGCTTTATTAAATAAGAGCATATTAAAATGTGTTAAAATAAATATCTTTTAATTTGAACATTAAATTTTGTCAGCCTGTAGCATGTCAATTCAACATATCTGTTAAAAATGAGATTTTTAGGAGCTTTCCTGACATGTGTAATTCTAAGAGGTTGCGAACAGTATTCCTTCTCAGAAGCATGTCCTCTGTAATCATATTACCTGGACTAAAGACAGAGGCCTGGTGCTGAGACTTCACATTTTTATTTTGGCATTTTAAAGGCTGCATATGTCTTCTCCCTGTCAGACTCTTCTCCACTTCGTTTTACTCTGCCTCCTGGTTTCCTTTCTTCTGTCACGTCTCCTTAGACAAAGTTCCACTTCTCATTTCCATGAATCCTTGGTCTAACATCAGTTGAACATTCTCTGCAGTGCCTGGGGCTCTTTGGAAAAGAGATGTTATAGAAATCTAATGAATAAATAAAAGACTAGCTCATACCCTCAGGTCCTTGTGTTGCCTAGTGCTGATGAAGTTAGCAATTTTCTAGGATTTGAATAAGTATATTACTGAAATGTAGACTATGAAACAGAGTAAACTTCATTTAAATGAGGAGAGGCTACTGTGGGGTAATTTCAACCACAGTAAGGCCCTAATCACATCTTCTGTGTTTATTTTTTCTTCTTGGTAAGGTATATGTGCCCAGTTCTAGGTCTAATATTGTTGTTCTTAAGACATTAAAATGTATTTTATAAACCTTCATTCACTCTGTCTGCATTGCACAGAAAACATATTTTTCTGTTGGCAAAACACACACATAGTTAGGAAGCCTGTGTGTTTATGTAATTATATTTGGGTTTCTGGTGAAATCCTCTAAGGACACTTGATTGATTTAAAATAAATGGAATATCATTTGTAAGCTTAAGGGAGGCTTGGAGAGTTAGATTCAGTGGTGTGCTGAGAACTGACTCTAGTATTATTACAAAAAGAACATAGTCATTGCAACATTTCAACTTTGTTGATCCCTTAATATCAGAAATTCTCCACTTAAACATATATTCTGATGTCAAAAGATTAGAAAGAACTCGTTTCCCCCGCGATTTTGGCCCAACACACAAGGCCTTTTAATCACCTTAGCACAGGACAGTGATCTCTTTGGAAAATGACAAGTTAGTTCATTCCTGCTTCTTTCCACTGGTGCTGGAGCAACAGGGAGAATGGTGCAAATTGCACTCTGTGAAATAATGAAGCAAATAATGTCTCTTCAAATGGAACTGAGCATATTTACATCTAGAAATATGTTCTATATGAATGCTTTTATTGTGCAAAAATAATTCACTGACATGGAGATAATGCAGAGTGGAGAGTGGAGGAACAGGGAGGATTTTATAGACACTCCCATTGAGACAGTTTTCCTGAAATGAGTCAGGTTTGGTCTTCTAAGCTATATGGATGATGTATTTTATTGGCTTCACTGTCATTCTAATAAGATGATTTTGGTCTCAGATGTATCTTTTTTTTTTTTTTTTTTTTTGGTAAAGCCAGGGTCTCACTTGATCACCCAGGCTGAAGTGCAGTGTGCATGATCATAGCTCAGTACATCCTGGAACTCCTGGCCTCAAGTGATCCTCCTGCTTTCGTCCCTTTTGCCAATGGCATACCAATTTTTTAGCACCAACAGCTCATTACCACATTGGCTATAGACATTTCCAAATAAGCATCAGAAGCCATTGGCCAATATATTTTTAAAAGACAGATAAATCTAAGCCATGTATGGTGGCTCATGCCTGTAATCCAAGCACTTTTGGAGGCCAAGACAGGAAGATTGCTTGAAGTCAGGAGTTCACGACTAGCCTGGGCAAAAAAAAATGAGACCCTGTCTCTTCAACAACAACGACAACAACACAATTAGCCAGGCGTGGTGGTGCACACCTGTAGTTGCAGCTACTAGGGAAGCTAAGGTGAGAAGATCCCTTGAGTCCAGGAGTTTGAGGCTAAAGTAAGGTATGATCGTGCCACTCACTCCACCCTGGGTGACAGAGCAATACCCTATCTCTAAAAAAAAAAAAAAAAAAAAAAAAAAGTGGGGTAGGGGTGGGGCAAAATTTAAAACATTTAATAAATTTTTTTAAAAATCTCTTGGGAGTTTAAACTGGGAGACAGAAGGCGGCAATTAGTTGGAGTCAGGGTGAAAGGTTGAATATAGAAGTCCTAATATGGTTAGAACATGGTAAGCTATAGCTGGGAGGGATTGATTTAAAACCATGCTAAGCATGAGCTATAAGATAAAGACAATATCAACAAGACAGAGAGTTAGCAAGGTGCAGTTGAACAAGGAATGTAGTTCAGTCACAAGTATCTCATATACTATGATGAATTCATCCCTCCCTCCCTCCCTCCCTCCCTCCCTCCCTCCCTTCCTCTCTTCTTCTGACACCTACTTATTGCCCACTTACTGTATCCCAGCAGGCAGACATACAATGACAGACACAGTTGCAGCTATCATTATGAAAGTTCCAGTCAAATGAACTCGATAGATTAGTACCACAGCCTAGTTCTAACCTTGGCCTTGTTCTAACCTAGTTCTAGTCATGGGATAAAATTAAGACAGAATCTTAGGGTATACAACATAGACAGTGACACAGAACAAATCTGAAATACCAGAGAGAACTGAGAAGCTTCAGAACAACAGCTTCATCCATTCTACTCTCAGCAATCCCAATCCACTCTTAATGCAACATCGTAAACATATAATTTTGCAGAAAGAGATCATTGCTGTCACATTTTCCCCGTACCCTGAGAGTCCATAATTTGCTCTTTAATATCATAAACAGGCCAAGGTCAGCCTCCTTGGGATCTTGTGCCAGATCTAAACAACTCTTACATTTAATATAAACCTGATGAATTACTGGAAGTGCACTCAATATCTAAAATAATGTGTGGCACATAGTAGATGATCCTTGTTGCTTCAGAATATTTATGGAATGAATGCATGAATAATGAAGCTCAGAAAGCAAGCAGAAAACAGATCATGCATCTTAGAAGAAGACTGCAGTGTTGCAGCAGAGTGGAAAGCCTCAGGCCATTGCAATAAGAGTATGCATTCTTTGAGGTATATAAGCCATGGAAACTTAAGGACAAAAATATCTGCAAATTGCATTCCTGTTTCTAATGTCAAGATTTCAAGAAGTAAAAATGATCCTTTTAAGTGTAATAGGCTTCTTACACCAAGAAATCTACTGAATTAGCCATCTTTCCAAGAGTGCAGGTTGAACCTGAAATTGCCCATTAGAAAGTAAAAATATACTGAATCAACCTTAAATCCAGCTTTTGTCTATTTAGATCCCATTAAGATGGCAACTGAACATTTATCTGGATAATGCAATCAATGCAGAGAGTCAGTTTTGGTACTTCAGGCCCATGTTTTTTTTTTCTCTCTCCCTCTTTTTTTTAGAACTAGGGTCTTGCTCTGTCCCTGTGTTCCCCAGGCTGGAGTGTAGTGGTATCATCACCACTCATTGCAGCCTTAAACTTTTGGCCTCAAGTGATACATCTGCCATGGCCTCCCAAACACTGGAATTCCAGGTATGAGCAACAGGCCTGGCCCTAAAGCCCATGTTTTCTATGGTAGGTTTTTTAGGTTTTCATTTTCCAGTTAACTACCTCCACTCTCCCCTGTAGTGATTTGCTATGGACACAAATTTGTTTTCTTGATGAACAGACAATTCCATCATTGGAAATACTTTGCTAAAGAGAACAATAGTTACAATAAGCATAACATTTATTAAAACCGGCTGTATTAATCTGTTTTCACACTCCTATAAAGAACTACCTGAGACTGAGTAATTTATAAAGAAAGTTTAATTGACTCATAGTTCTGCATGACTGGGGAGGCCTCAGGAAACTTCCAATCGTGGCAGAAGGTGAAGGGGAAGCAAGGCACGTCTTACAGGGTGGCAGGAGAGAGAGAGAGCACATAGAGGAAGCTGCCACTTTTAAACCATCAGATCTCTTGAGAACTCATTATCCTGACAACAGCATGGGAGAAACTGCCCCAATGATCCAATCACCTCTCACAAGGTCCCTCTCTTTACACATGGGGATTACAATTGGAGATGAAATTTGGGTGGGGACACAGAGCCAAACCATATCATTCTGCCCCTGGCCCCTCCCAAATCTCATATTCTTTTAACATTTCAAAACGCAGTCATGCCTTTCCAACAGTCCCCTAAAGTCTTAACTCATTCCAGCATTAATCCAAAAGTTCAAGTCCAAAGTCCCATCTGAGACAAGGCAATTCCCTTCTACCTATGAGCCTGTAAAATAAAAAGCAAATTAGTTACTTCCAAGTACAGTGGGGGTACAGGCACTGGGTAGATGCTCCCATTGCAAAAGGGAGAAATTGGCCAAAAAAGGGGCTAGAGGCCTTGTGCAAGTCCAAAACCCAGCAGGAAAGCCATTAAATCTTAAAGCTTCAAAATCTCCTTTGATTCCATATTTCATATCCAGAGCACACTGATGCAAGGAGTGGGCTCCCACAGCCTTGGGCAGCTCCACCCCTGTGGCTCTGCAGGGTACACCCCCTTTGGCTGCTTTCGTGGGCTGGCATTGAGTGCCTGCAGCTTTTCCAGGTGCACAGTGCAAACTACTGGTGGATCTACCATTCTGAGATGTGGAGGACAGTGGCTCTCTTCTCACAACTCCAATAGGCAGTACTCCAGTGGGGACTCTGTGTGGGGGCTCCAACCCTAGATTTCCCCTCCGTACTGCTGTAGTAGAGGCTTTTCATGAGGGCCATGCCCCTGCAGCAGACCCTCTGCCTGGACGTTCAGGCTTTTTCATACATTCCCTGAAATACAGGTGGAGGTTCCCAAACCTCAATTCTTGCCTTCTGTACACTTGCGAGTGCAACACCACATGGAACCCACCAAGGTTTAGGGCTTGCACCCTCTGAGGCAATGGCCCAAACTGTCCCTTGGCCCCTTCTAGCCACTGGTGGGGCTGGAGCAGCTGGCACAAAGGGCTGCAAGTCCCGAAGCTGCACAGAGCACAAGCAGGGCCCTGGGCCCAGCCCCTGAAAGCATTTTTCCTCCTAGGCCTCTGGGCCTGTAACGGGAAGGGCTGCTGTGAATATCTCTGACATGACCTAGAGACATTTTCCCAATTGTCTTGATGATTAACATTTGGCTCCTCATTGCTTATGCAAATTTCTGCAGCTGGCTTTGAATTTCTCTCCAGAAAAAGGGTGTTTCATTTCTACTGCTGGTCAGGCTGCAAATTTTCCACACTTTTATGCTCTGCTTCCCTTTTAAATGTAAGTTCCAATTTCAGGCCATCTCTTTCTTCACACGAGTGTACACTTTTAGAAAAGTCAGGTGACATCTTAAATGCTCTGCTGCTTAGAAATTTCTTCTGCCAGATACCCTAAATCATCTCTCTGAAGTTCAAAGTTTCACAGATCTCTAGGGCAGGAGTAAAATGCTGTCTGTCTCTTTGCTATAGCATAGCAAGAGTGCCTTTACACCATTGTTAATAAGTTCCTCATCTCCATCTGAGACCACTTCAGCCTGGGCTTCATCGTCCATATCACTATTAGCATTTTGGTCAAAATCATTCAGTAAGTCTCTAGGAAGTTCCAAACTTACACTCATCTTCCTGTCTTCTTCTAGGCCCTCCAATCTCCTCCAATCTCTGCCTATTACCAAGTTCCAAAGTCACTTCCACATTTTCAGGTATCTTTGTAGAAGTGTCCTACTCTCCTAGTACCAATTTTCTGTATTAATCCATTTTCACACTACTATAAAGAATACTGGCCAGGTGCAGTGGCTCATGCCTGTGATCCTAGCACTTTGGGAGGCCGAGGCGGGTGGATCACCTGAGGTCAGGAGTGTGAGACCAGCCTGGCCAAGATGGTGAAACCCTGTCTCTACAAAAAATACAAAAATTAGCCAAGTGTGGTGGCATGCATCTGTAGTCCCAGCTACTCGGGAGGCTGAGGCAGAAGAATCAGTTGAACCTGGGAGGCGGAAGTTGCAGTGAGCCGACATTGCGCTACTGCACTCTAGCCTGGGCAACAACAGTGAGACTCTTTTTTGGTTCCATATGACTTTTAGGATTGTTTTTTTTCAAGTTCTATGAAGAATGATGGTGGTATTTTGATGGGAATTGCATTGAATTTGTAGATTGCTTTTGGCAGTATGGTAACTTTCACAATATTGATTCTACCCATCCATGAGCATGGGATGTGTTTCTATTTGTCTGTATCATCTGTGCTTTCTTCCAGCAGTGTTTTGTAGTTTTCCATGTAGAGGTCTTTCACCTCCTTGGTTAGGTATTGTCGTAAGTATTTTATTATTATTATTTTTGCAGCTATTGCCAAAGGGGTTGAGTTCTTGATTTCATTATCAGCACTGTTGGGATATAGCAGAGCTACTGATTTGTGTACATTAATTTTGTATCCTGAAACTTTTCTGAATTTATCAGTTCTAGCAGCTTTTAGGACAAGTCTTTAGGGTTTTCTAGGTATACAATCATATCAACAACAGACAGCGGCAGTTTGACTTCCTCTTTACTGATTTGGATGCCCTTTCTTTCTTTCTTTTGTCTGATTGCTCTGGCTGTGGCTTCCAGTACTATGTTGAATAGAAGTGGTGAGGTTGAGTGTCCTTGTCTTGTTCCACTTCTCAGGGGGAATGTTTTTAACTTTTCCCTGTTCAGTATTAGGTTGGCTGTGGGTTTGTCATAGATGCCTTTTATTGCATTAAGGTATATCTCTTCTATGCCAATTTGCTGAGGATTTTAATCAAAAACTGTTGTTGGATTTTGTGAAATGCTTTTTCTGTGTCTATTTAGATGACCATGCGATTTTTGTTTTTAATTCTATTTATATGGTGCATCACATTTATTGACTTGCGTATGGTAAGCCATCCCTGCAACCCTGGTATGAAACCCACTTGAACAGGTTATATTTTTGCTATACTGTTCAATTTGGTTAACTAGTATTTTGTTAAGGATTTTTGCATCTATATTCATCAGGGATATTGGCCTGTAGTTTTATTGTTTTGTTATGTCTTTTCATGATTTTGGTATTAGGGTGATACTGGAAGCCACACGCTTTTAAACCATCAGATTGTGTGAGAACTCACAAGGGTGAGAACAGCATGAGGAAAACTGTCCCCATGATTTAATCACCTCCCACTATGTCCCTCTCTTGACATGGGGGGATTACAATTTGAGATGAGATTTGAGTGGGGACACAGACCCAAACCATATCACTGTCTGTGTGCCAGTCATATTCCAGGGTGCCATATATGTTTTTATTTAATCCTCTGGACAATGCTAGATGATTACCTTTAGTACATTGTTCAAAGTCAACATTGAGGAAGTGGTGGAAGTGGATTTTGAGTCAAGGCTTTTTGACTCAGGACCTGAACTCTTTACAGCTCACTGTAGTGGGTTGCATTGAGGCCCCCCCAAAAGATACATATTCAAGTCCTAAACTCCAGTACTTATGACTGTGAGCTTATTTGGAAATAGGGCCTTTGCAGATGTAATTAAATACAGATCTTAAGATGAAATCATCCTGGACTTAGGGTGGATTCTAAATCCAATGACTGGTATTTTTATAAAAAGAGAGACAGAGAAAAAGGCCTGTGAAGACAGAGCCAGAGATCAGAGTTATGCTACCACAAGCCAAGGAATGCCTGGGGCTATCAGAAGCTGGAAGAGGCGTGGAAAAATTCTTCCCCTTTACAGCCTTTGAAGGAAGTGTGTCCCTGTCAACAGCCTGATTTCGGACTTCTGGCCTCCAGAACTGTGAGACAATAAATTCCTGATTTTTTTTAACTTTTATTTTAGGTTCGGGGGTTCATGTGAAAGTTTGTTATATAGGTAAATTTGTGTCATGGGGGTTTGTTGTACAGATTATTTCATCACCCAAGTATTAAGCCCAGTACCCAGTGGTTATCTTTTTTGCTCCTCTCCCTCCTCCTACTCTCCTTCCTTAATTAGGCTCCAGGGTCTATTGTTTCCTTCTTTGTGTTTGTAAGTTCTTATCATTTAGCTCTCATTTATAAGTGAGAACATGTAGTATTTGGTTTTCTGTTCTTGCATTAGTTTGCTAAGGATAATAGCCTCCAGCTCCATCCACGTTCCTACAAAAGACATAATCTCATTCTTTTTTATGGCTGCATCCTGTTGTTTTTAAGCCACACAGTTTTTGGCACATTAAACAGACAACCAATAAACACTGCATGACTGAACAATAGAGTGAATTGCTTGAGGACTCAGTGAGTGACAATCAATTCTCTGGGTCAAACCACAGAATTCTAGAAATGTAGTGTTGTGGTGAGATATTACCAGGTGGGTAAACTGAGCTATAAAAGAATTGAAAACTGGCCAGGCAAGGTGGCTTATGCCTGTAATCCCAGTACTTGGGGAGGCTGAAGCAAAATAATAGCTTGAAGCCAGGAGTTTGATACCAGCCTGGACAACATAGTGAGAGTTTGTCTCAAAAATAAATAAATAAATAATTAGCCAGGAGGTTAAGGCTGCTGCAGTGAGCTCTGATCATGCCACTGGACCACAGAGATAGAGACACCGTATCACAAAAGAACAAGAAGAGGAGGAAGAGGAAGGGGAGGGGAGGGGGAGGGGAGGGAGAGGGGCAGGGGGGAAATAAAAATGTCCTCCCAAGCACACTTGTATTACAGGTCCAAGGTCGCAAGGTGAGTTAAAAGCCTAACCTCCTGATCCCCACTACTTCCCACCCACCACCAGGTACTACTGTAGCTGTGTTCTTAGAGTATAAGTCAGATAAAAGTAATTAAATTTGAGCTGTGTGAGAACTTCATAATGGAAGCAGAGTAGAAATAGGCTAGGCATTGCAGCAGCCGAGCTAAAAAATAAAAAAGGTACAATTAAGAATCCCTTAACTCTAGTGTCAGTTGCAAAAACTCTCCCACAGTCTTGAAGGCTGCAGAGTGGGAAGCTGATGTGTCAACGCTTTTCTCTTCTTTGCTTATCTCTGCCAATTTGATATTTTGTTCGTGTAGGGGAGCACGCCTGCCCTGAATGTCTCCACCTCTCTGCCTTTGCCCACGCTGTACCCTGCTTTGATTGCCCTCACCTTCGTGTCTGCATCCTACCCTTTTTAAGACTTAGCTCAAATACCAGCTCTCCTTTGACTCCTTGAGCTGTACTCATCTGTGTTCCCCAACACTTAGAGATTTCAGCACTTCCTGGATCTTGCTTACTGATGCTGACTTCATGTTGAACTAGCCACAGAAGCCACAGATTAAGTTCCATATAATTTCTCTGAGCCTCACTTTGTTCAATCTTTATTCATTCAGTCATACAATCATCAATATTTTGTGAGTAAACTAATATGCTCCAGGTCATGTTCATAATGCTGGGAAATGAAGGGAAAAGACAGCTGGAAATTATATTGGAGATAGGGAGAGGCAGATAATAAGTAAGTAATAGATGTTAGACTATCAGATAGTGACAAGTGTTATGAAGAACAAAAACAGGGTGGCTAGAGGGGATGGGGCCAATGTGATTAAGGGTTCAAAGAAGGGTTCATGGAAGAAAAGATGTTTTAAGTGGAACCTGGGTAAAAAAGCAGAGACCATGTTGAGAAGACCTGAATGAAAAGCACTCCCAGCAGCAGGGGGGAGCAGTGGCCCCAGGATGGAGAAATTCTTGGGTTATTCAAGGAAGAGGAGGGCCAGTATAAACAAATGAAAGTGTGACGGGATAAGAGCTACTGCAGATGGGCAGGGCACAGTGGTTCACACCTGTAATCCCAGCACTTTGGGAGGCCAAGGTGGGTAGATCACTTGAGCTCAGGAGTTCGAGATCAACCTGGGCAACATGATGAAACCCCATCTTTCCAAAAAAATACAAAAACATACAGCTGGGCATGGTGGTATGTGCCTATAGTCCCAGCTACTTGGGAGGCTGCAGTGAGAGGATCACCTGAGTCCAGGAGGTTGAGGCCACAGTGAGCCGAGCCATGATCCTGCCATTGCACTCCATCCTGGGTGACAGAACAAGATCCTGTCTCAAAAAAAAAAAAAAAAAAAAGAAGAGTTATTGCAGATGAATTTGAAGAGGTAGACAGAACAGATGCTGAAGGACCTGGTAGGCTGTGGAAAAGATATTGGATTTTATTCTAAAAGTGATGGGAAGCTCTTGGAATGTTCCAAACAGGGTAGTGTCATAATCAGATGTACTTTAAAAAATTGTCACTCTGGCTGCTAAGTGGAGAATGAGTAAGAGGTCAAGAGTGAAAGCAAGGAGACCATCTGGAGACTATTGTAATAGTCTAGGTAAGAGATGATGGCTTCTTGGAGCCAGGGCAAAGCAGTGGAGTTGGAGAATGGTATCAGATTTGGGGTACACTTTGTGGGTAGAACTGACAAGATGGACTGGAGGCTGAAGAAAGGGTCACTTAGGGATTACTCCTAGGGTTTTGTCTCTAGCCAATTGAGCTGCTATTTACTGAATGGAAACTAACTCCACACACCTGTGCTGTCATGATCCAAGCAGTATCAACCCTCAGATTTGTGAAATCTGTTTTTGTGAGGGACTAGAATGTAGCTCTTGTTTCATTTCGTGGCTCTGCCACTTCCCAGCTTTATGTGCCTTTGGGAAAGTCAACTTCTCCATGGCTCAGTTTTTTCAGCTAAAACCTGAGGAGCAGTACAGAATGGTTATTATGATGAGGATTTAGTGAGCTAATGTATGTAAAGTGCTTAGTGTGTTTCCTGGGACATTATGCATTCAAAAATGGTAGTATAGTATAGTCATTTGCCACATAACAATGTTTTCATCAAGGATGGACCACATATACAGCAATGGTCCCATAAGATTATAAATTCAGTGTACCTAAGTGTGCAGTGTTTATAAAGTCTACAGTAGTGTACAGTAATGTCCTAGGCCTTCACCTTCATGCACCCACTCACTCACTGACTCACCCAGAGTAACTTGCATTTGTGTAAGCTCCAGTCACATTATGCGCCCCAGGTAAGTAGAACATTTTTTATCTTTTGTACTGTATTTTTACTGTACCTTTTCAATGTTTTGATATATTTAGATAAACAAATACTACTCATTGTGTTATAGTTACTTGTAGTATTCAGTTTGGGTTTGTAGCCTAGGAGCAAGAGGCTACACAATATAGCCTAGGTATGTAGCAGGCTATACACTCTAGGTTAGTGTAAGTATATCCTATGGTGTTTGCACAATGATAAAATTGCCTAATGATGCATTCCTCAGAAAGTATCCCCATCATGAAATAACACATGACTGTAGAACTAGTCATTTCTGTCATCATTTTTTTTCTCTCTTTTTCTTGAAGGAGTCTCCCAGCTCTTTAGGATCCCAGTGCCCCCACATTGCTTCTTCTGATGGTGGCTCTGTACTCCCTATTACAGTGCTTCATCTAAACCCCCCTCCCTCTCACAAACCTCTGTAACCCCTTATCAAAGCTTGTTTATCTCATGGCTAGCTCTGTGTCATAGGGTTGACCTTATCAATTCTACTTGTACAATTTTAGAAGAGGCTGTCATCTCATTCATCAGCACACAAGCCGGAACTTCAGATTTTGATAAGACAAAAAAAAAAAAAAAAAACAAATTCTTATGAATTTGGAAACCTGAAGTTTCAAGAATTTAGGAGAGTAGTGTTGGGATAAAGGAATGACTCATTTACTATTTTCACTATTTTAAAAAATGGACTGGGAATACAACCTTGAATTCCAGTGACACCAAAATGGCCCTGTGAACTAGCAAGGCTGTGTGCATAGTAATCACAGAATAAATACCTAATGAACTGGTTTGAAATAAATTTTAATAAAGTTTTTAGTATCTTTTTGCACTGCATAATTGAACAATGATCAAAGAATAGGTAGGATAGGTAGGACTACAAATATTCAAACAAGAAGGGAGACTTCATTTGTACTAAGTATTAGGGCAAACTTTATCCTGTTGCTTTACAATTTTAATTTTCTTGAAGCCTTGAGTCAACGTTATTTAATATCATAGACATAGTGTTTTTGGCATATTCCCCATGATGAATTACTTATCTGCATAATTTATAATAATTTCTACTCTCATGAAGAATAAATGGTAATTAAATGAGGTTCTATCATTTATCTTGCCTTTGAGATTTGGTCAGTGTGAGTGACAGTTAAGTCTCGTCACTGTAGCTAAAGCTCTGCTTACTGAAATTCCAGCTCAGTTACCACAGTCGTTTGGTGATTGTACCCCATCTAAGATAATTAGTTCATTTCTTGGAAGTCAAATGGGGCTTGGAGTAAAATTGGAAACTCTGAAAATGTTGAGTTCAAAATGTAAATGACTTTTTACTGATAACTACCAAAAGTGAAGAATGACAAGTAAATGCCTTACCTAATTAGGAAATTTTTTTTACTTTATAAAGTCCTCCAGATTTAAAATTAGACTGCTTGTCAGCCTATGGGAATTGGTTGAGTCATGTGGAATTCTAATACAATAGAATCTGGATTTGGGCTTCTATATTTAGCCTCACTCAAATTCAGTCCTTTTTTATTTTTACATACATACAACCCAACTTAGCAACTGGTAATGACCGGGTAGAATGAGAGATATCTAGGATTTTTCTTAGATTGCAAGAAGGGCCTACAGAATTATCTTTCTCAGCTAATAAATTCTGATGTGGCTGAAACTTGAATTTGACATTTTGAATGGTTAGTAAGATCCACGTGGACAAAGACTAAGCCTTCGTGACCCCTCACTACCTCCATAACCTTGGCTTGCCATCTTGAAAACCAAACAATTGTCATGGCAGTTCAAGTCCTTTTCAGAAAGCTTAAACTAATTTAATAATTTAAATACATTTTTGTGATCTATAACTACTAATGAAAAAACATTCAATACACATGTATTGGTTACAATAATGGGTCTTTAGCTTTGTCTTTATTTAGGAAAGACTATCTACTTTAGGTGAGGTTGAGATGGTCCTGCATTCTATCACAGAGCTGTGGTGCCAGATCAAATGAATGGTAAATGGAATCAGACATGGACATGTACAGTATGATCTTTCTGAGTCAAGCATTCCCTGCTACATTAATGGCATAATTTAGAATTATTTGGGTTGTTTTATGAAATGCCTCCTTATTTATTAGTCATTTATACTTCACAGTAAGGTAGGGTAGGATTTCAAGGTGACAATATGATTATGATAATCAAATAAATACACAGGGTATGATACTATTGCTATTGCCAGCATATAATATGGTCTTGTGAAAGCTCTGAATGGTACAATATGCAATATTTATTTGATTTCTAATCCCAATATCGTTTTTAAATAAACAAATCTTGACCACATGGGAATGCTGCATAAAATTTATAAGGACTCTTTTTTTATTTTGGTAACAGAGCTCTTTGTTTTCCATTTTATTCTAATCTAATTATTTTACCTGGTATTGGTGATCATTTCTCACCATAAAGAGAAGCTCACATGTCTGAAACAAAAATCTTAAATTTGGTGGCATCATGCAGATGGAAGATGGAAATACTTCTAAAATTGAGGAGCATGGACAGGAATTCCACAAGATGATCTCAGCTTTGGATTGCCAAATAGAGAACACACAAGCCTCAGTTTGACAGACCAAATTTTATTCTTGAATCAAATGAATATGCTGTTTGCTCCTTGAACATATTTTATATTACCTATTCATTTAAAAGATTGGACTAGTATTATCGGATACCCTTAAACTTGGGTACAAAAGTAGTTTCCCTGAACATTAATAATTAACCCTTTCACTCGAGGCATGGATGAACCAGGATGAATAGCAAGAAACTTTTTTTTTTTTTTTTTGAGATGGAGTTTCACTCTTGTTGCCCAGGCTGGAGTGCAGTGGTGTAATTGCGGCTCACTGCAACCTCCGCCTCCCAGGTTCAAGCAATTCTCTGCCTCAGCCTCCTGAGTAGCTGGGATTACAGGCATGCGCCACCATTCCTGGTTAATTTTGTATTTTTAGTAAAGACAGGGTTTCTCCATGTTGGTCAGGCTGGTCTCGAACTCCTGACCTCAGATGATCCACCCACATCGGCCTCCCAAAATGCTGCGATTACAGGTGCAAGCCACTGCACCTGGTCAGAAATGGTTTTAAGAAATAAAGATATGGAAAATATTTATTGGAAATAAAATAAATTCTATACTAAATCATTGGATAATCTCTTCAACTGAAACACAATCTGTTTTGTTTTTTGTTTTTGTTTTTCTTGGCTGGGCCGCCTTATAGATCTTAGTTTCTAAGCTTTACCCTGTAATACTTTCATCTAAAGATGTCCAGCATGTCACTGACAAAGATACTTTATGCTTCCACTAACACCTTCTTCTTTCTCTGCAGATGTGTATGTATGTGTCTTTTAAATTCTCAGTCCTTAAAAACTTTGTCAGTCTACTCAACTAGCCAGAAAGAATATCTGTTTCCAATTATCTTCTTTATCTCCAACCCTAAATTCCTGGTACCTTCCTGTTACCTTTGCCACCTGGGGCTTCTCAATAAGTTCCAATGATTTCAAGCAAGTCAGCAAGGCTCCCAGGCATGCTGCCTTACAGATCAGATTAACCTGGCTTCAAACATTGGCACTGCCACATTTTAGTTTGGGGACTTTGAACAAGTCACTTTAATCTCCATGTGATATGGTTAGGCTTTGTGTCCCCACCCAAATCTCATCTTAAATTGTAATCCCCAGGTGTTTAGGAAGAGACCTGCTGGGAAGTGGTTAGATTATAGGGGCAGTTTCCCCCATTGCTGTTCTCCTGATAGTGAGTGAATTCTCATGAGATCTGATGGTTTTATAAATGGTAGATTTTCCTGCACTGACACATGCTCATTCTTGCCTGCCTTCTTGTAAGATCTGCTTCTCCTGTGCCTTCCACCATAACTGTAAGTTTTCTGAGGCCTCTCCAGCAATGCAGAACTGTGAGTCAATTAAACTTTTTTCTTTTAGAAATTACCCAGTCTCAGCTATTTCTTTATAGCAGTATGAGAATGGACTAATATACCATGCTTCAATGTCTTTGTCAGTAAAAAAAAAAAAAAAAAAAAAAAAAAAAAAAAAAAAGGAAATAATAATAATCCCTACTTTATTGTAAAATATCTAAAACACTAAGAATATCTGCCTGATAAATTTTAGCTCTTCATCTAAAAGTGTTATTATTTTTAAGCATTTCCCTGGCCTACCCCAAACTTCACAGTATAGTGGAGCATATAAAAATAATGTAATAATAATGCCTAACATTTATTGAGCCTTTACAATGTATTAGGCTGTTCTAAGCATATTAAAAGTACTGACTTAATTTTTACTATTCTTTTAAGTAGTTCTATTACTATTCATATTTATAGATCAGGAAACTGAGCCTCAGAAAAGTCAAAAACTCGTCCAAGTTCACATGGTTAGTAAGTGGTGAAGCCAATAATTAAATCCAGGCAGTCATTTGCTAAGCTGCCCAAGTATGCAGTTGTGAAATACCAGACTAGAATTCAGCACTCTTGGGTTCAGGCCCCAGATTGGTCACTTGCGAATTACCTTCAGTAATTCACTGGATCTCTCTGCGTTTCAGATTCTTCATCTCTAAAATGAGATAATTGTTCTTTACCTATCTACAGAATGTGGTAAAGATCAAATTAGAGAAATCACGAGTACTTGGCTAGCATTTGCAAGTAATTACTATTATTATTAACTTCAAATAATGTTTATGAATGTGTTTCATAAATTCTGGAAGACCTATTTAAATGTAGAGATGCCACTGCTGCTGATCATGATGGTTCCCAAAGGGTTTTGTTCACTACAAAAGATTGAGAAATGAATTCATGCTAAAGTATTCTTAGGTCTTGGGAGCTTAGGATACCATACCTGTTTTTTTATTTGTATAAATTTAAGGGGTGCAAGTGCAGTTTTGTTACATGGATATATTACATAGTTGTAAGTCTGGCCTTTTCGAATATCCATCACCTAAATAATGTACATTGTACCCATTAATTAATTTTTCATCTCTCACTTACCTCCCGCCCTACCACCCTTTGGAGTCTCCAATGTCTATCATTCCACACTCCATGTCCATGTGTGCACATTATTTAGCTCCCACTTTAAGGGAGAACATGAGGCACTTCACTTTTTGTTTCTGAGTTGTTTCACTTAAGATAATGGCCCTCCAGTTCCATCCATGTTGCTGCAAAAGACATAATTTCATTCTTTTTTATGGCTAAAGAGCATTCCATTGTGTTTATATATTTTCTTTATCCAGTCATCTGTTGATGGACATTTAGGTTGATTCCATGTTTTTGCTATTGTGAATAGGGCTGCAATAAACATATGAGGGCAGATATCTTTTTAACATAATGATTTTCCTTTGGGTAGATACACAATAAGGTGATTGCTTGATCAAATGTTAGTTTTGTTTTCAGTTCTTTGAGAAATATTAATTCTATTTTCCCATAGATGTTGTACTAATTTACATTGCCACCAACAGTGTACAAATGTTTCCTTTTCTCCACATCCTCACCAACTTCTGTTGTTTTTTGACTTTTTAATAATAGTCACTCTGACTGGTGTAAGATGGTATCTCATTGTGGTTTTAATTTGCATTTCTTTGATAATTAGTAATGTTGAGCATTTTTTTCATATGCTTGATGTCCATTTATACATCTTCTTTTGAAAAATGTCTATTCATATCCTTTGCCCACTTTTTAATGGGGTTATTGGTTTTTTTGTTGCTATTGTTGTGTTGTTTGAGTTATTTGTAGATTCTAGATATTAGTCCTCTGTTGGTTGTATAATTTGTAAATATTTTCTCCTATTCTGTAGGTTGTCTGTTCACTGACTTCTCTGCTAATGACATAGTATTTGGGGAGATTCCTTCACTGCACAATTCAATGGCAAGGACTTTAGGGGCTAGGGTTCCTGAAATCATGCCACTGAAGCGAACATCTTCTCCACCTACTGGAAAAAATTTGTTTGAGTCTTGCTGAGTAGTGTCAAAAGCCAAGATGATGAACAAAGTCTTTCTATGGGGAATTATTTTTTGTAAATCATAACCACTGCAACGATCCTTTCACAACCCTAATCTTTGTGACCTATCTTCTTGATCCATATCCTTCAGTGTGTGCATTGTTTTGGAGATAAAAATCCAAAATCCACATCCTGGCCTGGATGGTCAGGCATGGCCCAGTCCCTGTCTCCTGCTTTAGTCATAGCATACTCCTCATTTTCTGCCCTAGCCATATCTGTCTTCTTATAAATCCTCCCCATAGGGCCATTGCATGTGCTGATCTCACTGCCCAGTACATTCTTGACCCTGTCCTCTCCCCCTTCTTCTAGTTAAATTAGCTCATGTCCCTTTCTCAGAAAAGCCCCCTTGACCTTTATGATTCATCAGAGCTTATGATTTTTTTACTGAACCCTGAAAATCTCCTCCCCACAACTCTCAATGCAACTATACATTCATTGACATGATTACCTGACTGATGTTTCTCCTCCATTAGACTGAATGCTTCAATAAACCTATCAAAGGACCAAGAGCTTTGTGATCATATGTGTTTAATGCATGAATGAATGGGAATATTCTTCCACCTTCAGTGATATCTTCTCCAGTCTCATTTAAAAGACAAATAATTGAAGCCAAACTCCCCTGCTTTTCTTCCTCTTGAATATGCTATATTTTTTTCTGGAAAAGGTGGAATTTGAGAAAGTAAAGACAAATCATATAAAACTTTCTAAGGCTTCCTGAAAAAGAAATAAACAGTAAAAGAAAAGTGATACTTTTCTTCCTTTGTATAGAAAAGTTGAGAGAGGAAAAATATAAAACGATTAAAGAGAAGATAAGTAAATCTAATTACAGTGACTTCCAAGAAGCTGGCAATTGAAACTTCTGTTTATGAAGGAACTGGAACAAGAGGAGCAATAAGCATAATGGGATTGTGAGTTTTGATGAAAAAATGTAAGGAGAAAGAACCAATGTTTCTTTCTTTTTCTTTTCTTTTTTTTTTTTTTTGGCGTGGTTTTAAATTTGATTTAACACTGTGTCATAGTTGCTGTTTCTTAGAAGAATGTCTTTCTGGAATTTGCTTATCTTTCCTTTGTGTTAATAATGCCTCGCCAAGAGGTTATATGGCACACTAGTGTGGGGTGGGGGATTTGGAGTCTGATCTACGTGGACCCCGACTGGTTCTGACACTCACTAGCTATGTGATCCCTGAGAAGTTACTTAACACCTCTGGAACCTACCTTCTTCATCCATTAAATGGGGATAATATCAGTGCTTATCTCATGGGGTTATTATGATGTATCAGTGAGATAATGCAGGAACACCTTGGCACATTGCCTGACACATAGTAGGCACTTAATAAGTATTAGTTGTCATCATTACTATTGGTGATCCATGGTTATCTTTCAATATTTTAATCTAGGAGCTTTGGTTTGCAGATGACTGTATGGATGTATT